>NC_000002.12:202338102-202641133 GCF_000001405.40 Homo sapiens
CAGCACTATTTTTATCAGACAGAATCATATCAGTGTGAACCAAGAAGTCCTAAAAGGAATAATAAATCACACATAGGCAGCTGCAGCCAGAATTATCCTAATCCAGGGATAATTCTGTCCAATAAACTTAAAAGATTGCCTCGAAGTTCCAGAACATGTTAGCAGTAGAGCTAGACAGAAACCCAGCCTTCTATCCCCAGGACTGGGCACTCTTATCATGTCGAAAGGCTGCAGGGGTAAGGCCACGGTTGAGGACATCTCAATTTTCCCTTGGTAGCCATTCATGACTGATGCAAAGCCCTAGAGTCATTGTAAGCTTTGCCACACAACTCTGCCATATAGTACATTTTTTACTACGGCAAGCAACCTCTATGAAGTTCTTTCTTCTTTCCTTCCTTCCCTCCCTCCCTCCTTTTTCTTTGTTTTTCTTTCGCTTTATTTCCCTCTTTCTTTCTTTCTTTCTTCTTTCTTTTCTTTCTTTCCTTTCTCTCTCTTTTCTCTTTCTTTCTTTCTTTCTTTCTTTCTTTCTTTCTTTCTTTCTTTCTTTCTTTCTTGTTTCTCTCTGTCTTTCCCTTTCTTTCTTTCCCTCTTTCTTCCTTTCTTTCCTTTTCTTTCTTTCGACAGTGTCTTGCTCTGTCGCCCAGGCTGGAGTGCAGTGGCGCCGTCATAGCTCAGTGCAGCGTCAACCTCCCAGGCGCAAGCTGTCCTCCCACCTCAGCCTCCCGAATAGGTGGGCTAATTTTTGTATTTTTTATAGAGATGGGGTCTTATTATGTTGCCTAGGCTGGTCTCAAACTTCTGACCTCAGGTGATCCTCCCATCTCAGCCTCCCAGATTGCTGAGATTACAGGCATGAGCCACTATGCTGGGCCAGACTCTTTACTTTCCACACTTCTCCGCAATTTGATCATTCAAACCTGTGTGCTGAATGATGCCTGCGGAAGGTTGAATATTGTATCTGCTAAATGCTTCTCTTAGCTAGGATTTGGAGTCTAGTGAGCATGTGTCAAGCTGGCAACATTCAATGTCATCCTCCTTCGCTGATAACTCAGCTGCCTTGTGCTGAGAGGGCACTCCACCATGGGCCCTGAACATGCCTGCACTCTCTTGCTGAGTAGGCCAATCCATAAGACTTTCAGGCTCCTGATACTGAGCAATGTCTATAGCTACTCACACAGATATAACTAGGCCAAGGCAACTACTGTAATTACCTGTAACTGCTTGCTCCCTAGAGGGAGTGGGGATTGGCTCATTTGCTGCTTGCTCAAAAAGTGCTAAGCCCTTGGCCCAGGATTCCTCTCCTGTAATGCAAACCACTGCAGATACATATGTCATCTGGGCTCATTGGGTTGCCCCATTAGAATTTGAGGGCAAGGGAAACCATTGCAAATAGGCTGACACATGCTATTTGCTGTGCCATGAATAATAAATTCCTCTGTCTCTGACCAAGGAGTGTCATGACTATTGCCAGGATCCATGAAACAATGACAGACTAACATATTAGCTTGCAATTGGCCTTCATTGTCCTTGCAGCCTTTTCTCCACGTGCTCCACTTTTGCACTCACCCAGTAGTCTCCCAACCTCTGGTCCCCTGGTGCATGGGGCTATCTGACTCTTAGTATTTGCAGAGAAGCTAAGGCTGTGCAAAAGCTATAGACATCCAATCTACAGAGCTCTTAATTCGTGATTCATTCTGCAAATATTTACTAAGGACCTATGCCAGGAACTATTCTATATGATGCAAATGCAACAGTGAACAAAATGAACCAAGTGCCTTTACTTATGAAGATTGCCTTCTAGTGGAGGAGACAACCAATTTAGGACCCTCTCTATATATAGTCTATATATATATATATATATATACTTAAGAGTATATAAATTTTCTGGGGTTTTTTTGTTTTTGTTTTTGTTTTTGAGACGGAATCTCACTCTGTCGCCAGGCTGGAGTGCAGTAGTGCGATCTCGGCTCTCTGCAATCTATGCCTCCTGGGTTCAAGCAATTCTCCTGCTTTAGCCTCCCAAGTAGCTGGATTACAGGTGTGCACCACCACACCTAGTTAATTTTTGTTTTGTTTTGTTTTGTTTTGTTTTTGAGACAGAGTCTCGCTCTGTCGTCAGGCTAGAGTGCAGTGGCGCGATCTCAGCTCACTTCAACCTCCACCTCCTGGGTTCAAGCAATTCTCCTGCCTCAGCCTCCCAAGTAGCTGGGAATACAGGTACGTGCCAGCACGCCCAGCTAATTTTTGTATTTTTAGTAGAGACGGGGTTTTACCATGTTAGCCAGGATGGTCTCGATCTCCTGACCTCATGATCTGCCTGCCTTGGCCTCCTAAAAGTGCTGGGACTACAGGCGCCTGCCAACACAGGCGTGAGCCACCTCGCCCGGCTTATTTTTTAATTTTTTTTTGAGACAGAGTCTTGATCTGTTGCCCAGGCTGGAGTGCAGTGGTGTGATCTCACTGGAACCTCCAGCAAAAAGAGAATGTTTAGATATTAAAGTTTTGGGGCCAGGAATGGTGGCTCCCACCTGTAATCCCAGCACTTTGGGAGGCCGAGGCAGGTGGATCACTTAAGGTCAGAAGTTTGAGACCAGCCTGGCCAACATGGTGAAACCCCATCTCTACTAAAAATACAAAAATTAGGCCGAATGCCATGGCTCACACCTGTAATCTCAGCACTATGGGAGGCCGAGGCCAAGGCGAACGGATCACTTGATGTCAGGAGTTCGAGACTTGCCTGACCAACATGGAGAAACCCCATCTCTACTAAAAATACAAAATTAGCTGGGCGCAGTGGCACATCCCTGTAATCCCAGCTATTTGGGAGGCTGAGGCAGGAGAATTGCTTGAACCTGGGAGGCGGAGGTTGAGGTGAGCCGAGATCGCGCTATTGCACTCCAGCCTGGGCAACAAGAGCAAAACTCTGTCTCAAAAAAAAAAAAAAACAAAACACAAAAATTACTTGGGCGTAGTGGTGCGTGCCAATACTCCCAGCTACTCAGGAGGCTAGGCAGGAGAATCACTTGAACTCAGGAGATGGAGGTTGCAGCGGGCCGAGATCTTGCCATTGCACTCCAGCCTGGGCGACAGAGTGAGACCCTGTCTCAAATAAATAGACAAATAAATAATAGGCCAGGTGTGGTGGCTCACGCCTGTAATCCCAGTACTTTGGGAGGCCTAGGTGGGTGGATCATCTGAGATCGGGAGTTCGAGACCAGCCTGACCAACATGGAGAAACCCTGTCTCTACTAAAAAAATACAAAATTAGCCAGGCGCAGTGGCGCATGCCTGTAATCCCAGCTACTCCGGAGGCTGAGGCACAAGAATCGCTTGAACCCGGGAAGCGGAGGTTGCAATGAGCCAAGATCATGCCATTGCACTCCAGCCTGGGCAACAAGAGCAAAACTCTGTCTCAAAAAAAATAATAATAATAATAATAAAGCTTTTTGTCCTGAACATCCTAATTTATCCCTATAGAAGAGCCAGAGGATTCCAGGCAAGGATTATGTAGGAACAGTGCTCAGCAATGTGATTTGAAGAGCATCAGATATGCTTTCTTATTTAAAAGTATCTCCTTTACTTGCCTCGTTTCTGTGGAGTAAACTTTACTACAAACTCCAGTCTTTGTTTGGTGGATAGATAACAGTTCTTGGCCAGGCGCGGTGGCTCACCCCTGTAATCCCAGCACTTTGGGAGGCCGAGGCGGGCAGATCATGAGGTCAGGAGATCAAGACCATCCTGGCTAACACGGTGAAACCCCGTCTCTACTAAAAATACAAAAAATTAGCCAGTCATGGTGGCAGGCGCCTGTAGTCCCAGCTACTGGGCAGGCTGAGCCGGGAGAATGGCGTGAACCCAGGAGGCGGAGCTTGCAGTGAGCCGAGATCGCGCCACTGCACTCCAGCCTGGGCGACAGAGCAAGACTCCGTCTCAAAAAAACAAAAACAAAAACAAAAAAAACAAAAAACAGTTCTGTCTGCACTCAGGCTTCTCAAGGTCTCCCCTTCAAACCCTCCTACTCCCTTCACCCCCAGGAATACTGGGGCTGCTATTCCATATATAATATTTTCCCATCATAACATATATGTTAACCCTTAAATTGGTAAGTATAAGAGATATGTGCGGCTGGGCGCTGTGGCTGAAGCCTGTAATCCCCCGAGGCCGAGGCAGGTGCATCACGAGGTCAGGAGATCAAGACCATCCTGGCTAAGACGGTGAAACCCCGTCTCTACTAAAAATACAAAAAATTAGCCGGGCATGGTGGTGGGCGCCTGTAGTCCCAGCTACTCGAGAAGCTGAGGCAGGAGAATGGCGTGAACCTGGGAGGCGGAGCCTGCAGTGAGCGAAGATCTCCCCACTGCACTCCAGCCTGGGCAACAGAACAAGACTCCGTCTCAAAAAACAAAACAAAAAACAAACAAACAAACAGAAAAAAAAAACAAAGATATGTGCAAAGGGGAGTGGAGATCCATAGGAGGGAATGGCAACTTTCTTAAACAAGTCTAGAAAGGTTTCACTGGGAAGATTGCAGGATAACTGGGATTTGAAGGATGGTTAGAATTTTGCCAGGTGAAAACAAAAAGGTTTTCTCAGGTGGAGGGAATAGCATGAACTTTATTTAATTATAAAATTTCTTTTTGAAATAGAAGTATTCCAGTTAAGGATGGCCGGGAGTGGTGGCTCATGCCTGTAATCCCGACACTTTGGGAAGCTGAGGCGGGCGGATCTCAAGAGATTGAGACCATCCTGGCCAACATGGTGAAACCTCATCTCTACTAAAAATACAAAAATTAGCTGGGCGTGGTGGCACATGCCTGTAGTCCCAGCTACTCGGGAGGCTGAGGCAGGGGAATCGTTTGAACCCAGGAGGTGGAGGTTGCAGTGAGCCGAGATCGCGCCACTGCACTCCAGCCTGCTGACAGAGCAAAGCGAGACTCTGTCTCAAAAAAAAAAAAAAAAAAAAAAGTAATATTCCAGTTAAGAATAACACATTAGGGATAACACTAAATCTTCATATAAATTTATTGTATTGGCTCACTTTACTGATTGATTGAAGGTTGCAAGATAGCATAAGACTCTTGGGTTGCAGGTTTTGGGAAAGAAGAGTGGGGTGGAAGTGGGAAAGATAACTCTGTTTATCTAAGGGAAGATTTGGCTTAAAGCTCCCAAAATGGCTGGCACTTGTTCAACACGTGATGATGATGAAACTGACATGGATACTAATCTTAAGGGTAAACAAAGGTTGTCAAGCTATCAAGACTGTTTTAATAATGATGATTCCAAAGTAAAAAAGTAACAATAGTATTTTACATTTATGTAGTGTATTAGTCTATTCTCACACTACTTATAAAGAACTACCTGAAACTGGCCAGGCACGGTGGCTCACGCCTGTAATCCCAGCACTTTGGGAGGCCGAGATGTGCGGATCACTAGGTCAGGAGATCGAGACCATCCTGGCTAACATGGTGAAACCCCGTCTCTACTAAAAAATACAAAAAATGAGCCGGGTGTGGTGGCGGGCGCCTGTAGTCCCAGCTACTCGGGAGGCTGAGGCAGGAGAATGGCGGGAACCCGGGAGGAGGAGCTTGCAGTGAGCCGAGATCGCGCCACTGCACTCCAGCCTGGGCGACAGAGTGAGACTGTGTCTCAAAAAAAAAAAAAAAGAAAAAAAGAAAAAAGAAAAAGAAATATGATCCAATCACACCGCAATCCAATCACCTCCCACCAGAAGCCTCCTCCAACACTGAAGGTCATAATTCAACATAAGATTTGGGTGAGGACACAGAGCCAAACCATATCATATAGCATTTTAGAATGTTCAGTGGACATTTTTGCATTCATTAATTTATTTGACCCTGACTGAAGTTATGAGAGATAAAGACACTTCGACTCAAAAATATTTTGATCACTAATCCAAGGATCACTCTCCTAATTAGCAGAGCTGGACTAGAATCTGGGCATCCTGATGAAGTCTAGCATTATTTTCTTTGTTCTTCTGGAACAAATTAACCCTCAGGGTGACAATGAGAGACTTTTAAAAGAATTCACAGCAAGGGATATAGCCCATAACAGAAAGTTCCAGGCAAAGATTGTGAAAAATTACAGCTTTCTGAAAACCAAAGGGTCAAACCATGTAATGTTGGATGATTGTTTTTGAATTCCCTTGATTTCCTATCAAGTTGAGTCCTGCACAGACATTGAGGTTCACCCTTTGTTTATAACTTGGCTTGAGTCACTAAAGGCAGTTGATCAGCAGCTGTAGTGCAGCCCAAACACCTGAGGGCTGATCTCTTCCCACCTCTGCTTTATGATGAAAATTTCTTAAGTGAGTGAGTGGGTGTTATTTGCTGAGAAGGAGCTTCACTGAAAAATGCCTAGCAGACAGCAAAGGAGTCCTCGTTTCCTTCTTTGTTATCTTGTTTCTTTTTCTCAAGAAACTTTGAGTAAATAAGTAGGGAAACTTAGTTGATTTTTTTTTATTATACCTTATTTGGGTTAAACTCTGTATTACTTGATTATTGTTTTCTTTTTTCTTTTCTTTTTTTGAGACAGTCTTACTCTGTCACCCAGGCTGGAGTGCAGTGGCATGATCATGGCTCACTGCAGCCTCGACCTCCTGGGTTCAAATGATCCTCCTACTTCAGCCTCCTGAGTAGCTGTGACTACAGGCATGTGACACCATACCTGGCTAATTTATTTATTTATTTATTTATTTTTAGACAGAGTCTTGTTCTGTTGCCAGGCTGGAGTGCAGTGGCGCAATCTTGGCTCACTGCAATCTCCACCTCCTGGGTTCAAGCAGTTCTCCTTCCTCAGACTCCCAAATAGCTGAGACTACAGGCGCCCACGACCATGCCCGGCTAATTTTTGTATTTTAGTAGAGACAGGGTTTCAGCATGTTGGCCAGGGTGGTCTTGATCTCCTGACCTCAGGTGATCCACCCGCCTCAGCCTCCCAAAGTGCTGGGATTACAGGGGTGAGCCACTAAACCCGGCCTGGGTTTTTTTTTTTTTTGGTAGAGATTTTTGCTGTGCTGCTCAGGCTAGTCTGGAACTCCTGGACCCAAGCGATCCTCCTGCCTTGGCTTCCCAAAGTGCTGGGATTATAGGCCTGAGCCACCGTGCCTGGCATTGATCATTGTTTACTTCCATTTATTTTATTATAGCTTTTCCTGTTCAAGGGTTTTTGTTTGTTTGCTTTATTGCAGACAGGGTCTCACTCTGTCACCCAGGCCAGAATGGAGTACCATGATCATAGCTCACTGCAGCCTTGAATTCCTGGCCTCAAGTTATCCTCCCACCTCAGCCTCCCAAAGTGCTGGCATTATTACAGGCATGAGCCACCACGACCCACCTCAAGTGTTTTTTAAGTTAAAAAATTATTTAACTTAACCTCCAAATTAGGAGGTCTGCTAGAGTACTTCTCTGAATAATATTTTTCTATAAAGTGTACATGGGTACACTTTATAGAAAACACCTGCTTATATTTTCTGGGTCCTTGAATGAATGGAGAAGGTGTGACAGTACTTTCTGTCAGACTGCATGTGAAGTACAGCTTAACTGGGTACAGGATTCTTGGGTCACAATCATTTTCCCTCAAACTTCGCAGATGTTACTTCACTGTATTTTGGCACTTGGTGTTAAAGTAGAGAAGTATGATGATATTTGATTCATTTTCTCAGATGTAGTCATTTTAAATAAAGTGTCTCAATATCTGTGAGATTTCTTTTTTCTGTCCTTAAAATATTTAAAACTTCTGATTATAAAAGTAAGATTGGAGATTACCAAACATTTGGAAAGTACAGAAAATTTAAACTATAAAATTTAAAATAACCAATGAACAAATAATATTTCACGATAACTCTTATTAATATTTATTGGTGTGTTTCCTTCCAGTCCAGGCCAGACTATTTTAAAATAAAGATAATAGATATTTAAAGTAATCTATTTAACATATTTAAAATATTTTCAGAGCATTCAAGCTCCTCTATACATTCCAAATTAAGAAGCCTTGATAATAATGACTAACATCTATTAAGTAATTCTACTACATGCCAGGCACTCTTTTAAATGTTTTACATGTATTAATTAATTTAACCTTTATTATAAGCCCATGAGGAAGATAATGTTTATCTCTACTTTGTTTTTCTTTTTTTCTTTTTTTTCATGAGGCTCTGCTTTCACGGTCTGTATTCGTACTAAAAATCAACATCAAGCGAGCTTTTGCCCTTCTGCTCCACGGGAGGTTTCTGTCCTCCCTGAGCTCGCCTTAGTTTTTTTTGTTTTGTTTTGTTTTTTGAGCTAGAGTCTCACTGTGTTGCCCAGGCTGAAGTGCAGTGCCACAATTTCGGCTCACTGCAACTTCCACCTCCTAGGTTCAAATGATTCTTGTGCCTCAGGCTCCTGAGTAGCTGGGATTATAGGCGCCCACCACCACATCTAGGTTTTTTTTTTTTTTCATTTTTTTGAAACAAAGTTTCACTCTTGTTGCCCAAGCTGCAGTGCAATGGAGTGATCTCAGCTCACTGCAACCTCCGCTTCCTGGGTTCAAGCGATTCTCTTGCCTCAGCCTCCTGAGTAGCTGGGATTACAGGTGCCTGCCACTACGCCTGGCTAATTTTGTATTTTTAGTAGACATGGGATTTCGCCATGTTGGTCAGGCTGGTCTCAAACCCCTGACCTCGTGATCCACCCGCCTCGGCCTCCCAGAGTGCTGGGATTACAGGCATGAGCCACTGCGCCCAGCCCATTATCTCTACTTTTCATATAAAGAACTTTAAGCAGCAGGGCATGGTAGTTCATGCCTGTAATCCCAACAGTTTGGGAGGCTGAGATGGAAGGACTGCTTGAGCCCAGGAGTTTGAGACCGGCCTAGGCAATGTAGTAAGATGTTCTTTCTAAAAAAAAAAAAAAATTCAAAATTAGCCAGACGTGGTGGCTCATACCTGGAGTCCCAGCTACTTGGGATGCTGAGGTGGGAGCATCACTTGAGTCTGGGAGGTTGAGACTGCAGTGAGTGATCATGCCACTGCACTCCAGCTGGGACAACAGGGCAAGAACTTGTCTCCAAAAACAAAACAAAACAAAACAAACAAACAAAGAAAACAAAACTTAAAACAGGCTAACTGAATTTTTCAAGGTCACAAAACTAGAAAATGACAGAACTGAGACTTTAATTCAGGTGATCTAACTTCAGGGCCCAGGCTGAGGCAGGAGAATGGTGGGAACCCGGGAGGTGGAGCTTGCAGTGAGCCGAGATGGCGCCACTGCACTCCAGCCTGGGCAACAGAGCGAGACTCCGTCTCAAAAAAAAAAAAAAAAAAAGAATCCAGACTTCATAGTGGCTACCACAGTCTGGAGACCATTTTTCTGTACTGAACCATTAATAGGGGGCCAAAAAAGGGATTTGAGGCTGCTGTGTATATGTATACACTAAATGTTGGTGATTTTAAAACATATTTCCCAGTTTTTTGAACTGCTTATTGAGTGGTGGTATTTTTGTCTCCTTTCCTTGAACTTTGAGGGTCTTTGTGACCGCATCATGACTCTACATGAGTTGCAAGGCTAGATTATGAAAATGTCACTCGGCCTCCATCTTGGCCTCTTGGCATGCTCACTTTCAGAACTTAGCCATTATGATGAAAGGAAATCCAAACAACTCCATGGAAAAGCCACATGACAGCACAAACTGAGGTCCAGTCTGAGGGGCAGTATCGACCACCAGACATGTGAGTGAGCAAGTCTTCAGACAATTCAAGTCCCAGCTGCCAAGTCACCCTCAGCCCTGAAGTCTTCCTAGCTGAGTCTCTAGACATCTTAGAGCATATATAAGCCATCCCTATTGAACCCTCCTCCAATTACAGATTTGTGAGCAAAATAAATGATTATTATTATTTTAAGACACAAAGATTTGGGATAGTTTGTTGAGCAACAATGGTAACTAGAAAACCAAGTATATATTACCCTTCTCATCACATGCCTGCTTATACACACACACCAGGCTCATTGACTTTACTTAATGTTTAGTCAGCCGCCTATACAATATGTGTGGACCTTTTTCCCTGAAATTGTTTTCCAGCTAACTTTGAGTTTAATTTCCAAAGTAAGAGCAAAGACTAAGACACAAGGAAACACAAGGCTGCTGGCCTGTGGTTGAGTCTGGTAGTCCAAATATCTACTGTTCCCTTCTTTGGCCATAGAAACCCCATTTAATTTAATTCTGGTCAACAGGATGGATTGAAAAGTTGCTGTGAGTGTTAAATGAGTTATACATGTGAAGTACTTAGAACAATACCTGGAACATAAAAATTTATCACTATGAATGAGGGAGCTGCTTTGGTCCTGAGGGCATTGTAAATTGGACAAAGTTGACCTACAGGTTTTAATAATGCAAGAGGAGTAGATTCTACTCCCCAAGTATCTGAGAATCCATCCTTTCAGCCTTAACTCAGACCTTTATCAGTTCTCACTTAGGTTTTTTTGGTAAACAGCAGCCAAAAAAAGTCTCTCTGCTTTATTCTCTTTCATTCATTCTTTTTTTATTAAACAAGTATTTGAGTGCCTGTTATGTTCATTATAATCTAATCACAGTTAATTATTTAATGACAACAGTGTTAAGTTATAAGTTTTTTTGTTTTGTTTTTTTTAAATGAAGTCTCACTCTGTCACCCAGGCTGGAGTGCAGTGGCACGATCTTGGCTCACTGCTGCAACCTCTACCACTGGGGTTCAAGCAATTCTCCTGCCTCGGCCTCCCAAGTAGCTGGGACTACAGGCATGCACCACAATGTCTGGTTAATTTTTGTATTTTTAGTAGAGACGAGGTTTCACCATGTTGGCCAGGCTGGTCTCAAACACCTGGCCTCAAGTTATCTGCCTGCCTCGGCCTCCCAAAGTGCTGGGATTACAGGTATGAGACACCACGCCTGGCCAATAAAGAAATAACGTTTCTCCAAAGAAGATATACAAATGGCCAATAAGCACATGAAATGATGCTTAACATCATTAACCATTAGGGACACGTAAATCAAAGCCACAGTGAGATCCCCATTCATACCCACTACGGTGGTTAAAATAAAAATGATACACAATAACAAGTGTTAAGAAAGATATGGAGAAATTGGAACTTTTATATATTGCTGATGAAATTGTAAAATGGTATGGCTCCTTCGGAAAACAGGAAGTTCCTTGAAATGTCAAACAGAATTACCAGATAAGCCAAAAATACTGCTTCTAGGTATACGCCCTAAAGAACTAAAAACAGGTGTTCAAATAAAAACTCGTATACAAATGTTTATAGCAACATTATTTATAATAGCTAAAAAGTGGGAAAAAAACAATTGACCATCAATGGATAGATGGATAAATGATATTATTCAATCATAAAAAAGAATTAAGTGGCCGGGCACAGTGGCTCATGCCTGTAATCCCAGCACTTTGGGAGGCTGAGACGGGTGAATCACGAGGTCAGGAGTTCAAGACCAGCCTGGCCAACATAATTGAAACCTCGTCTCTACTAAAAATACAAAAATTAGCTGGGCATGGTGGCAGGTGCCTGGAATCCCAGCTACGTGGGAGGCTGAGGCAGGAGAATCACTTGAACCTGGGAGGTGGAGGTTGCAGTGAACTGAGATTGCGCCACTCCACTCCAGCCTGGGCAACAGAGACTCGGTGTCAAAAAAAAAAAAGAAAAAAGAATTAAGGATTGATACATGCCGCAAAATGGATGAACCTTGAAACATGCAAAGTGAGAGAAGCCAATCACAAGCGGCCATTTATTGTGTAATTCCATCTATATAAAATGTCCAGGGTAGGCAAATCCATAGAGACAGAAGTAGGTTGATGATTGTCAGGGGCTAGAGGGAGGGGGCACTGGGGAGTGATTGCTAATGGGTAAGGGGTTCCTTTTTGCAGTAATGAAGTGTTCTAAAATTAAGTAGTGGTGAAGATTGAATTATAGATTATATAAAAACCACTGAAATGTGTACTTCAAAAAGGCGAATCTTATGAAATATGAATTATATCTCAATAAAGCTGTCATAACAATTGTCTTGAATGAAGAAGGGCTCTCTGAACACATAACCGAGAAGCCATAAAAGACTGATATGTTGGACTCCATAAAAACACAGCCTCTCACTCCTGCTCTCAAGGGATCCTCTAGACTGCAGGCTCACCACCATGCCTGGCTTCTACAAATGTTTAAGAGAGAGAAATGCCCGTACATCACTTTAAAAAATGCAAATTAAAACCAAAACAGGCCAGGTGCGGTGGCTCACGCCTGTAATCCCAGCACTTTGGGAGGCTGAGGCGGGCGGATCACCTGAGGTCGGGAGTTTGAGACCAGCATGACCAACATGGAGAAATCCCGTCTCTACTAAAAAAAAAAAACCACACACACAAAATTAGCCAGGCGTAGTGGCTGAGGCAGGAGAATTGCTTGAACCTGGGAGGCAGAGGTTGCATGAGCCAAGATCGCGCCATTGCGCTCCACCCTGGGCAGCAAGAGCGAAACTCCATCTCAAAATAATAATAATAATAATAATAATAATAATAGCATGATGATACAAAAGTATTTGATATGCTATATATGTGTGAATACTGAATTGAGCACTTTGTGTAACTATTGTTGCTATGTAGATACTATGTGAGGATGAAATCATGAAAAAGAATGAATATTATATCTTTTGAAACATGTATTTAAAAAATTATATAATAGCATTCCCTCTGCTAAATTACATTCTTGCCAAGTAGAAATTCAAGTTACACAAGCAAGAGCCTATTTTAACTTTTGGATGAATGTTGTCTTCCCATATATATATATGCCTTAGCTACCTGCTTCTAGATAAAGATCAGGTTAAGTGTCTTTCACATGGGAATTTCAAAGCAGTTTAAGGGCAATAATTAGTTCTCATAATAACTCTGTGAAGTGTGTGTATTTTTTCATATCTATTTTCACATGAGAGGACTGACAGGCTAAATGGTTTCCTGGTATTCTGTGCTCCATTATTGTTGAAACTAAGACTGTTATTGCTTCATTGGCCACTTTTTTTTCCTTGAGAAGTGATAAAGCAATTGTTGGGTCAATAAACCAAACAAAAATAGCTATTTACATGTCAATTTTTTTTTTTTTTTTGACACAGAGTCTTACTCTGTCACCCAGGCTGGAGTGCAATGGCATGATCTTGGCTCACTGCAGCGTCCTCCAGAGTAGCTGGGATGTGCTACCATGCCCTGCTAATTTTTGTATTTTTAGTAGAGGAGGGGTTTCACCATGTTGGCCAGGCTGGTCTCAAATGCCTGACTTCAGGTGATCCACCCGCCTCGGCCTCCCACAGTGATGGAATTACAGGCGTGAGCCACTGCGCCCAGCCATATGTCAAATATTTTTAAAACACGAGGACAGTATTTTTATTTTTTGGACTTTCTAAACAATCTTTAGCATTTTTAATTTACTCTATACCCGAATAGTTGATTGGGACAACATTTTCTTTCCTTTTTTCTTTTTTCTTTTTTTCCTTTTTTTGAGACAGGGTCTTGCTCTGTCACCCACACTGGAGCACAGCAGCATGAACAGGACTCACTGCAGCCTCGACTGCCCACGCTCAAGTCATCCTCCTGCCTCAGCCTCCTGAGTAGCTGGGACTATAGGCACAGGCTGCCACACCTGGCTAATTTTTGTATTTTTCTGTAGAGATGGGGTTTTACCATGTTGCCCACAAAAGTCTGGAACTCCTGAGTTCAAATGATTCTCCTGCCCTGGCCTCCCAAAGTGTTGGGATTACAGATGTGAGCCACCACGCCCCGCCAGGGCAATGTTTTCTAAATTAAAATATATTTTAAAATATAGAAATAATCAGAGTAGCTCTGCAGTAGCTTCATCTGAGATCTGCTTTGAATATTTCTTTAATTATTAGAAATGTACTTACAGATAATTAATGTGGTTTAGTGACTAGGAGACCTATTTTTAAAGATCCTGTCCTGGCACACTGTGAGAGTATGATACATTTTTGAAACAGGCAGGGTTGAAATGTCTTTCACTGGTGCCACACACTATGCTAACCACTTTATATACATTATCTCATTCAATCCACAACATGGTGAGGTAGTTTCAGCCATTATATTTCTCATTTTACAGACAAACAGCCCAATAGTGAGACTTATTTAACATTACATAGAAGGTGAGAAGTTAGGCAGGATTCTAAACATCAAGTCAATAATGCCATTTTGATCTTGCTATTTTCACCTCATTTTTTGTACCCTGAACTTGAATCAGATATGTGATTTTGACCTGCCATTTTGAACCCTGTATTTGTGAATATACCCATGTAAACTATTGTTATAACCAGTTTAATTCTTGATGAAATTTCTCTGCAGTACAGTGAAACTATTTCCAATTTTTTTTCTATTCTCATTTTTTTTTTTCGAGACAGAGTCTCACTCTGTTGCCCAGGCTGGAGTGCAGTGGACTGCCCTCAGCTCATTCCAACCTCCACCTCCCAGGTTCAAGCAATTCTCCCACCTCAGCCTCCCAAGTAGCTGGGATTACAGGCATGCACCACGCCCGGCTAATTTTTGTATTTTTAGTAGAGATGGGGTTTCACCATGTTGGTCAGGCTGGTCTCAAACTCCTGACCTCAAGGTCCTTCCTCGGCCTCCCAAAGTGCTGGGACTATAAGCAAGAGCCACAGCACCCAGCCTCTATTCTAATTTTTATTTTACCAAAATTATGCTCAGGATAAAATTTTTCCATGTGCATTTAAAAATTAGATTCATTTCAGTCATTAGGTCTTTTTTTTTGTAATTTAGAGATGGATGTCACTCACAGGCACCATCATAGTGCAGAACAGCCTCGAATTCCTGGCCTCAAGGGAGCCTCCTGCTTCAGCCTCCAAAAGTAGCTGGGACTATAGGCATGCACCTTTATGCTGGGTATTTTAGTCATTAGGTTTTTATCCTCATCAAACTCTGTCCATTTTAACTACTGCTATTGTGAACCTTCTTTCATAGCTGTTATTTCTATGAAATTTGAGTTTTTCCTCTGATTCAGTCAAAACATTCATTGGGTTAACATGGTAGGGTCAAAACATTCTTTTTTGCCTGGGATATAAGAATTCAGGCTGGGCACAATGACTCACGCCTGTAATCTCAGCACTTTAGGAGGCCAGAGCAGGAGGATCTCTTGAACCCAGGAGTTCAAGACCAGCCAGGGCAAGAGCAATGTATCAAGACCCTATCTCTAAAAAAAGAGAAGAATGAAAGAAAAAAAGAATTCAATAAAGGTCATTTTTTATGATAGTGATGATGAGACAACTAATACCTGCTTTAGCCCCCTCTCAGGAGGCTCCAGTGTAGAAAGATGTGACAGTGCTTTGTAATCTGTGAAAGTTAAATAAATGCCTCTTTACTAATTGTTAAAATAAGTTGTAAAAATCCATCCTCTGAAACTCTTCTGGAAGGCAAGTACCTTCCTGTTCCTGCTGTGATGTTATCTGCAAAAATGCTTGCAGCCAGGATTGTCAGGCACTTGTAGTCCCAGCTATTCCGGAGGCTGAGGCAGGAGGATTCCTTAGGAGCGAAGGAGTTAAGGTCAGCCTGAGGAACTTAGTTGCAAGACCCTGTCTCCAAAAGAAAATTTTTTTTAATTAAAAATAAATTCATTCTTGTAGGGACATTTAAAAAAATGTGGTTACAGACATCAACTGATTTTCTAAGTATATCCTAGTAACCCTTTACTCACTGCTCTCTTCTCATTTGTTTTCCAGTCCAACCTCATTAATTTTTCTTTCTCTAGCCCTAATGCTGAAATCCTTTGTGATATAGAGACCAGCTTTGGCACTCTAATGGATTCTTTACCATTGATTATCCGTTTCATCATCGTGGTTGCTGTAACTGTTGCATAGGATTGAGTGATATAGCATTACTGGCTGGCAGTTCTTGAGAAAAATTAAAACAAGCCCATTGCCAAATGGATTTTGTCTCAGCAAGAGTGCAGTTACACTATTATTATATAAAAATCTCCTGTTATCATAGCTCTCTGTCTCTTGCCTAATGTACCCCTGAAAGGTTTTTCTGTTTTGTTTTGTTTTGTTTTTTTGAGATGGAGTTTTGCCCAGGCTGGAGTGCAATGGCACGATCTCGGCTCACTGCATTCTCTGCCTCACGGTTTCAAGTGATTCCCCTGCCCCAGCCTCCCGAGTAGCTGGGATTACAGGCATGTGCCACCATACCTGGCTAATTTTGTATTTTTAGTAGAGACAGGGTTTCTCCAAGTTGGTCAGGCTGGTCTTGAACTCCCAACCTCAGGTGATCCGCCCACCTCAGCCTCCCAGAGTGCTGGGATTACGGGCATGAGTCACTGCACCCGGCCAAGAAAATTTTTTTAAAGATGAGGTTGTATTAGGATTCTCTAAAGGGGCAGAACTAATAGGACAGATGTATATATGAAGGGGAGTTTATTAGGGAGAGTTGACTGACACAATCACAAGGTGAAGTCCCATGATAGGCCACCTGCAAGTTGAGAAGCAAGGAAGCCCAAGTTCCAAAACCTCAAAAGTAGGGAAGCCAACAGTGCAGCCTTCAGTCTGTGGCCGAAGGCCTGAGAGCCCCTGGCAAAACACTGGTGTAAATCTAAGAGTCCAAAAGCTGAACAACGTAGAGTCTGATGTTTGAGGGCAGGAAACATCCAGCATGGGAGAAAGATAAAGGCCAGAAGACTCAGCAAGTCTGCTTCTCCCACCTTCTTCGGCCTCCTTTATTCTAGTCCCGCTGGCAGTTGATTAGATGGTGCCTACCCAGATTGAGGGTGGGTCTGCCTCTCCCAGTCCACTGACTCTAATGTTAATTTCCTTTGGCAACACCCTCACTGACACGCCCAGGAACAATGCTTTGCATCCTTCAATCCAATCAAGTTGACACTTAATATTAACCATCACGGGGATCTAGCTATGTTGTTCAGGGTGGAGAGCAGTGGTTATTCTCAGGCATCATGGCAGGTGCCATGATGCTTACTGCAGCCTGAAGCTCCTGGGCTCAAGCAGTCCTCCCACACTAGCCTCCCAAGTAGCTGGGTCTACAAGTGTGTGCCAGCATGCTTAACTTTTGAAGAACTGTCAAACTGCTTTCCAAAGCAGCTGCACCATTTTGCATTCCCAACAGCAATGTGTCAGGGTTCTAATTTATCCACATCCTTGTCCATACTTTCTTCTGTCTACTTTAGCCTTTTTTTTTTTTTTAAATTGAGACAGAGTTTCACTCTTGTTGCCCAGGCTGGAGTATAATGGCACAATGTGGGCTCACCACAACCTCCGCCTCCTGGGTTCAAGCGATTCTCCTGCCTCAGCCTCCGGAGTAGCTGGAATTACAGTCATGCGACACCATGCCTGGCTAATTTTGTATTTTTTGGTAGAGACGAGGTTTCACCATGTTGGTCAGGCTGGTCTCAAACTCCCGACCTCAGGTGATCCTGCTGCCTTAGCCTCCCAAAGTGGTGGGATTACAGGCGTGAGCCACCACGCCCGGCCTTACTTTAGCCGTCTTAATGAGTGTAAAGTGGCATCTCATTATAGTTTTGATTTTCCTAATGGCTAAGGATGTTGAGCATCTTTTTTTATGTGTTTATCGGCCATTTGTATATCCTTCTTTAGAGAAATGTCTATTCAGATATTTTGTTCATTTTATCTTTATTTTTTATTTTTTAGAAACCAGGCCTTACCTTGTTGCCCAGGTTGGAGTACAGTGTGATCATAGCTCACTGCAGCCTGGAACTCCTGGGCTCAAGCGATCCTCCCACCTCAGCTTCCCAAAGTGCTGGGATTACAAGGATGAGCCACTGTGCCTGGCCCCATTTGTCCATTTTTAAGTTGGATTTTCACTTTTAGTTCAGGAAATTCTATTCATATATTCAACTCATTTGAGAATTTCTCCTGATGCTTCTCTGCTCCTTAGAAAGTATGTTTTATATTAGATTATTGTTTTTCAAATAAGTTCTGCATTTATTGAGGACCTAATATATGTCTGACTTAGACTAAATATTTGGGCTACAGTTGGAGACCTTAAGGAATTCACCATCTCTCTTCCTAAGGAGATGTTTTGCAACACAATGCTATAAATACTGTTGCAGGCCTCATGTAGATTAAAATGGCTTAACAGCAAAACCCCTGTGGGGATACAAACAAGAAGGTTTAAACTAACGTTACAGAGATAATACAATGGAGTTTTTGTGCAAGGTGGAAAAAGTCAAAGTATACAAGTTATATCTCTCACCAGTCACCACAGTACAGAAAACACTGATCACATCAAACATGAAGACAGCTGAGTAAGAGGTGCTGGCCTTAGAGCAGAGCTTGCAGAACAGAACAAACAGAAGGAAGACAATTTCCCAGTACTAAGTAAAACTGGGACCTTTTGCAGAGCACTGCCCAAGACTCTTCAACAATGCAATTCATAAAATCTTTATTTGAAGTAATCATTTGGAAATTACAGGTTGACAATGTATCACTGTTTTTGCAAATAGTAATAAAGGAACTGACCTCAGAAGTCACCTTGCACCATAGCCAGACCTGCATGGTACAAGAGAACAGGACACATGAAAGAAAATAATCAATGGACCATACAAGAAGAGAAATTAAAATAGAAAACACAACTTAACCATGTATGGCTAAGGGCTTTCACAGTTCTTTTCCTTTTTCCTTTTTTATTTTATTTTTTATTTTTAGAGACAGAGTCTCACTATGTTGCCCAGGCTGGAGTGCAATGGGTATTCACAGACACAATACCACTACTGATCAGCAGGGTTTTGTTTTTTTTTTTTGAGACGAAGTCTCGCTCTGTGGCCCAGGCTGGAGTGCAGTGGCGTGATCTCAGCTCATTGCGGAAACTCCATCTCCCGGGTTCAAGCGATTCTCCTGTCTCGGCCTCCCCAGTAGCTGGGATTTCAGGCGCCTGCCACCACACCTAGCTAATTTTTATATTTTTAGTAGAGACAAGATTTCACCATGTTGGCCAGGATGGTCTCGATCTCTTGACCTCGTGATCTGCCGGCCTTGGCCTCCCAAAGTACTGGGATTACAGGCGTGAGCCACAGCGCCCAGCCTAGCAGGGAGTTTTTGACCTGCTCCATTTCTGACCTGGGCCGGTTCACCCCTCCTTAGGTAAACTGGTGATCCCTGCTTCTAGGTGGTCACCATACTGATGTGGAACTTATGCTGACACCTGATCGGCATAGCACACACTACAGCCCAGAACTCCTGTGCTCATCCATCCTCCTGCCTCAGCCTCCTGAGTAGCTGGAACTTACAGGCATGCACCACCACATCCAGCTCACCGTTCTATAATGAAGAGAAAAATGAAAATAAATATCAAAATATCATAACCTTCTGCATATTGTTTATGTTGCATATAGACATGTTTGTGTGGACTGCAAATGAGAGCTTTTTTTTTTTTTTTTTTTTTTTTTTTTTTTTTTTTTTTTTGAGATGGAGTCTCGCTCTGTCGCCCAGGCTAGAGTGCAGTGTCACAATCTCGGCTCACTGCAAGCTCCGCCTCCTGGGGTCACGCCATTCTGCTGTCTTAGTGTCCCGAGTAGCTGGGACTACAGGTGCCCGCCATCACGCCCGGCTAAGTTTTTGTATTTTTAGTAGAGATGGGGTTTCTCTGTGTTAGCCAGGATGGTCTCAATCTCCTGACCTCGTGATCTGCCCGCCTCGGCCTCCCAATGTGCTGGGATTACAGGCGTGAGCCACCGCGCCCGGCATTTTTTTTTTTTTTTTTTTTTTTTTTTTTTGAGACGGAGTCTTGCTTTGTAGCCCAGGCTGGAGTGCAATGGCATGACTTCGGTTTACTGCAACCTCTGCCTCCTGGGTTCAAGTGATTCTCCTGCTTCAGCCTCCCGAGTAGCTGGGATTACAGGCGTCTGCCACCACGCCCGGCTAATTTTTGTATTTTTAGTGAAGATGGGGTTTCACCATGTGGGCCAGGCTGGTCTCAAACTCCTGATCTCAGGTGATCTGCCCGCCTCGGTCTCCCGAAGTGCTAGGATTATAGGCGTGAGCGTGAGCCACCGCGCCCAGCTGAGAGCTCTTTTATACTGCAGATTTTAGACACTTGGTTAGTCATTTTTGCTGTCTTCATAAAGTCTTGCTCTAAGGAAGCATTCCCATTGCAGCTAAATATGTTAATCTTGTGGAATCCACTAGGGACAATCAAAATTCTGGTTCCTGGAATGGCTTATTTAAACACTCTCTATTCCACCAAGCGCCTGAGGAGTCTTACTAGAATGATACAATATGATTCTTTGAAAAAAGACATTGCAAACCTAATGTATGATAAACCAGAGTACTAAATAGAATATTAACATATCCTGGAGGCTTCAATAAATATTAGGGTTAGGATTTAGTGCTGATAATAAAGTGTCATCTGTGAAGTAATTTGGATTTTTATAATGAACAATGAGTTTACATAATTTTTTTTTCTGTATTTCCTTACCTTGAGTATAATTTTTGTTCTGAGGCTAGGCGCAGTGGCTCATGCCTGTAATCCCAGCACTTTGGGAGGCTGAGGCGGGAGATCAACTGAGGTCGGGAGTTTGAGACCAGCCTGACCAACATGGCAAAACTCCGTCTCTACTAAAAATGAAAAATTAGCCGGACATGGTGGCGGGCGCCTGTAATCCCAGCTACTCAGAAGGCTGAGGCAGGAGAATCACGTGAACTCGGGAGGCAGAGGTTGCAGTGAGCCGAGATCGCGCCATCACACTCCAGCCTAGGCGACAAGAGAGAAACTCCGTCTAAAAAAAAAGCAGGCCGGCTCTGTGACTCACCCTGTAATCCCAGCAGTTTGGGAGGCTGAGGCGGGTGGATCACGAGGTGAGGAGTTTGAGACCAGCCTGGCCAAGATGGTGAAACCCTGTCTCTACTAAAAATGCAAAAATTAGCCGGGCGTGGTGGCAGGGGCCTGTAATCCCAGCTACTCGAGAGGCTGAGGCAGGAGAATTGCTTGAACCTGGGAGGCAGAGGTTGCAGTGAGCCGAGATTGCCGCCACTACAATCTAGCCTGGGCAAGACAGCAAGACTCTGTTTCAGAAAACAAAACAAAACAAAACAACACTGTAGGAGGCCAAGGCAGAAAGATCTCTTGAGTGCAGGAGTTCAAGTTCAAGGCTGCAGTAAGCCATGATCACGCCACTGCACTCCAGCCTGGATGACAAGTTGAGACCCTGTTTCTTTTTTCCTCTTTTTTTTTTTTCTTTGAGACGAAGCCTCGCTCTTCTCCCCCAGGCCCCCAGGCTGGAGTGCAATGGCTTGATCTCGGGTCACTGCAACCTCTGCCTCCCGGGTTCAAGCAATTCTCCTGCCTCAGCCTCCCAAGTAGCTGGGATTACAGGTGCATACCACCACGCCCAGGTAATTTTTTTTGTATTTTAAGTACAGACGGGGTTTCACCATCTTGGCCAGGCTGGTCTCGAACTCCTGACCTCAGGTGATCCACCAGCCTCGGCCTCCCAAAGTGCTGGGATTATAGGTGTGAGCCACCACACCCAGCCAGGTGAGACCCTGTTTCTAAAAATAAATTCTAGGACATTAAAACATATAAAAAAGAATAAAGAAGAAAATATTTAAAGTCACCCATAATTCTTTTCCTCCCCAAACCAAAACCATAGGAGAGGAGTGTTACACTACTCCAGAGTGTGAACAAATCTCTTTGGGAACATAGAGGACAAGGCAAGTAATGCTGACTGGGGAATTGGAGAATGCTTAACATTCGCTAGTTGGGAGGTGACAATTATGCTGGCTTTAGCCTGGAGAAGGGGCAGGGAAAGGCACTGAAGGTGGAGGGAATAGTCAGTAGGAAATGATAGAATCACTCTCTTTTTTTCTTTAATTAGAAAGAAGGTAAAGTTTGGGGAAGAGCCTGATACATTCTGAGAGCTCTAAGAGGTTCAGTGTATCTAGACTATAAGAGATAAAAGAGGGGGATAAGGTTGGAAAGAGTATGAAGACCTTTGTTCATAAAGGTAAGGAATTGGGCTGCTTTCTGTAGGATTGTCCTTAGTTATACTGAGATAGGCAAGGTAATTGACAACTAGAAGCACGATGCTGTTCTCTAGCCCCTTAACTAGAAAGTTGTTACTTACCCCGGCTGGATGCGGTGGCTCACGCCTGTAATCCCAGCACTTTGGGAGACTGAGGCGGGCAGATCACGAGTTCAGGAGTTCAAGACCATCCTGGTCAACACGGTGAAACCGCGTCTCTACTGAAAATACAAAAAATTAGCTGGGCGTGGTGGCGGGCGCCTGTAGTCCCAGCTACTTGGGAGGCTGAGGCAGGCGAATGGCGTGAACCCAGGAGGCAGAGCTTGCTGTGAGCCAAGATTGCGCCACTGCACTCTATCCAGCCTGGGTGACAGAGCGAGACTCTGTCTCAAAAAAAAAAAAAAAAGAAAGAAAATTGTTACTTAGCCTAATCACCCCATCAGATTTTCCTCTACGTCCTCATTTTTCTGTTACCAAAGTTGATCGTTAGGGGAAAAAACAAATCCTTATAGGAGGATGCAGGAAGACAAGACAATAGCAAATGTTGGGGCTCAGAAAACAATACCCCAAAATATGGTGCTTTGGCACGCTGAGCATTTTGAACTAAAGGAAATTTAAAGGCCTTAGAAGCAGCCTCAGAACCAAGAACTTTCTTTCTCCTGTTTCTCCCCAACCCCAAGCCCAGGGTGGAATTCTCTGAAGCTCCCTTATCTGAAGCTCCTCCAGAAGGAACATAGTTGCCTTTGATCACTGAAATTTCAAAACAGAGAGGATGAAACTCACGGAGCAGGAAGGAAGACTGAGGAAAGTCACCTCATCTAGACAGGCTTTGTCACAAGCCATTGTCTGTTCTTCAGGTCCCATTCAATTTTCAAATAGAATCATTTACAAATGATTGCCTATTCTTTGGGCCCAGTCAACTCTCCCCAAAATCATTTACTGCCTCTCAAAATTGCCTATATTTTTCCCATCTCCATCTCCCTTCTCCCTCTCCCCTACAAAGCTTCAGCCATCTGGCCCTTCTTTGAGTTTCATATTTTGTATGGCTCCTGTGCACGCTTGCATGTTAATAAATCTGTTTGCCTTTTCTCCTATTAATCTATTGTCAGTTTATTTCGGCGGACTTGAAACTTTAAAGGCGTAGAAAAAAATTCCCTTTGCCCTGACAAAAATAAGATGTCTTACAGATGTTCTACATAAGGATTTGGCAAACAGAATGCATATGAGTAATCCTTAGCTGTGAAACCATTCTAGTAATAGTTTGTGTTTTGTGCATTTTCTTAAAGACATTGATTTTGGGCATATGGAAAGATTATTCTGTAATATTTGAAGGAGGGAAAAAAAGCCTCACAGTTCTGATAGTTCCATTTTTTATTCTGCACTTTATGAAGGATAAATGTACGGTGTCTGTTTCTGGATGGTAGACATGTTATAGGAAAGGGGTTCTGATCCAGACCCCCAGAGAGGGTTCTTGGATCTCCAGCAAGAAAGAATTCAGGGCGAATCTGCAAAGTGAAATGGTTTCACCATGTTAGCCAGGATGGTCTTGATCTCCTGACCTCGTGATCCACCCGCCTCGGCCTCCCAAAGTGCGGGGATTACAGGCACGAGCCACCGCGCCCGGCCTTTTATAGATTTTTCTGAGATGGAGTCTCGCTCTGTCGCCCAGGCTACGGTGCAGTGGCATGATTTCGGCTCACTGCAACCTCCGCCTCCCGGTGACAAGTGATTCTCTTGCTTCAGCCTCCTGAGTGGCTGAGATTACAGGCACCCGCATCCACGCCCAGTTAATTTTTGTATTTGCAGTAGAGATGGGGTTTCACCATGTTGGCCAGGCTGGTCTCGAACTCTTGACCTCACGTGATCCACCCACCCTGACCTCCCAAAGTGCTGGGATTACAGGCATGAGCCACCTCGACGGCCCTATTTCTTGATCATATGCTAAACAAGGGGTAGATTATTCATGCTTCCCCTTTTTACACCATATAGGGTAACTTCCTGACATTACCATGGCATTTGTAAACTGTCCTGGCACTGGTGGGAATATAGCAGTGAGGACTACCAGAGGTCACTGTCGTCACCATTTTGGTTTTGTTGGGTTTTAGCTGGCTTCTTTAATGCAACCTGTTTTATCAGCAAGGTCTTTATGACCTGTATCTTGTGCTAACCTTCTATCTCATCTCATCCTGTGACTTAGAATGCCTTAACCGTCTGGGAATGCAGCCCAGCAGGTCTCAGCATCATTTTACCCAGCCCCCCACCTTTTTTTTCTTTTTTTCCAGAGGGAGTCTGGCACTGTCGCCCAGGCTGGCATGCAGTGGTGTGATCTTGGCTCACTGCAACCTCTGCCTCTCGGGTTCAAGCGATTCTCCTGCCTCAGCCTCCTGAGTAGCTGAGATTACAGGCACGGGCCACCACAACCGGCTAATTTTCGTATTTTTAGTAGAGACGGGGTTTCACCATGTTGGTCAGGCTGGTCTCGAACTCCTGACCTCGTGATCCGCCTGCCTCGGCCTCCTCCCAAAGTGCTGGGATTACAGGCGTGAGCCACTGCACCTAGCCACCCAGCCCCTATTTAAGATGGAGTTGCTCTGGTTCCAATGTCTCTGACAGATATACACTGAAAAAACTGATTAGATTGATAACTATATAATGGAAAAAATCCCCCTAGGAGGACGAGTCAGTAAGTAAAAGGTAGTCATGCTTCTGAAAGAAAAGAATGCCAAAAAATGCCAGACATACAGTAAGTCTCATGCTGGATTAAATAGAGACATGCCCTAAAATGCCTAAAAGGAGGCTAATGATTAGCCTTCTTTTTAATCATTATTATTATTATTATTTGAGACAGGGTTTCACTCCGTTGCCCAGGCTGGAATGCAGTGGTATGGTCTGGGGTCACTACAATCTCTACCTCCCAGGTTCAAGCAATCCTCCCACCTCAACCTCCCAAGTAGCTAGGACTACAGGCACATGCCACCACACCCTGCTAACTTTTTTTTTTTTGTAGAGACAGGTTTCCCCATGTTACCTAGGCTGGTCTCGAACTCCTAGGCTCAAGAGATCTACCGCCTGGCCTCCCAAAGTGCTGGGATTAGAGGCGTGAGCACCATTCCCAGCCTAATCACTATTTTTATAGTTGAAACTTGTATTTTTCTCTATAAAAAAGTGTGGAAGTTTATCTTGCTTTTTTGAAAAAGTTGAGACCAAACCCAGACAAAGGTTTTATCCTAAATTTGTTGTATGATGTGATTTCCTACTGCAACATGGGTTTTAAAATCAGTCTTTTATTTTAAGGGAAAAGGAATACATTCAAGTGGAAGAGGTTCAAATTTTAAATCATGATTAGTTTTGTATTTGGAAAATAAAACCATCACAATTCAGCTCTAATTATCTAATCAGTTTTAACTAGAGAAATTCTAGATTAAGAAAGAAGAAAGTAAGTTTTGACATGGGTATTTCTGTGTTTCAGGGGCCTCCAAAAGGATGAATATGTACTTATCTTACATGGGGTGAAGGCTGTGAGAGTGAGTATTACAGTAGCTTCATTATTACACAAATCCTGCTCTTGAAATTATTTGTGTAATTTCTGCAAGCAGATAGTCCAGTGCAGTTATTTGGAGGTCACTGTGAAGGGCCAGATAAATATTATCAAAAGCCAGAAAAACTAGGAAGCAAGGCCATAATAAGGTCTTGTTTCCTTTTTTTTTTTTTTTTTTTTTTTTTGAGATGGAGTTTAGCTCTTGTTGCACAGGCTGGAGTGCAATGGCCTGATCTCAGCTCACTGAAACTTCTGCCTCCCGGGTTCAAGTGATTCTCCTGCCTCAGCCTCCTGAATAGCTGGAATTACAGGCATGAGCCACCACGCCTGGCTAATTTTGTATTTTTAGTGGAGATGGAGTTTCTCCACGTTGGTCAGGCTGGTCTGGAACTCCTGACCTCAGGTGATCTGCCCGCCTCAGCCTCCCAAAGTGCTGGGATTACAGGTGTGAGCCACTGCGCCCAGCCATAAAGGTCTTGTTTATTGACTTCAGTTTATTTCATACGCTTATGCAACAGTCTTACCTGCTAAGTAAGAAAAATGTAGACATGCTTAAGACCTGGAAAAAGTATTGAAAAGGTATCAAAGGTTTATAGAATGTGCAGTACATATTATTCATATTCATTATGATTTTTTCTAATCCTGACGATAGAAATATAAGCCTACACAGGATCAAATATTTGCCTTGTTTTGTGTCTTCAATTGGCTGGCTTTTTTTTTTTGAGGCAGAATCATGATTTTTTTTTAAAAAACGTAAAACAATTTTTTTTTGAGACAGAGTTTCACTCTTGTTTCCCAGGCTGGAGTGCAGTGGCACGAACTCAGCTCACTGCAACCTCCACCTCCTGGGTTCAAGCGATTCTCCTGCCTGATTTATATTTTTCCAGAATTTTCTAAGTATATGTTTATAGAGAATTGTACACACATACAGCTGGGATAATGTATTACTTACATTTAACATTCTGGTTTTCCAATTTAATACTATATCATGGGCATGTCCCCATGACATTATTTTCTATAAATACCATTTTAATAGCTCTATAATATTTAAAGCTATTTATATTTCATGGTTTACCAGCTGTTCTTTTATTGTTAGATATTTAAATTAATTCCAATTTTTAGTACTATATATAAACAATGCTGTGATAGACACTTTTATCTGCCTTTCTGAGTATTTCCTTAGGATTTCCTTAGGAGAGCCATGAATAAATTTCATGGCTATTCTTAGAGTAATTTTTTTTTTTTTTTTTTGAGACAGGGTCTTGCTCTGTTGCCTAGGCTGGAGTGCAGTAGCATGATCATGGCTCACTGCAGCCTCGACCTCCTGGGCTCAAGTGATCCTCCCACCTTAGCCTCCTGAGTAGCTGGGACCACAGGTATACACCATGGCCGGCTAATTTTTTCATTTTTTGTAGAGACAAAGTCCCGCTATGTTGCCCAGATTGGTCTCCAACTCCTGGTGCTCCTGTCTAAGCCTCTCGAAGTGCTGGGATTACAGGCATGAGCCACCACACCCAGCCTACTGTAATATTTTTTAAGAATTTGATTTCATTTATTCTATTAATGCATAAATCTTAAATTATTTCAGACTCTAATCAAACAAACTATAAATGTAAAATATGAACAAATGTATTCAGGGTCTGAGCAGAAGTTATCTGAAAATTTTTCTTTAGTAAGTCAATTCAAAAGCATGAATAAAAATTCATGAAGCATTTTTCAAGTGGATCAATTTTTATTCACTTTTATAGACCCATTATTTTGTTTAACTCATGGTTATTTTGACACACAGTGTTTCTTTATATAATATAGGTTAGGCCTCATTTACTCATTCACTCAGGTGCAGGTGCTCTTTCCCCTGACTTAATCTGTATTAGTGAGTGTTTGCCGTATTACCTCCCATTTAAAAAAAAATATAAGTCTAGGCTGGGTGTGGTGGCTCACGCTTGTAATCCCAGCACTTTAGGAGGCCAAGGCGGGCAGATGGCTTGAGCCAGGCATTGGAGACCAGCCTGGGCAGCATGGTGAAATTCAGTCTTGACAAACAATAAAAGAACTTAGCTGGGCGTGGTGGTGGCGCACCTGTAGTCCCAACTACTTGGAGGCAGAGACAAGAGGATCACCTGAGCCCATCAGGTCAAGACTGCAGTGAGCTATGATCATGGCACTGCACTCCAGCCTGGGGACAGAGCAACACCGTGTCTCAAAGAAATAGAATAGGCTGGGCAAGGTGGCTCACACCTGTAATCCCAGCACTTTGGGAGGCCAAGGCGGGCAGATCATGAGGTCAGGAGTTCAAGACCAGCTTGACCAATATGGTGAAACCCCATCTCTACTAAAAATACAAAAATTAACCAGGCATGGTGACACATGCCTGTAATTTCAGCTACTCAGGAGGCTAAGGCAGAGGATTACTTGAACCTGGGAGGCGGAGGTGGCAGTGAGCCAAGATTGTGCCACTGCACTCCAGCCTGGGCAACAGAGCAAGACTCTGTCTAAAAAAAAAAAAAAAAAAAAAAAGGCCAGGCGGGGAGGCTTGACTGGGCGGAGTGGCTCACGCCTGAATCCCAGCACTCTGGGAGGCCGAGGCAGGTGGATCACGAGGTCAGGAGACTGAGACCATCCTGGCTAACATGGTGAAACAGCGTCTCTACTAAATGTTAGCCAGGCATGGTGGCATGCACCTATAGTCCCAGCTACTCGGGAGGCTGAGGCAGGAGAATTGCTTGAACCCAGGAGGCGGAGGTTGCAGTGAGCTGAGATTGCGCCACCGCACTCCAGCCTGGGCGACAGAGCGAGACTCTGTCTCAAAAAAAAAAAATTATATATATATATATATATATATATATATATACACACATATATATACACACACACACACGCACACACATATATATATATATATATATATATATATATATATATATATATATATATATATATATATACAAAAAATTAGGTGGGCGTGGTGGCGAGTGGCGAGTGCCTGTAATCCCAGCTACTTGGGAGGCTAAGGCAGGAGAATTTCTTGAACCTGGGAGGCAGAGGTTGCAGTGAGCGGAGATCGCGCCACTGCACTTTAGCCCAGGCAACAACAGAGCAAGACTCTGGAGTCTCACAAAAAAAAAAAAAAAAAAAAAAAAAAAAAAGAATTAAGCCAACAACGTGAATAGGCTTAAAAAAGGAGATTCTTCCCCTGTTAAACCTCCAAGTGTTAACAGTCTGGTTGACACTTTGATTGCGATCTCGCGAGACTCTGAGCAGACAGCCCAGCTAACCTGCCGAGACTCCTGACAGAGTGAGAAGTCGTCTCAAAAAAAAAAGTACTATTTATTTTACTTTTTTTTTTTTTTTTTTTCAGACAGAGTCTGACTGTCCCCTAGGCTGGAGTCCAGTGGCGCGATCTCGGCTCACTGCAAGCTCCGCCTCCCCAGTTCACGCCATTCTCCTACCTCAGCCTCCGGAGTAGCTGGGACTACAAGCGCCGGCCACCACGCCTGGCTAATTTTTTTGTATTTTTGGTAGAGACGGGGTTTCATCGTGTTAGCCAGGACGGTCTCGATCTCCTGACCTCGTGATCCGCCCGCCTTGGCCTCCCAAAGTGCTGGGATTACAGGCGTGAGCCACCGCCCGGCCAACAGTACTTTTGAGACGGAGTCTGGCTCTGTCGCCCAGGCTGGAGTGCAGTGGTGCGATCTCGGCTCACTACAACCTCTGCCTCCTGGGTTCAAGAGATCCTCCTGCCTCAGCCCCCCTAGTAGCTGGGATTACAGGCACACGCCACCATGCCCGGCTAACTTTTTTATTTTTTATTTTATTTTTTTGAGACGGAGTCTCGCCCTGACGCCGGGCTGGAGTGCGGTGGCCGGATCTCGGCTCATTGCAACCTCCGCCTCCCGGGTTGTATTTTTAGTAAAGACAGGTTTCACCATGTTGGCCAGGATGGTCTCGATCTCTCGACCTCCTGATCTGCCCGCCTCAGCTTCCCAAAGTGCTGCGATTACAGGCGTGAGCCACTGCGCTTTTCTTTTTTTTTCTTTTTTTTGAGACAGAGGTTCGCTCTTGTTGCCCAGGCTGGAGTGCAATGGCACGATCTCGGCTCACCGCAACCTCTGCCTCCCAGGTTCAAGCGATTCTCCTGCCTCAGCCTCCCAAGTAGCTGGAATTACAGGCATGCGCCACCATGCCAAGCTAATTTTTTTTTTTTTTTCAGTAGAGACGAGGTTTCTCCATGTTGGTCAGGCTGGTGTCCAACTCCCCATCTGAGGTGATCCGCCCGCCTTGGACTGCCAAAGTGCTGGGATTACAGGCGTGAGCCGCCGCACCGGGCCAGAAATAGTACTTTCAAATGTGGTTCCACTGGGCAGGTATACATGTGGCTCAAGGACTTCAGAGAGCAAATGATATCTGACTTCAGAGAGCAGTGATATCTGATTCTTTTTTTTTTCTTTTTTTGAGACGGAATCTCACCCTGTCGCCCAGGCTGGAGTGCAGTGGCGCTATGTCTGCTCACTGCAAGCTCCGCCTCCTGGGTTCACGCCATTCTCCTGCCTCAGCCTCCCGAGTAGCTGGGACTACAGGCGCCCGCCATCACACCGGTCTAATTTTTGTATTTTTAGTAGAGACGGGGTTTCACCATCTTAGCCAGGATGGTCTCCATCTCCTGACCTCGTGATCAGCCCGCCTCGGCCTCCCAAAGTCTTGGGATTACAGGCGTGAGCCACCGCGCCCGGCCCTGATTCTTATTTTAAGATATCCTTCACTGTGTTATACTACATTATACTTTTATTCTTTCTTTCTTTCTTTCTTTCTTTCTTTCTTTCTTTCTTTCTTTCTTTCTTTCTTTCTTTCTTTCTTTCCTTCCTTCCTTCCTTCCTTCCTTCCTTCCTTCCTTCCTTCCTTCCCTCCCTCCCTCCCTCCCTCTTTCTTTCTTTCTTTCTTTCTCTCTTTTTTTTGAGACAGTCTCACTCTGTCACCCAGGCTGGAGTTCAGTGGCAAGATCTCGGCTCACTACAACCTCTGCCTCCTGGGTTCTAGCGATTCTTGTGCCTCAGCCTCCAGTGCACCACCATGCCCGGCTATTTTTTTGTATTTTTAGTAGAAATGGGGTTTTCGCTTTGTTGGCCAGGCTGGTCTTAAACTCCTGGGCTCAAGTGATCCACCGTCTTCGGCCTCCCAAAGTGCTAGGATTATAGGTGTGAGCCACTGCATCCAGCCTATTTTTCTAATTCCAAGCCTTAGTAAAAATCTTAACTACATATGGTATAACTTGGAGATAAATGAAGGGTACTGTATCTACTCTTTGAAGGAAAATAGAGCTCCATGTTTGAAATCAACAAGGAAAAGCTCTTAGAAGACACCAGTAGAGAAGTCAAAAGGCACATAAGTAAATTTGTGAAAAATAGAAGTCCTGCCAGGCGCGGTGGCTCACGCCTGTAATCCCAGCACCTTGGGAGGCCGAGGTGGGTGGATCACGAGGTCAGGAGATCAAGACCATCCTGACTAACATGGTGAAACCCTGTCTCAACGAAAAATACAAAACAAAACAAAACAAAACTAGCCGGGTGTGGTGGCATGTGCCTGTGGTCCCAGCTACTCAGGAGGCTGAAGCTGGAGAGTTGCTTGAACCCAGGAGGAGGAGGTTGCAGTGAGCCGAGATCTCACCACTGCACTCCAGCCTGGGTGACAGAGCCAGACTCTGTCTCAAAAAATAAAAAAAAAGAAAAATAGAAGTCCTTTTCTGTGATCTTTCAAATGCTTGGGAGAAGCTGGGTTTTCCTGCTGTCAGTCACTCAGGATGGGAGGTTCTGATGGTTTTATTTTGCTCTTGAAGAAAAGGGTGACCCCAGAAGCTAGGTTAACTAAAATTTCCAAAGTTAGACGAAAAGGGAAGGAAAGAGATGAGACAATAAATCTAGGTTTCAAAAGCAAGGCTCTTTTTATTTGTTTATTATTTTTTAAAAGCTTTGTTTGTTTTAGGAAGACAGAATTAGGTTGCTTTCAGGCCCAAAGGATGTCAGGGAGGTCAACTGGATTTTCTTCTCTCCCCACAACTATACCTTGATCTTCCAAAAGGAGACAATGCCCTGTCCTGTTTCTCAGTTTAAGCCTAAAGATAAAATTCTAAAGTTTCTAAGCAGCTTTTAGTTGTTTGTTTTTCTGATCTGGAAAGGTGTCCCAGTGCTAACTTCCATATTGTTTGTCTGCTAGAGCTAAGAGTTTTTCTTCTATTTTTCTTTGATACCACCCCTTTATGATCATGAAGTTTATTCTTAGAAGTAGTCGGTATTTCTGAGCCCAGGTAATACCTACATGTCCTCATTTATTTAACAAGAAATTGGCCTTGGTCCTTATTTCAATTCTTGTTCTAATAATCTGCTTAGTGCCCCTCTGTCCCTTCTTAAAACCAGGACCAGTCCTCCAACTGAAGGCAGAGATATCATCCATGAGGGGCTATAATACATAGTGAAGATCAGTTTCGCAGATGCTGTTAGTCTGTCCTCTTGGATTTCTGTGTTGTTCTCCTTTATTTCCTGCTTCCTTACCCCTACCAGGAAAAAAATCCTACTTGTTGGGGTTTTGGTGATTAGAATATTGGGGATTATTTTACCCTTGGATACTATGTTAGTCATCAGGGCTGTTCACAAATATTCAGGTTCTCTTTCTCATGACATGGTAGGATTACATTTTCTGCCCTCTTTTTTTCTTTTTTTTTTTTGAGACTGAGTCTTGCACTGTCGCCTGGGCTGGAGTGCAGTGGCGCGATCTAGGCTCACTGCAACCTCTGCCTCCCAGGTTCAAGCGATTCTCCTGCCTAGGCCTCCGGAGTTGCTGGGATTACAGGCACCTGCCACCACACCCAGCTAATTTTTTGCATTTTTAGTAGAGAAGGGGTTTCACCTGTCTCGAACTCCTGACCTTGTGATCTGCCCGCCTCGGCCTCCCAAAGTGCTGGGATTACACGCGTGAGCCACTGCTCCCAGCCTCTGCCCTCTTAAAGTTAGGTTTGGCCATCTGACTTTGGTGGCCACTAAAATATGAGTGGAAGTAAAGCACACTGCTTCTAGGTGGAAGCTTTTTAATGGCTACAGCAAGACACTGCAACACTAGCAATTAAATTTTATGATCCCTACTGTCACAATTTTGAAAACATGTGTCTCAGTGAAGCCTCTACCAACCTAAGGACCTCAGTGATTAAAATGAGAGAGTCCATGCAGTGGACATTTTGCTGAGCTCCCCAGATCCACCCTTTAGGTCTAAAGCATTCTTTCTCCCAACTGCTGGAACTGCTGGTGGCTGACAGTGGTCAGCTGGGTCCCTCTCTGGGGGTAGCTGTTGGCTAAAGAGAGCCCTTTTATCAAAGGTCACGTCTGTCTTTTTTTTTTTTTTTTGAGATGGAGTCTCGCTCTGTCACCCATGCTGGAGTGCAGTGGCGTGATCTCGGCTCACTGCAAGCTCTGCCTCCCGTGTTTCACGCCATTCTCCTGCCTCAGCCTCCCGAGTAGCTGGGACTACCGGCGCCTGCCGCCACGCCCGGCTAATTTTTTGTATTTTTGGTAGAGACGGGGTTTCACCGTGTTAGCCAGGATGGTCTCGATCTCCTGACCTCGTGATCCGCCTGCCTCGGCCTCCCAAAGTTCTGGGATTACAGGCGTAAACCACCGCTCCAGGCCGGTCACATCTCTTTCAATATGTGCAGCCCACATCCAGTGACTGGTTGGTGTGAAGGTATAATTTTACTGGGTTTTGCCGGGCGCAGTAGCTCACGCTTGTAATCCCAGCACTTTGGGAGGCCGAGGCGGGTGGATCGCCTGAGTTCAGGAGTTCGAGGCTAGCCTGGCCAACATGGTGAAACCCCATCTCTACTAAAAATACAAAAATTAGCCGGGCATGGTGGCACAAGCCTGTAATCCCAGCTACTTGGGAGGCTAAGGCAGGAGAATTGCTTGAACGCGGGAGGCGGAGGTTGCAGTGAGCCAAGATCGTGCCAATGCACTCCAGCCTGGGCTACAAGAGCGAAACTCCGTCTTTAAAAAAAAAAAAAAATTTACTGGTTTTACCCAACTTGGCTAGGCAGTCTGTCTAATGCTGGATTTCCTACTCCAAGGCAGCATTCAAGGAGCCTAAATTATCAGTATACTTGAGGGACTTTTTCCCTAGATGTACTCCACTGAAGGAATCTTGAATGAAAAGCTTGCTGGGTTTGGGGGGTCTTTTAGGTGTACCTTAAAGTGTTAGCAGACACAGATTAGGACAATGCTGAAAGGCCAGCCCAGCTCCAGAATTCCTGCAGGATTGATTGATGCCTCAGTTGCAAATGTGTTGCAATTCAACTTCTCCCTCTGCCCAGTCTTGCATCCCTCAATCCCCACAGAGGTTGCTCTTGCCATCATTAGGTAATAACCTCCTGCATACAAATTTCAGAGTTTCAGTGTCTATTTCCTGTGAACTCAAGTTGCGATGGGTCCCCTGATGACTTATATCAAACATGTAACATGTGTGAGAAATAAACCTTTATTGCAATAAGATGCTGAGATTTGGTGAATGTTACTGTAATTTAGCCCATCCTAATTAGTACAGATGCCAAACCTCACCTGCATCACCAGTCCTTTGTTCTCAGCTGAGCTTGACTTACATTGTCTGCCTTTTGTCGTGGACAGGTTTCTTGCCAAGTCTTAATTCTGTTCTTTGATGTTCTTTCTCACTGTGAGTGAACAGCCATGTCCCAACTGAAATATCACAAGAAGGAACAGAAAAGGGAAGAGGGTACATATCTAGTTGTCTACCTACCAAGTCAGCGGCATGTGTTTTTTCTTGTGAATTTCCTAAGACCTTTTCTTTATGTTCTATATAATTTATCATACATTTATAACATGTACGGTAGTCCTCCCTGCCCCTTATCCACAAGGAACTTGTTCCAAGACCTCCAGTGGATGCCTGAAACTGCAGACAGTACTGAACCCAATTGCTATAAACTGGAATACATTTCTATTATGTCTTCTACCCACAAATTTAATGCCTTTTCCATCTTAACTAAGCACTTATTACACATTGTGGCCATCACTTTTGCAGTTTGAGGTATGGCAGCAAAACTAGCATGAATTTATTTTTTCTTCACAATTCAGTTTCACAGATAGATTTTTTTTTTTTTTTTTGCCAGAGTCTCTATCGCCCGGGCTAGAGTGCAATGGGCAACCTCCACCTCCTGCGTTCAAGTGATTCTCTTGCTTCAGCCTCCGGAGTAGCTGCTGGGATTACAGGCACGTGCCACCACTCCCAGCTAATTTTTGTATTTTTGGTATAGACGGGGTTTCACCATGTTGGCCAGGCAGGTCTTGAACTCTTGACCTCAAGTGATCCTCCTGCCTTGGTCCCCCAAAGTGCTGGGATTACAGACGTGAGCCACTGCACCCTGCCAAAGATTCATTGTTACCAGCAATCTTAGCAACCTCAGCCTATAATTTTTTTCCCTCCTTATTAAGTCAAGAACTCTGACTTTTTTTTTTTTTTTTTTTTTTTTTTTTTTTTTTTTTTTGAGACAGAGTCTTGCTCTGTCGCCCAGGCTGGAGTCCAGTGGCATGATCTCGGCTCACTGCAAGCCCCACCTCCCGGGTTCATGCCATTCATTCACTGCCTCAGCCTCCCGAGTGGCTGGGACTACAGGCGCCTGCCACCACGCCTGGCTAATTTTTTTGTATTTTCAGTAGAGACAGGGTTTCACCGTGTTAGCCAGGATGGTCTCGATCATCCTGACCTTGTGATCTGCCTGCCTCGGCCTCCCAAAGTGCTGAGATTACAGGCAAGAACTCTGACGTTTTAACTTACAGGAAGCACTTTACAGCTTCTGTATGGCTGAATTGCCAGCATCACTACTCTTGTGCTTTGGGGCCATTATTAAGTAAAACGAGGGTTAGTTGAACACAAGCACTTGGATATTGCATACTGCCACAGTCAGTCTGATAAGAGACTGCTACTAAGTGATTAAGGAGGTTATAGCGGATACACTGTACAAACCATGATTCACATCCCAGAAGGACAGTGTGGGATGGCAGCGATTTCCTCACAGCTAGTTAGTAACAGTACTCAATTTAAAATTTATGAGGCCAGGCGCAGTGGCTCACGCCTCTAATCCTATCATTTTGGGAGGCCAGAAGGGCGGATCACCTGAGGTCAGGAGTTCGAGACCAGGCTGACCAACATGGTGAAACTCCATCTCTACTAAAAATACAAAACTAGCCGGGTGTGGTGGCGCATGCCTGTAATCCCAGCTACTCAGGGGGCTGAGGCAGGAGAATCGCTTGAGTCTGGGAGGCGGAGGTTGCTGTGAGCTGAGATCGTGCCATTGTGCTCCAGCTTGGGCAACAAAAGAGAAACTACGTCTCAAAAAAAACAAAAACAACAACAACAAAAAAAAACACCACTTATTATTTCTGGAACTTTCCATGTAATATTTTCAGACCGTGGTTGACTGCAGGTAACTGAAACGGTGGATAAGGGGGAACTACAAAAAGGACACTTAATGTTTCTTGGAAAAAATCTTAAGCAAATAAAAATTGAATGATGAAGTACTTGATCTCAATTTGAGGAAGATAAAAGTGTACTACGAATTAATAAACTTTAAACTTTCTGCACCTCTAACATACTAAAATCCAATTTCTCTGAGTGCTAGAAACTCTCAGTTCTTGAAAGACAAATGGTAAAACAATACCGTTTCTAATTTAGACCTTTTGGGCAAAACAAAATACAGTAATAAAGCTATAAAGAATCGGTCGGGGGCGGTGGCTCACGTCTGTAATCCCAGCACTTTGGGAGGTCGAGACGGGCGGATCACGTGAGGTCAGGAGTTCGAGACCAGCCTGGCAAACATGGTGAAACCCTGTCTCCACTAAAAATACAAAAATTAGCCGGGCGTGATGGCGCCGCCTGTAATCTCAGCTACTCGGGAGGTTCAGGCCGGAGAATTGCTTGAACCTGGGAGGTGGAGGTTGCAGTGAGTCGAGATCGCGCCACTGCACCGCAGCCTGGTCGACAGAGCAAGACTCCGCCTCAATAAATAAATAAATAAATAAATAAAACCTAAATAAATAAAGCTAATGAATCAAAGCATATGCTCTTCGTCTTTTTAAGGGATTTTACTAGGTAGAATTTTTTTTTCTCTGTCTAAAGGGTAAACAGCATAAACATATTTCAACTAAAAAGAGTCTTAGAATCCGGGGTTGGTATTGCTACAACCCCTAATTATGGAAGATGTTTAGTATAACAGAACCAGTTTAAGGAATGTGGAGATTTATTTACATCAAATTCAGATAAAGAGGTAACAGCGGACTAGAAGAAGCAAGCAGAGCATGACTTAAGGAGTCTATCTATGACTGTATCTGTGGAACTGCCCTTAGCCACAATGAAAGACCAGCAAAACCAGCCTTCAGCATAACCCTCCTGCCTGGTAGGAGATGGGAAGGCCAGACTTCACCCCTCAAGATCGCCCTCCCACGCGCATTTTCCACCTCGCAGCTAAGAATTCAGTCCAGACTTCCGATCATGGCGCCACGCACGTCACCTTCTCCCCTCGCCGCCAGCAAAATCCCACCCACGTCGGCTGACCCCGCAGCGGGGTGTAAGGGCGGGAGGGATCCCGTCTCCTATACTGGTCGCTTGTACAAACCAGATCCAAAAAACGCACTACACAAATCCTTGGAAACTGCGGTACCAACGGGATCTTCTCAATTCCTTGAGTGCAAAATGATCCCACTCTCTATCCCGACACAACTCTAACTCCATTTTCCTTTCACGTGCCCTAAAAAGCCCTCAAGGCCCCCAGCCTTGGTGAATCCAGGCCCTCTCTCGGGGTGGGCACCGCGCTGTACGGACAGACGCGCGCACGCAGCGGGACGATTTATAGAATTAAAAGTCTTTTTTTTTTTTCTGGCTTCGCATCCTTGCAAATACTCAATATTCCTGTCAACTAAGAAGGCTAAGGGAATGGGCGGTTGAGGAAAGCAGGACGTCGATTACAGCGAACACATCAAAGGGGTGGTCTTTCCAATTCCGGCTTTTGTTTGAGTCAGAGGGGAGCCTGAGGAGGCCAAGGTCTCCGGTTCTGGGAAAGGCGGGTCCATCCGGATTCTTTGGGCTGCGGAGAGGGAGGTTCCAGCCCCGTGAAACAACAGAGGGCAGTTCTGCCCCTCGAGGCTTTCCTCCGAGAGTACTGAGACGGAGACGCCTCAGTCGGGAGAAATCCCGGAACTCGGAGGAGTCTGCTGAACGCCGAACAAAAGGATGTGGCCGTCGTCTCTTAAACAAATACGCGAATCCCAAGCCATGCACATTTGGAAGGCATGTGTATGTGTGTGAAGGAGAAAGGCCACCGCTGCCCACCGCAGCCCCACCCAGCCCTCGGCCATTCACCGGAGAGACGCGCTGCGGTGGGGCCTCGGAGCCCTCAGCCAGCCCCGAACGAGGGGCGGGGCCGGGCGGGGCCGTGAGCGCGCAGGCGCAGTGCGGGCTTCATCCCGCCGCCGGCGCCGCCGCCGCCGCCGCCCGCTCTGCACCACAGGCTAGAGACAGACAGGGCCGGGAAGAGCCGGAGACTGAGGAGGAGGCGGAGGCGGCGGCGGAGGCGGGGCGACTCCGGTGACCGGGAGCGCCGCAGACTGGCAGCTGCGGCGACTCCCCCCTTTGTGTCTGGTCTGCTCGGAGCCACTGGAAGTGCCTCCCGGAGGGACGCAGGGTGTCTCGCCGCCTCCCTGCCCACCCCCTTCCCCGGCTACCTTCATCCGCCCTCCCGCCGCCCCCCGCCCTCGGTCCGCGACGCCCGAGTTCCGTCAGGAGCCCAGAGCTGCGGGAGAACGAGGCGGCGGCGGCGGCGGCGGCGGCGGCGGCGGCGGCAGCAGCAGCGGCTTCCTCGGGGGGTTGTGATTCGCTCACAGGAGCCATTGACGGGAGAAGAGGAGGCTTTCTTGGTGGAATTTACCTCAGGCAAGATCGAGCCGCAGGAATAAAAAGCGAGGAAGGGAAGGGAGCGCCGCCGGGAGGACTAGAAGGGGCAGCCTCTCACACCCACTCCGCCTGCCGTCTCGGGGAGCCCGGACCGGGGCCGCGACCGCGACCCCTCCCCTCCCCCGCTCCTACCTCTCCTCAGCCTTCGCCAGGGCCTCCCCAACCCTCTCACGGTTGTTCTGCGAAGGCGTGGGGACTGTGAGCTTGTCCATGGAGGCAGGCACCTTTTTTGATCCAGTCAAGGAAGAGGATTTGTTGTTTTCGAAATCAGAGTGAAGGAAGCACCGAAGCGAAACTTAAGGAATCCTGCCTTCCCGGAGCCGCGGGCGATGCGACTAGGGCTGCCGGGCGCCGCCGCCGCCCGTCCGGCTTCGTCCTTCCCGGCAGTCGGGAACTAGTTCTGACCCTCGCCCCCCGACCCCGGATCGAATCCCCGCCCTCCGCACCCTGGATATGTTTTCTCCCAGACCTGGATATTTTTTTGATATCGTGAAACTACGAGGGAAATAATTTGGGGGATTTCTTCTTGGCTCCCTGCTTTCCCCACAGACATGCCTTCCGTTTGGAGGGCCGCGGCACCCCGTCCGAGGCGAAGGAACCCCCCCAGCCGCGAGGGAGAGAAATGAAGGGAATTTCTGCAGCGGCATGAAAGCTCTGCAGCTAGGTCCTCTCATCAGCCATTTGTCCTTTCAAACTGTATTGTGATACGGGCAGGATCAGTCCACGGGAGAGAAGACGAGCCTCCCGGCTGTTTCTCCGCCGGTCTACTTCCCATATTTCTTTTCTTTGCCCTCCTGATTCTTGGCTGGCCCAGGGATGACTTCCTCGCTGCAGCGGCCCTGGCGGGTGCCCTGGCTACCATGGACCATCCTGCTGGTCAGCACTGCGGCTGGTGAGTAGCTCCGGCCGGCACGTCCCGGCCACTGCCCCTGCGGGTGGCGAGGGAGGGAGCCCGCAGAGGCCGAGGCCTGTGCTTGCCCTTCGCCATGCGTCCCCCCGATCGCGGTGCAGCGGAGCTGCGACCCGGTGCCTGCGCGCCTGCCCCATGCCTTCCAGGGAAATCGCCTTTAATATTCTTGTGTATTTTCCTATCCCCACTTCCATATTCCCACCCCACCCCCCTTTACGGGGTGAAAAAGACATATTGGGTGTGGTATCTTGACATTTTTAGCTGTGAGGTAATGCAACGATTAAAAATAATATTTTAATCACCAGTGAACAGTGCTTATTATGAGATCTCTGGAAACAGACCTGTAGATTTTTAAAATTATTATTATAAAGAAGCGGTTTTGGCTTATAGTAAAAAGAACATCAACTAGAGAACACACACTTGAACCTTATTTTGAAATTTAGATCACTCTGGGAATCCATGTTCCTTTCATTATTCAGAAATGTTACCGAATGAATAGAATAAATGTTGAGGAAGCCAGAACTGTGAGATTCTTGATATATTGTATTATACGGTTTGATAACTTTACTGTTAGTCATCTGGCATCTATCTATTGGCTTTGCTGTCGAGACAACTTTGACCTGACATTAGACTTCTAGGAGATTTGACTCCGAAAGTTCTTTGACATTTCACTAAAGTCTAAAGGGTGGTAGTCATCCTTTCCTTTGGATATTTTCATTTCAGTTCTCAGAAACCTTAGGAAAAAGACCTTATCTTCTATTTGCAACTATTTTTTCAAGCAGCCTTTTGGTGATTTGCTTTTAGAAATTTTCAGGAGTGAATTCTACATATAACTCGTACACTTGGTTTATGATGGGCAAATGGATTGTGCTTTTAAAACGAGTAAAGGACCAAATGACCCTTTCGAATTACTTTTTTTCTTTTGATAAGTGTGTTTCACATTAAACAAATTTCTCATTGCTATGTTAGATACAGAGGTTACTTGCTTATTTTCATTTTGAAAGTCTGATCTAGGAAAATGCCGAAGAAAATTTGAAGTTTCCTTTTATGCTTTTGCTATTGTTGAATAATGTCTACTGTTGATTAATGTCTGTTAAATTGATGATAAATCTATATGGTTCTGTTAAAATAATTTGAACTTCTGAGTTTACTTTAAAACTGATATTTTAATATTTTTAATAATTGTAGTTGCTTTCAGAGTAAAAATGATTTTTCTCTAAATTTCTTTATATTGTGTTAGCTATTTAAATTCTCTAGCCATAAGCCATGTGGTTCCTGTAAAATATGGAGTAAAAGGCCTTAAACGTTCCATGAGCAGAAATCTCAGAACATAGGCTTTTCAATGTTATTTGTTATTCTTAACCTTTTTAGAATATAGATTCTCATTTATGATGACGTGCTCATAATATTGTGATCAGAACTGATAAAAGTAAGAGAAAAAGCATTTATTTAAAAATAAACTTAATTTTTGTTTGGTAATACAATCATCTTAGAATAGTGTCTCTTAAAAGGGAGAGAGTAAAAGAATCACTGCTTAAAAGTGGTTGTAGTCTTTTTTTTCTTTGGTATTGCATAGCACCAGATGACAAAATTTGTGAAGCTGGATTTCAGACCTGTAACAGTAATGATAATAGCTAGTATTTATTAAGTGCCTGCCATGCACCATCAGCTATTCAAATAACTTTACATATATTTTTTCATTTCGTCTTCATGACAATTCTATGTTGTAGGTTATTATCATTCCCCTTTTCCATAGAGGGAGAGTAAAGTACAGAGAATTTGAATAACTCACCACACAGTCAGTAAATTATGGAGCCAGGATTATAGTGTGCGCCCTCACATACCACATTAATGGTAACAGCAGCACTAGCAGCAACAACTTCTCATCTTATTGGATATATGAGATGGAGTAATTAGCCTTCACCAGATCAACCTTTGTAAAGAAGCAGGGACACTTACAAGGTGTTAGTGCAGCAGTGGTTATGCAAATGTCGTAGTTCTGAACATGTAAAACTTTGCTTGGCCTAATATTGAAGTGGCTAGTGCAGCTTCATTAAGTGCAAGCTGATTAGAGAGGGCCTGTGTGGATTTGGGTTACACAGATGCAGTGATGTTAACTCGACAGGCGCAAATGGTGCAGCTGAACAGGAAAATAAATCCTAGAAGACTGATTGATAGCACATCCTTTTTCGGGGTCATGGATAAATCATTTCTTTTGATTCCCTCTTTCTCACTTATTGAGTTCTTGGACTCCTTAATTCTTAGAACATTTTCTTTCTTTCTTTCTTTCTTTCTTTCTTTTTTGTTCAGACAGAGTATCACTCTGTCGCCCAGGCTGGAGTGCAGTGGCACGACCCTGGCTCACCACAACTTCCGCCTCCCAGGCGCAAGTGGTTCTCCTGCCTCAGCCTCCAGACTAGCTGAGATTACGGGAGCCCACCACCATGCCCAGCTAATTTATTTTTATTTTTTGTATTTTTAGTGGAGACGGGGTTTCACCATTTTGGCAGGGTGGTTTCGAACTCCTGACCTCGTGATCCACCTGCCTCGGCCTCCCAAAGTGCTGGGATTACAGGCATGAGCCACCACACCCCGCCTAATTCTTAGAACATTTTCTATGCCCCCCCCAAAAAAAAAAACAACTTATGAAAAATAAGATGTGCTGGCTTGGTTTATGAATGAATTCTTAATAAAAGAATACAACACAGCTATTATTTAAAGGTCAACTTCTGTAATGCGTTTTAAATAATTCACTTGATTAGATTGCAATTTTACATACATCTCTTGAGGAACACACACATTATATAAAGTAAGATTAATCTAATGTTAGTGAATATTACTGAGTAACTGAAGTTTAGTAATCTTCATTTTAGTTTTTCTCAAAGTGTGGGTACTGCAACAGAATTACCTGGGGTTCTTGATAAAAATGCATATTTTTGGCCCTATAGTCCAGATGTACTGAATGAATCTCTCTGGGAGAACCCCCGCAAAGTCTCACTCAAGCAGGTGCTTGAGAAGCACTGCTTTATATCATCAGTCCTGATTGTTTGGATTTCTTTCTTTTTTTTTTTTTTTTTGAGTTTTGCTCTTGTTGCCCAGGCTGGAGTGCAATGGTGTGATCTCGGCTCACTGCAACCTCCACCTCCCGGGTTCAAGCAATTCTGCCTCAGCCTCTCGGGTAGCTGGGATTACAGGCATGTGCCACCACTCCTGGCTAATTTTGTATTGTTAGTAGAGACAGGGTTTCTCCATGTTGGTCAGGCTGGTCTTGAACTCCTGATCTCAGGTGATCTGCCCGCCTCGGCCTCCCAAAATGCTGGGATTATAGGTGTGGGCCACTGTGCCTGGCCCTGGCCCTGGCCCTGGCCCTGGCCCTGGCCCTGGATTTCTTTCTTTCTTTTTTTTTTTTTTTTTTTTTTTTTTTGAGACAGAGTCTGGCTCGGTCACCCAGACTGGAGTGCAGTGGCGCCATCTCAGCTCACTGCAACCTCTGCCTCCCGGGTTCAAGTGATTCTTCTGCCTCAGCCTCCCAAGTAGCTGGGACTACAGGTGTGCACCACCACACCCGGCTAATTTTTGTATTTTTAGTAGAGACGTGGTTTTACCATATTGGCCAGGCTGATCTCAAACTCCTGACCTCGTGATCTGCCTGCCTCTGCCTCCGAAAGTGCTGGGATTATAGGCATGAGCCACCACGCCTGGGCTGGATTTCTTAAATATGGTGATTCAGTGACATTTTGCTGTGTAATTATTGGCAACCACAAAATCTTAGTGGCATGCAACAATAGGCATTTATTCTGCTCCATGTGTCTCTTTCTGGGGTCCAGGCTAGAGGGAGAAGTAACATCTATCTGGGGGAGGCTTGTGTCATGGCATTGGCAGAAGTGCAAGAGGCCAAGCCCAACCCTACCAGCACATTTCCAGACTCTGCTCTCCTAACATCCCATTGGCTGACCGAGTCATATGGCTAGGCTAAGCTCAGAAACAAGAGGTATCAAAGTACACTTTGCCTGTGATGAGGCTAATGTAATATTTGGATATATAGTACTATTGCAGAAGAACGAAGAATTGAAATTCTCAGTAGACCACATATAACCAGTAAGATGGTCCAGAAGGGAGGCTTTTCTTACCCTTTGAAGAGGGCCAACCTCTTAATTAGTTTTTTGCATTAAAATGATATAAACTTTGGTCTCTACAAAAGCTATTCTGGCATGTGGGATGATGTGATAGTAGTGGTATTGATGTGGATGAGTAGTGAGGTGAGAGATAACTGTTCACACAAGACAAAACCTTTCCTTCATTAAAGGCCAGTTTTTTTTTTAACAAAAAGAGAAGAAATTGAATATTGATCTCTAATGGGTAAATTCTAACCATTAAAAAAATACTGAGTGGAATCTGTGTGAATCAGTTAATTTTATAATTGGCCACACCACTTATTTTGGCACCTACTCATAGATTGCTGTGCTGCTGGATATCAGTTTTTGTTTTTGTTTTTTTTTTTTTTTTTTTGAGATGGAGTCTTGCTCTGTCACACAGCCTGGAGTGGAGTGGCACGATCTCGACTCATTACAACCTCCACCTCCCAGGTTCAAGCCATTCTCCTGCCTCAGCCTCCCGAGTAGCTGGGATTATAGGTGTGCACCATCATGCCTGGTTAATTTTTGTATTTTTAGTAGAGATGGGGTTTCACTATGCTAGCCAGGCCGGTCTCGAACTCCTGATCTTGTGATCCACCTGCCCTGGCCTCCCAAAGTGCTGGGATTACAGGTGTGAGCCACCACACCCGAAATTTTTTTATTTTTAGTAGAGATGGGGTTTCACCATGTTGGCCAGGCTGGTCTCAAACTCCTTACCTCAGCTGATCCACCCACCTTGGCCTCCCAAAGTGTTGGGATTACAGGTGTGAGCTACCGCACCTGACCAGGTATCAGTTTTATGTATTTGCCTTGTCCTTCCTACTGATAATTGCTTCCAGAGGACAGTATTCATGTCTGATTAGTTTTATAATTTAGTAGACATTTAAGAAATACTTAGTGAATGAATAATAAATAGGAATTTCAACCAGGAATATTCTAGGGTTGTTTATTGACTCAAATAACACACCAATAACTTTTTCTTTGTCCTAGTTCCTTCAACTATAAAGTATGTAGTTTAAGAGGTATAGTGGGAAGACCACTGTTGGGAGTTAATGAGACCTAGATTCTATATGATTCCGGGCAAATAGGTTACTTAACATAGTTTTCTTACTTGTAATAATATGGGGTTGTACTTGATCATTTTGAAATACAGATTCATGGGTACCCCACTAGACCTACTGAATCCAAATCTCTGGACAACGAGCCTGGGAATCTGCCTTTGATGCCCTCATCAGCCAGTAAATTTTAGGTACCTTTGAGAACTACTGGATCTAAGATTCTTTCTAACTCTCAAGTTCTATAACTTTATTTCTACTTTTTGTGGTAATTACTACTTAATCTATATCTTTTATTGCTTAATCTGGTAAACATTAGGAACAAACATTTCTTAATTTGTGCATTAAGCAATTACCCAAAATCTTTTCCTTTTAAAAATTTGCAGTGTGGCCTGGGCGAAGTGGCTTACTCTGTAATCCTGGCACTTGGGGAGGCCAAGGCAGGCGGATCACTTGAGGTCAGGATTTCGAGACCAGCCCTGCTGTACAAAAAATACAAAAATTTGGCTGGGAGCTGTGGCTCACACCTATAATCCCAGCACTTTGGGAAGCCAAGGCGGGCTGATAACCTGAGGTCAGGAGTTTGAGACCAGCCTGACTAACGTGGTGAAACCCCGTCTCTACTAAAATACAAAATTAGGCCAGTTGCCATGGCTCACGCTTGTAATCCCAGCACTTTGGGAGGCCAAGGTGGGCTGATCACCTGAAGTCAGGAGTTCGAGACCAACCCGGCCAACGTGGTGAAACCCTGTCTCTACTAAAAATACAAAATTAGCCGGGTGTGGTGGCACATGCCTGTAATCCCAGCTACTCGGGAGGCTGAGGCATCGCTTGAACCTGGGAAGCGGAGGTTGTGGTGAGCCGAGGTTGTGCCTTTGCACTCCAGCCTGGGCAACAAGAGCGAAACTCTGTCAAAAAAAAAAAAAAAAGAAAAAAACAAAATTAGCCACGCGTGGTGGTGCATGCCTGTAATCCTAGCTACTCAGGAAGCTGAGGTAGGAGAATCACTTGAACCTGGGAGGCGGAGGTTGCAGTGAGCCGAGATCGTACCACTGCACTCCAGCCTGGGTGACAGGGCGAGACTCCATCTCAAAAAAAAAAAAATTACTATTTTCAAAAGCACTAATATTGGCTGGGCCTGGTGGCTCATACCTGTAATCCTAGCACTTTGGGAGGCCGAGGCTGGTGGATCAACTGACGTTAGGAGTTTGAGACCAGCCTGGCCAACATGGTGAAACCCCATCTCTACTAAAAATACAAAAATTACCCGGGCGTGGTGGCGGGCGCCTATAATCCCAGCTACTTGGGAGGCTGAGGCAGGAGAATCACTTGAACCCAGTAGGCAGAGGTTGCAGTGAGCCAAGATTGTGCCACTTTACTCCAGCCTTGGCAAAAGAGTGAAACTCCATCTCAAAAAACAAAACAAAACAAAAAAACACTGATATGAAAGATTATATGCATGCCTAGAATCACAATGCCCAACACTGTACCTTAACCCTGCCTTGTGCATCAGTAACGTTTAAAATACATTACCCAAATTATCAAGATATAGTGCAAAATGTGTGCAATCATTCACGTCTTAAATGTGTCGACGGTGGACTTGGTGGAAAAATTATGAGACATGATAAAGTATTGTGCCAGAGGCATTGGCCTAAGAATTTTAGATGGAGTTAGGTATTTGGGACAGTTAGGTATTTGATCCACATCTCTTTCTGGAAGGTTAGATGCAAATGGAGGTTGAGAAATTTCAGTTTCTTTCTTTCTTTCTTTCTCTTTCTTTCTTTCTTTCTTTCTTTCTTTCTTTCTTTCTTTTTCTTTCTTTTCTTTCTTTTCTTTCTTTCTTTCTTTCTTTCGACGGAGTTTTGCTCTTGTTGCCCAGGCTGGAGTTCAATGGCAAGATCTCTGCTCACTGCAACCTTCACCTCCCGGGTACAAGTGATTCTTGTGCCTCAGCCTCCTGAGTAGCTGGGATTACAGGCATGCACTACCACACCCAGCTAATTTTGTATTTGTAGTAGAGACGGGGTTTCTCCATGCTGGTCAGGCTGGTCTCGAACTCCCGACCTCAGGTAATCTGCCTGCCTCAGCCTCCCAGAGTGCTGGGATTACAGACGTGAGCCACCGCACCTGGCCAAGAAATTTCAGTTTCTTAAAACCAGATCTCACTTCCCCTTTCTCCTTCAAGACAGTAGTTTGCCCTTATAATTGGTGTCAAAAATGTACATGATCATGTACTTTCATTCTGCCCCAGTAAGTTTAGTGCAAAATAGGAAAATTTAGAACAAAATGTGTTAATGATAAGTGTGAAGGGATGTATAAATATTTGGCCAGTAATCCAAATTCTTCAGTTTTTTGTTTCATTTAGATGAGGAAATAGTTAAGACTTTCTATTATTATTAATCTGTGTTCAGTCTTTGCTTTTGTAAATAAGAATAGTCTGTGAGCAAATCTATGTAATTGTAGTAGACACACCAGGCTAACCTTTTAGGGCAAGCTTTTTTTTTTGTTTTCATTTGAAAAATTAAGAGAAAAAATATTAATCTTCACACAACCCTAACACTTTTTGTTTTGGTATGTTTTCTTCTAATTAAAAAAAAGATGCTTTTTTTTTTTTTTTTTTTTTTGAGACGGAGTCTCGCTTTGTTGCCCAGGTGGGAGTACAGTGGCGTGATCTCGGCTCACGACAACCTCCACCTCCTGGGTTCAAGCGATTCTCCTGCCTCAGCCGCCCGAGTAGCTGGGACTACAGGTGTGCGCCACCATGTCCGGCTAGTTTTTGTATTTTTAGTAGACACGGAGTTTCACTGTGTTGGCCAGGCTGGTCTCGAACTCCTGACCTCGTGATCTGCCCGCCTCAGCCTCCCAAAGTGCTGGGATTACAGGCGTGAGCCACCACGCCTGGCAAAAAAAAAAAAAAAAGCATGTATTTTTATATGGTTGTGATTTTATAATATCTATTAATTATATCTGTTTTTTTTACATAGAATAATATAGTCATGTATATGTGATCTTAATAACTATCATTTTTTCATAATTGTGTGATATTCCATTGAGTGTATTTGTTATTTACTTAATTCATATTGGGAGATGTTTAGGTTGTTTCCGATTTTCTTCTCTAATAAACAATGCCATATTTAATACTTCTGTGCGTATGTCCTGCTTGTTGTTTGATTTATTTCCAAGTTCTTGTTTTGACCTATCTGTAGCATGAGCCAATTTAATCCTTTTTTTTCATCCTTCAAGTACTTTCTTCATTTGGCTTTTAAGATACTATTCTCTCTTGATTTTTCTCCTACCTCACCAGCAACTTTGATAGTTCCTCCTTATGTCCCTGATGGCTAAATGTTGTGTTTCAGGATTCAGTCTTTAGACCTTTTCTCTGTCTGCACCCACCCTCTTGGTGATCTCATCCAGTTTTATGGCTTTAAATAGCATCTAAAGGCGTACAAGTTTCAAATTTATTTCTATCTCAGACTTCTTTCCTTGAAATTCTGTTGCATGTAGCCAACTGTGTATCTGTCGTATCTACTTGGATGTCTGATATTCATCACAAACTTAACCTGTCCAAAACTGAACTTCTGAAGCTGCTTCACCAGACCTGTTCCTCCTATGTCTTAGCCTATTCAGCAAATGTCAGTTCTATCCTTCCAGTTGTTCAGGCCCCAAATTAGAGATATCTTTGTCTCTTCTCTTTCTTTTTTTCACATTCTTATCCAATCTGATAGCAAAAACTCTTGGCTTTACCTTCAAAATATATCTAGAATCTTATTGCTTCTTACCACCTCCACTGTGCTACTACCTTAATCTAAAAGCCACTATCTTCTCTTACTTGTACTTTTTTACTAGACTCTGTTTCCTCTGTTAACGTCTTTGCTTTATTACAGTCTCCTTTCAACATAGTAGCCTGAGTGACCCTTTTCTTTTCTTTTTTTTTTTTGCCAGACAGAGTCTTGCTCTGTCGTCTAGGCTGGAGTACAGTGGCGCGATCTCGGCTCACTGCAACCTCTACCTCCCGGATTCAAGTGATTCTCCTGCCTCAGCCTCCCGAGTAGATGGGATTACAGGCGCGTGCCACCACGCCCGGCTAAATTTTTTTTGTATTTTTAGTAGAGACGGGATTTCACTGTGTTAGCCAGGATGGTCTCAATCTCCTGACCTCGTGATCTGCCCACCTCGGCCTCCCAAAGTGCTAGGATTACAGGTGTGAGCCACTGCGCCCGGGCAGACCCTTTTCATACATAAGTTAGATAAGACATTTCTTTGCTTAAAACTATTGTCTTCCCATCTCATTCAGAATAATAGTCACAGTCATTTAAAATATTGTACACAATCTGGCTTCTGCAATTTATGACCTCATGTGCCAGCCTGTCTTGCTCAACTTTCATTGGGCTTTTAACTTTACAAACTAGGAAAGATTCTGAAAATTAAATATTTTAGAAGAGATTAGGTTTAAGATACCTTATTCTATCTAATTTGACAGTGGCTACAATTAGTTAATCTATATTGGGGAAGTGAAGAGACACATGAGCATTTCTCATCTTTAGTATAGTTACTAATACTAAGGGCCTTACATATTTACTGTGTTATCTCATTATCCTCTAAACAGACTGATCAGTACTATTATTTTTCTTTATTCTGCAGATGAGTAAACTGAGTAAGTGGGACACTTGGGAATCAAGGTCAGGCCCCTATGGCTCCAAAGCAAAACATTCATATAATACATAAAGTGTTAGTCTAAAGGTATAAAATACTTGGAATCTTTTAGGCATCTGAAAATCTTACTGGTATTTTGATCATGCCAGAATAATTGTCCAGATTGAACTATGTCTTAGATATAGTCTCTTCTTTTGCTGTAAATGACAGCAAATATCTTAGGTTTTGTTTTATGTGTAGCATTCAAATGTCAGTGGATAATAAAAAAATTCATTGAAGATTCAAAGCTTCAGTTTTGGAAAAGAACACCAGTTAGATTAGAAGAGTGATGATGACATATTTAGTTGAGGTTACATTTTTAATGTTTCCATGTGTTCTTAGTGATTAAAACCCCATGGGGCCAGTCTAGTGTGAAGAAAAACTTTTATTTAGTTACTTCACAAACGACTGTATTGTAGTGATAAGAAAGGCAAGATTAAAAACAGTCAAATGATATGAAGAGATGAATTTATTCATGTTACTTATTCAAACAGAGTTTTATGTGGGATATAACTTTTCTGAGATACTTAATCGTTTTTTCCTTTGGCTAAACCAATGTGTTAGCTTGATGAAACGTTATCAAGAATGCTAATCTATAAATTCAGTTTAGTCTTTCACACCAACTTGTTCCATTTGTACAGCTGTTTCTTAAGAATCATTGTTTGGCTGTCACGGTGGCTCATGTCTGTAATCCCAGCACTTTGGGAGGCCGAGGTGGGTGGATTAACTGAGATCAGGAGTTTGAGAACAGCCTGGCCAACGTGATGAAACCCTGTCTCTACTGAAAATACAAAAATTAGCTGGGTGTGGTGGTGCATGCCTGTAGTCCCAGCTACTTGGGAGGCTGAGGTAGGACAATCGCTTGAACCCGGGAGATGGAGGTTGCAGTGAGCCGAGATTGTGTCACTGCACTCTAGCCTGGGTGACAGAGCGAGACTCCATCTCAAAAAAAAAAAAAAAAAAAAAAAACATTGTTTGTCCATATACTTAGGTTTGTAAGAAATTGAGTTATTCTGATTCCTTGCTAAGGCCTTCTTTTAAAAGCAAGATACGCCGGGTGCAGTGGCTCACACCTTTAATCCCAGCACTTTGGGAGGCCGAAGCGGGCAGATCACGAGGTCAGGATATCGAGACTAGCCTGGCTAACACGGTGAAACCCCGTCTCTACAACAAAATACAAAAAAGAATTAGTTGGGCATGGTGGTGGGTGCCTGTAGTCCCAGCTACTCAGGAGGCTGAGGCAGAAGAATCCCTTGAACCTGAGAGGTGGAGGTTGCAGTGAGCCGAGATTGCGCCACTGCACTCCAGCCTGGGCGACACAGTGAGATTCAGTCTCAAAAAAAAAAAAAAAGCAAGATTTTAGTCTTAGGTTTTTACTGTGTTCTACTCTAAGCATCTAATAGGCTTTATATTTCACATTACCCTTTTAATGAAAATAGATTAAATTCAGTAACTGACATTCTTTAATAGATTAAATTCTAGTTATTTGCAATTAAAAGTGTGGGCTGGGTGCAGTGGCTCGCGCCTGTAATCTTTGGGAGGCTGAGGCAGGAGGATTGCTTGAGGCCTAGAGTTCGAGACCAGCCTGGGCAATATAATGAGAACCCTGTCTCTACAAACAATTTTTAAAAATCAGCTGAGTGTGAGTCTGTAGTACCAGCTACTTGGGAGGCTGAGGTGGGAGGCTCACTGAAGCCCAGGAATTGGAGACTGCAATGAGCTGTGATCATGCCACTGCACTTCAGCTTGGGTGACAGGTTGAGACCCTGTCTCTTAAATTTAAAAAACAAAAAAGGCTGGGTGTGGTGGCTCAGGGCTGTAATCCCAGCACTTTGGGAGGCCAGGGCGGGCAGATCATGAGGTCAGGAGATTGAGACCATCCTGGCTAACATGGTGAAACCCCGTCTCTACTAAAAATACAAAAAATTAGCTTGGCGTGGTGGCATGCGCTTGTAGTCCCAGCTACTCGGGAGGCTGAGGCAGGAGAATCGCTTGAACCCGAGAGGCAGAGTTTGCAGTGAGACGAGATTGCGCCACTGCCCTCCAGCCTGGGCGACAGAGTAAGATTCCATCTCAAAAAAAAAAAAAAAAAAAGACTTGTTTTTGCTTTTGATTTTATCATTTCTTTTAAAAAACTTTTTGTTATTTAAGATTCTAAAATTATACAAAGTCATTGTAAAAGGGTTTTATAAATTTATTTTTTTTTTTTTGAGACTGAGTTTTGCTCTTGTCCAGGCTGGAGTGCCATGGCTCGATCTTGGCTCACCGCAACCTCCGCCTCCTGGGTTCAAGTGATTCTCCTGCCTCAGCCTCCCGAGTAGCTGGGATTACAGTCATGTGCCACCACGTCCGGCTAATTTTGTGTTTTTAGTAGAGATGGGTTTTTCCATGTTGGTCAGGCTGGTCTCGAACTCCTGACCTCAGGTGATCCGCCCGCCTCAGCCTCCCAAAGTGCTGGGATTACAGGCGTGAGCCACTGCACCTGGCCCATTAAAAAGGGTTTTTAAACGATGATGATGGTGAAGTGTAGAAATGATAATGAAGTATACAAAAAAAAAAAAAAATCGTCTCGTGTTTCCTTAATCCCATTTCCTGGATGTAACCAGTGTTAATAGTTGGTGTATAATCTTTAATGCTTTTTTATATGTGCTATAAATAAATATCTGTATAATTAGAATTTGCTTCTAAACAAGGTGGAATAATATTGCGTATATTGTACATAAAGTTTTGTGATTATTGATCTGGGACAGTTCTAGAAGTAAGATCATGTGGTTAGAAATTTGTACATTTAAAATCTTGAAATGAACTGCTAGAATTTCTTCAAAATAGGTTGTACTGTCATTTCTACCAGTAGTGTATGAGAACCTCCCTTTTCTTTCGTGTTTTTTTTTTTTTTTTTGAGACAGAGTCTTGCGCTGTTGCCCAAGCTGGAGTGCAGTGGCACGATCTTGGCTCACTGCAACCTCTGCCTCCCAGGTTCAAGCCATCCTCCTGCCTCAGCCCCCCAGTAGCTGGAATTACAGGCACGTGCCACCATGCCTGGCTAATTTTTGTATTTTTAGTAGAGACAGGGTTTCACCATGTTGGCTGGGCTGGTCTCGAACCCCTGACCTCAGGTGATACACATGCCTCGGCCTCCCAAAGTGCTGAGATTACAGGTGTGAGCCACCGTGCTTGGCCGAGAATCTCCCATTTTCTTATACCTTTTCAAATACTACGTAATATCATTCTTTTCAATTTTTGCCAGAGCAAAATAAATGATATCTTGTTGGTTTAGAGTCCTTTAATTATTAGTGGAGCCAAGCTTTTCATGCTTGTCAGCCAGTTGTATTTCTCTGAATTGCCTATTCTAATGATTTGTTTGTTTTTCTTACTGATTTAAAGGTGTTACATGATATAAATATATGATATAAATGACTTTATGCAATTACAACTGCTTTTTTTTTCCTTTATGACATCTGGTTTTGTGTTATCTTAGGAAAGCCTCTACCTTATGTACAACTACCAAAAATGCTTTTAGTAAGTAGTCTTTTTTTTTTTTTTTTTTTTTTTTTTTGGGAGATGGAGTTTCACTCTTGTTGCCCAGGCTGGGGTGCAATGGCGCAACCTCTGCCTCCCGGGTTCAAGTGATTCTTCTGCCTCAGGCTCCCGAGCAGCTGGGATTACAGGCATGTGCCACCACCCCCAGCTAATTTTGTATTTTTAGTAGAGACAGGGTTTCTCCATGTTGGTCAGGCTGGTCTCGAACTCCTGACCTCAGGTGATCCGCCCGCCTCAGCCTCCCAAAGTGCTGAGATTACAGGTGTGAGCCACTGCGCCTTAGTAAGTAGTCTTATAGTTTTGTTGTTGTTGTTGTTGTTGTTTTTCAATAAAATAGGGCCTTGCTCTGCCACCCAGGCTGGAGTGCAGTGGTATGATCACAGTTCACTGTAACCTCAATCTCCCGGAAGCTCAAGTGATCCTCCCACCTCAGCCTCCCAGTAGCTGGGACTACAAGTGTGTACCACCATGCCCGGCTAATTTTTTTATTTTTTGTAGAGATGGGGGCTAGGCTGCTCTTGAACTCCTGGGCTCAAGCGACCCTTTTGCCTTGGCGTCCCAAAGTCCTGGAATTATAGGCATGCACCAACACACCTGACCAGTGTACACTCTTTTTTTTTGGAGACAGGCTGTCACCCAGGCTGGAGTGCAGTGGTTCAATCTCAGTTCACTGCAGCGTCTGCCTCCCAACTCAGGCCATCCTCTCACCTCAGCCCCCCGAGTAGCTGGGATTATAGATGCATGCCACCATGCCCGGCTACAGTCTACACTTTTTTCTTTTTTTTTTTTGAGATGGAGTCGCACTCTGTCGCCAGGCTGGAGTGCAGTGGCGCAATCTTGGCTCACTGCAACCTCCGCCTCCCGGGTTCAAGCGATTCTCCTACCTCAACCTCCTGAGTAGCTGGGACTACAGGCGCGCGCCACCACGCCCAGCTAATTTTTGTATTTTTAGTAGAGATGAGGTTTCACCATATTGCCCGGGATGGTCTCGTTCTCTTGACCTCGTGATCTGCCCACCTTGGCCTCCCAAAGTGCTGAGATTAAAGATGTGAACCACCGCACCCAGCCTACAGTCTACACTCTTTTTTTTTTTTTTTGAAAGAAGTCTCGCTCTCGTCCCCCAGGCTTGAGTACAATGGCTCAATCTTGGCTCACTGCGACCTCCGCCTGCCGGGTTCAAACGATTCTCCTGCCTCTGCCTCCCAAGTAGCTGGGATTAAAGCGCCTGCCATCACGCCTGGCTGGTTTTTGTATTTTTTAGTAGGGATGGGGTTTCACCATGTTGTCCAGGCTGGTCTGGAACTCCTGACCTCAGGTGATCCACCTGCCTCAGCCTCCCAAAGTGCTGAGATTACAGGCGTGAGCCACTGTGCCTGACCCAGTCTACACTCTTAACTGCTGGACTGTACTGTCTCTTACATAGTCAAGTTGTCTTCTCATCACTGAATTCCAAATAAAGAAAGTGTTACATTTGAGTTGAAAGTATCATTTAGGGACAGGTTATTTGATACGTGTAAAATATACTTCTGCGGACATGTCACAGTATATTTTATGTGTGTCATGGTAAGTAGGTGACCAATATCAATTGGGTAAAATGCCTGATCATTGGAACCCAGACATTTCTGGCTCTCATTGTAGAGCCTTACTTATTTTCATTTAAAAATGTCTAAGAGCTGTAGTTGTTTGAGTTTCTAGCTTTAAAAAGTTAAGGGAGCATCTGGCCGGGCGCGGTGGCTCACGCCTGTAATCTCAGCATTTTGGGAGGCCGAGGCGGGCAGATCATCTGAGGTCGGGAGTTCGAGACCAGCCTGACCAACATGGAGAAACCCCGTCTCTACTAAAAATACAAAATTAGCCGGGCGTGGTGGCACATGCCTGTAATCCCAACTACTTGGAAGGCTGAGGCAGGAGAATTGCATGAACCCAGGAGGCGGAGGTTGCGGTGAGCCGAGATCGTGCCATTGACTCCAGCCTGGGCAACAAGAGCGAAACTCCGTCTCAAAAAAAAAAAAAAAAAAAGTTAAGGGAGCATCAAATAGGTAAATAAATGACTAGTATCAATGACTTAAAATGGCTCAGCATGTACCTATATTTAATACATTCAGAACAACTTTGAGTTAGAACCTAGTCTCTGCAGTTGGTGTATGGAAATACATAGCATAAACTGGAATTAAACTGGAATTCTTTGTCACCCTAGTAGTCCATTCTAGTAGTCCTATTTCACAGGATGTGATACACTTAAGGTTAGAATAATGGTAGCAAGAGATAAACAGACAGAGTTTGGGGAGTCTGGGAGAGGAAGGAGACAAAATATTTTACTAAGTTTCTCTCATACTGTCTTTCTATCTCCACCCAAACTGCCCCAGCTTGGTGTAGCCTTATTGCCCTTGCCTTTGCTTTGATCTATACTGGAGTAGGCTCCAAAACGGTGTACGATTCTTTGACTGTGACCTCTGGTAGTAATTTAAAAATATATATATTTTTTTGTAGGGACAGGTCTCGCCATGTTGCCCAGGCTGGTGTCAAACTCCTAGGCACAAGCGATCCTCCTGACTCAGCCTCCCAAAGTGTTGGGGCTACAGCTGAGAGCTACTGTGCCCAGTCTAGACAGTAGTTTTAATGTTAGAAAGCCTTGAGGGTACTACTTGAAGCAAAGAATTATATTTGAAAACAGAATTCTAAACAGTGAAATAAATGACAGTACCAGAAGAAAGTTAACAGATAGGAATATTAAAATTACTAAGAGAATATACTCTGTGGGTTGCATTTATCACCTGTAAGTTAGGTGAGCTGATTCTTGAAATCTTTTCAAGCCCATTTTACTTATTTAGGTCACTAATTATAGAGTTTGTTGTTTAGAAGATGGCATCTAATTAAGGTAATGAGAGAGCGAGAGAGAGAGAGAGAGAGAGAGAGAGAGAGAGAGAGAGAGAGAGAGAGAGATTCCTGTGAGATTCAGCTGAGTCATATCATCAGTAATTATCTTGAGAACTGTGTTGGAGGAGCAGTGAATTTCTGTTGCTAATGAATATTTCATTATTGTTTGAAGGAACCGGTTGTATAAAAGATTACTCCTGGCCGGGCGTGGTGGCTCATGCCTGTAATCCCAGCACTTTGGGAGGATGAGGCAGGTGGATCACCTGAGATCAGGAGTTCAAGACCAGCCTGGCCAACATGGTGAAACCCTTTCTCTACTGAAAATACAAAAAAGTTAGATGGGCATGGCGGCAGGAACCTGTAATCCCAGCTACTTGGAGGCTGAGGCAGGAGAATTGCTTGAACCCGGAAGGCGGAGGTTGCAGTGAGCCAAGATCGTGCCATTGCACTCCAGCCTAGGCAACAAGAGTGAAACAACGTCTCAAAAAAAAAAAAGTAATAATAATAATAATAATATTTCCCCCAAAATAACTGACATTCATAAAATATACAGAGAACCATATTAGATGCTTACTAGAAGTAACAGATTAAGTAAAATAGCTACTGTTTAACAAAAGTAACTTCTCCCTTTATGAGTGCCTGCTATGTGTCAAGTGAAATGCAGTGTTTTTACATACATTTTCCTTAGATCCTCAGAGTAGCTGAAAGGTAGATATTTTTCCTGTTTTAGAGTTAGGGAAACAGACTAACAGAATAAGTACTTTGTCTAATGATATGTAAAAATAATTATTGAATTATTCATCGAGTACCTCCTTGTGGCAGGTATTATACTACGTGCTTTATTTAACCTGATTCTTATATCAGCTTTCTTTTTCATATATTTATGAAAAATATAGATTTTTTCATAAATAAAGATATTGAGGCACAGAGAGGTTAAATAAATCATCCAGAGTCTAGAAAGTGACAGAACTGTATTTCAAACCAGTATCTTCTTGATTTCTAAAAGTCTTTACTTTTTTTTATTTTTTTTTTTTTGAGACAGAGTCTCACTCTGTTTCCCAGGCTGGAGTGCAGTGGCGCAATCTCGGCTCACTGCAACCTCCGCCTCCCGGGCAAGCGGTTCTCCTGCCTCAACCTCCTGAGTAGCTGGGACTACAGGTGCCCGCCACCACGCCTGGCTAATTTTTGTATTTTTAGCAGAGACAGGATTTCACCATATTGGCCAGGCTGGTCTTGAACTCCTGATCTCGTGGTTCACCCGCCTCGGCCTCCCAAAGTGCTGGGATTACAGGCATGCGCCACCACGCCTGGCAAGTCTTTACTCTTAACCATGTTTCCTCTCATGACTTCTTCATGTTGTAAGATACAATTTATCACATTGACTTGCCTTTCAACTTTTAAATTCTGTGAATTTTTCTCTCTGTAAACTAAGCAAGGTAGGACAAGTCGATTAATATCTTTACACCAATTGTGTATAAGGAATGTGTGATTCATTACCAGAAAGATTACTATTCTTGATCAATTCTGTTTCCAAATTAGAATGTATTCACTGAATATATACTATGTTTAACTGTGTTATGATACAGAAGTGTGAATCTTGGTCCCAGAACTGAAGCTATTATAGGATAAGAACATAAACATGATGGTTTATGCTCAACTACTAAATTGTAAGTTTAAAAATCCAGATTTGGAGTAAGATATACAGAATGCACATAGATAGTAATAATTTGGGCAATGGATAAGTCACTGTGGCTGAACAGGTAGGGATAAAAGCTTACAGTTCCTAGCTGAATGCGGTGGCCCATGCCTGTAATCCCAGCACTTTGGGAGGCTGAGGCGGGTGGATCACCTGAGGTTGGGAGTTCGAGACCATCCTGGCCAACATGACAAAACCCCGGCTCTACTAAAAATACAAAAATTAGCCAGGCATGGGGGCGGGAGCCTATAATCCCAGCCACTCGGGAGGCTGAGGCAGGAGGATCGACTTGAACCTGGGAGGCGGAGGTTGCAGTGAGCTGAGATTGCACCATTGCACTCCAGCCTGGGCAACAAGAGTGAAACTCCATCTCAAAACAAAAAACAAACAAAAAACAAAAAAAAAAGCTTACAATTCCTTTGAGGCTGGGCTAAGGAAATTGGCCTGATGATGGAGATGTTCTTTGGAAGAGCAGCCAGGTGGCAAAGGCACAGTGATCAAATATGTGATTAATAGGAGTGATCCAGTCCTAAACAGGGATAGAGGCTGAGAGGCCTAGTCAAGTGGTCTAAACTGCACATGAAAAGGAAGGGAAAAATCGGTAACTTGAGCAATCCTTTATCATCCCTACAGCCACTCAGTTTTAGGTCTGATCAGCAGTTATTCCACTGAGCTGCTGGATGAGCTGAGGGTGGTGATGAAGGCTGAGTTATTTGGTATATATGTAGTCTACCTTATTTAATATTGGCTCAGTTGCTGTACTCAGCTCTGAAGACTTGAAATCTGGCTGATGGGTTATCATTCTATGTGAAGAAAGTATTGTAAGGGGAGTATAGATGGTTAAGGAGGTAGCAGTAAAAGCAGTGCAGAAGAACAGAGATGTGCATGTAAGAGCTCAATGATACTGTTTAGGGTTGCATTTACCAGGTAGATTCTTCTCACTATTTTTATTCTTGATAGCTGGGGTCTTTGGGACATCTAGGCTTATCTATTTTGTTTGGCTGCAAAAAAGTCAGGTAAGAGGAAACACTTGGAAAGCAAAAAATAAATGAAGGCAGAGAACATCATAAAGAGATATATGAAAAGAAGCCCCATTTAAATTATTTGGTAAAATGTGATATACATGGTACATCAGAGATATTGCATGCTTGGATTTTTTGGATTTTACAGATACAGCAACAATGTATTTCATTGATGTGAATGCCTTAGAGTTATCTTGAGCAAGAAACTATTTTTTTTTTTGAAACGGAGTTTCGGAGTTTCGCTCTTCTTGCCCAGGCTGGAGTGCAGTGGCGCGATCTCGGCTCAAGGCAACCTCTGCCTCCCGGGTTCAAGCAATTCTCCTGCCTCAGCCTCCCAAGTAGCTGGGATTACAGTCATGCGCCACCACGCCTGGTTAATTTTGTATTTTTAGTAGAGTCGGGGTTTCTCCATGTTAGTCATGCTGGTCTCGAACTCCCAGCCTCAGGTGATCCACCCGCCTCGGCCTCCCAAAGTGCTGGGATTACAGGCATGAGCCACCGTGCCCAGCCTGAGCAAGAAACTTTTTATTGATATCTTGAATCTCCAGTATAATAAAGTTGGGAGCAGGGTCAATAAATATAAATAAATAATACTTTTTCCTCAAAAATATCATATTTTTTTAAACCTAAGACATCATCAATCATAGGAGACACCACTAGGAAAAAAACACTGCCAAGTAAATTATGAAACTATAGTGATTGTAAAACTAACCCCAATTTCAGAAATGTTGCGATGTGCAGTACATACATTATACAGAAGTTAACTATCAATTAATATCTCCTTGAACCTTTAGAACTTGATCTATAGTCTCACTTAAGTAGATTACAGTAATAAGAAAGTCAGTCTCTGGTTTCAATATTTTGTGACTGGATATCTATAGGGAAAAGTAAATGTAGGTAAGTGTAGGTTTTTTTTTGTTTTTTTTTTTTGAGTCAGGGTCTCTCTCTGTCACCCAGGCTGGAGTGCAGTGGCACAAACATGGCTCCCTGGGGCCTCCACTTTCTGGGCTCAAACAATTCTGCTGCCTTAGCCTTACCTGAGTAGCTGGGACTACAGGCATGCCACCACGCCCACCTAATTTAAAAAATTTTTTTTAGAGACAGGGTCTCACCATGTTGCCCAGGCTAGCTTCGAACTTCTAAGCTCAAGCAATCCTCCCACCTCAGCCTCCCAAAGTGCTGGGATTATAGACGTGAGCCACCATGCCTGGCCAAAAATGCTTCCTTATATTGTCATCTTTAAAGATTTTCTGGCCAAGCATGGTGGCTCCCGCCTGTAATCCCAGCACTTTGGGAGGCTGAGGTGGGCGGATCACCTGAGGTCAGGAGTTTGAGACCAGCCTGGCCAACATGGTGAAACCCGGTCTCTACTGAAAATATAAAAAATTAGCCAGGCACGGTGGCAGGCACCTATAATCACAGCTACTCAGGAGCTAAGGCATGCTCCTGAGATTGGAGATTGCGGTGAGCCAAAATTGCACCACTGCCCTCCACTCTGGGCAACAGAGCAAGACCCTGTCTCAAAAAAAAAAAAAAAAATCTATACTTACCTGTACTTACTTTTCTTTATAGACATTTAATCATAAAATATTGAAACCAGAGACTCATTTTTTCTTATTACTGTGATCTACTTAAATGAGACTGTAGATCAAGTTCTAAAGGTTCAATGAGATATCAATTGATAGTTAACTTCTGTATAATGTAAGCTGTCTCAAAACAAAATAATATAAAGATTTCCTTTTGTTTTTAGGGAAATTTCTCATTCAGCTCTTTTCTAATTGCAGGTGAAAACAACTGGCTTTTTTTTTAAAAAAAGCTATATGTGAAGCAAATCGTGTGCTGTTATGCACCTAATTTTGCCATGTATGCTTAATGAAGGAGGCAGGAGGCCATTTAGCCATCAAGGGAGATAACTTGGCCTAGTGCTTTTCTGCAGGGAAGCAGTTAAAATAAGTTTGAAGAAATTATATATTTAAGGAGAAGGCAAGTTTGTAACACACTAAGACAAAATATTAACTGCTGAGTTTTGAATATTCTTGTGGTTTTCCCATGTCTACTGACATTTGAACATTGTTTAGTAATACTATAAGGAGATATTGAGCAAAATAAGTTGGAACCCTGCCTTCTGTAATCTAGCTTTTACATGTTTATGTAGATTAGGTTAGGTTAAGAGAAAATACCGTAGTATTTTGTAGCTATACAAAGCATCTGGATCCCTGACTTCAATGGCACTTATGTACTTGTTAAGAAGACAGATCATAGCCGGGTGCGGTGGCTCACGCCTGTAATCCCAGCACTTTGGGAGGCCGAGGTGGGCAGATCACCTGAAGTTGGGAGTTCGAGATCAGTGTGATCAACATTGAGAAACCCCGTCTCTACTAAAAATACAAAATTAGCTGGCCATGGTGGCGCATGCCTGTAACCCTAGCTACTCGGGAGGCTGAGGCAGGAGAATTGCTTGAACCTGGGAGGCGGAGGTTATGGTGAGCCGAGATCGTGCCATTGCAATCCAGCCTGGGCAACAAGAGTGAAACTGTCTCAAGAGAAAAAAAAAAGACAGATCATAAATAAGTAGATACATAAAGGAACAAGATCATTAGAGATTGTGATAAATGCCACAGGGCTATATTAGAGGGTAATTGGGGAAGGCCACTCACATTAGATAAAGGGGGTCAGTGAAGCTTTCCTTATGAGGTGAGACCTGAGGAATAATCAGCCAGATATGTGAATAATTGCAGGAAAAACATTCCAGGTAGAAGAACAGAAAGTGTAAAGGCTAGGAGGTAAGAAAGAGCTCGATATTTCACAGGATCGGAAAGGAGCTTGTTGTGGCTCGAATGTTGTGAACTAGGAAGAGAGATGCACAACAAGGGGTTAGACAGGCAGGCAGGAGCCAAATCATTTGGGGATTTGTAGGCCATAGTAAAGATGAAGTTTGAATTTTATTTTGAGAAAATAAGAAATGCTTTAGAAAGAGTTTAAGCAGAGTAATTTCATAATCTAATTTTCATTTTTCAAAGACCACTCTGGTTTATCGGTAGAGAAGAATTAGAGGGGAGGCATAGGAAAAACAAGAAGACTGGTTAGGCAGATGTGCTAGTCAAGATGGCCAAGGGTAGTGGCAGGTTGGATTTTTTCCTCTAGTACTGTCAAGTAGCATTTTGGTATCATTGCAAGCCTACTTCTCTAATATACTGTTTTTTAAATAGCAGAGACTCTTTGGATTTAGAGTGTATAGTTGAGTGCTGGGCTTGATGGCCAATGCCTATAATCCCAGCACTTTGGGAGGCCGAGGCAGGAGGATTACTTGATCCCAGGAGTTCCAGACCAATCCGGGGAGCATAGTGAGATCCTGTCTGTACAAAAAATAAAAAATTAGCAGGGTGTGATGGCACTCACCTGTATTCACAGCTGCTCAGGAGCCTGAGGTGGGAGAATCACTTGAGACCAGGAGGAGTTCAAATCTGCATTGAGCACAGATGATGCCACTGCCCTCCAGCCTGGGTGACGGAGCGAGACCCTGTCTTAAAAAAAAAAGAATACATAGTTGAATTAGTTTATTATTATTATGGAGATGAGATCTTGCTCTGTCACTCTCAGGCTGGAGTACAGTGGTACAATCATAGTTCACTGCAACCTTTAAATCCTGGGCTCAAGCCATCCTCCTACTTCAGCCTCCTGAGTAGCTAGGACTACAGGTGTATACCACCATGCCAAGCTAATTTTTTTTTTTTTTTTTTTTTGGTAGAGACAACGTCTCGCTATGTTGCCCAGGCTGGTCTTGAACTCCTGGCTTCAAGAGGATCTTCCTGCCTTGGCCTCCAAAAGTTCTGGGAGTACAGGGTGAGCCATCATGCCACCCTTAATGTAGTATTCTTTGACTGCAGAATTAGATTTGAATTGAATAATACAAAAGCTGATTTTTAACTATGCCTTGACTGAAAACTAAATTCTTTTAAAAGTACTGGTAGAGGAAGTAGTCTTAGAGTTTAGTAGATGATAATGATAATAGCACACATTGCTGTTTTTTCATAGTTAATGAGCATAATGGTTATATTTAATGAGAGTTTTAAAATTTATGTTTTTATTTCTACTTGGTGATTTTCATAACAAATTATACTTAGGCTCAGGTCTCAATATAATTATCTGATTAGTGCATAGTTTTAAATCTTTAACTTTGCCACTAGAAATACACTTAATTTTTAATTTAGCTACTAATTGTGAAACATTTTTGTTTAGTATTTTGTTGTTTTATTCATGTAAATCAATTTAAGCCTTTTCTTATTTAAATTACTTAATTCTACTTCTATAATCTATTCTAATACTGAATTCCGAACTCTCCTAAATTATTCTTGATTTAGATAAAATGGTTTTAAGCTGGTAACTTTAAAAAATACAATTACTTCAAAATAATACACATACATGACAGAAAAAATTCAAATTGTGAAAGGGCATAAAATGGAAAGAATATTTTATAACATTCTTATTATCTAAGCCAGGCAAAGGTTGGCAGCTTTCTTTCAGTTGGATGTCACTCAGCCTATTGAGTATGCAAATGTCTTTTGTTTGCATGCCACCCAACTCAGCAGTAGTGAGTGAAGGAGAACTGATGAAGATTGCCAACAGTACCTCACATCTCATCTCCCCTTTTATATAAGAGTAAAATTAGATGGCATGTGGTGGCAATACCTGAAAGGAACATGGTTCTAAGAGTGAATTTAAATAGTTTATCATTTGTATTAATAGATGTTTTTTACTCCAGTAGGTGCACATTTTTCTGGTAGTGGATACAGACAATTACAGTGTACTAAGAACTTTGCTGAAGCATTTCAAGGCAAAGGTATTAAAATAAAAATAGATAAAAGTGGTTTGTTTTGCTAATGAATTTTGGAGATAATGATCAGTAGACCGCATTTACCAAGTGTGGCACGCCAACTGAAATATCTTCATCTTCTGTATAGGTTGTTAATCCTTAATACATATGTAATACTTAGTCTTTTACTTGGTATAAGTCAATGAGATGGTTAATCTTCATTATATAACATTTTAAGTTGATATAAATGAGCAGTATTTTGGGGGTTTTATTTTTAAAGCAAAAGGTGAGCCAAAATATTAATCTTTAACAAATATAGTGGACAAAAATTTGTTGAGAAAGTTTCAGATTAAGGAATCATGCAGCATCAACCAAGGAGCCTCAACATAATAATTAACCCAGCTTCTTAACAAAGATATGATTTAATTTTTGTTGTTGAATGATTTCAAGACTACATTTTCCTTTTGGGATTGTTCTGTATGATGCAGTAAAATGTTGGAAATCACAGTGATTGCTTAAAATGAACATGCTGCAAAAAGGGCTCAAAAGTGCTTTTTGTAAAGAGCTCTATTGTTAGTACAATTTTGCTCGTGGGTCCTCTGTCTTTTAGGGGAAGGCTGTAATGCCTAAAAGTTGCCAGTGCTTCATTAAGCTAATGCTGAATTATAGCCAGACATTCAGTGATCCAGACCCCAGACTTCCCTGCCATCCAAGAGGAGCAGTTGGGGAAGGGAATGAGGTGGAGGTGGGAGGTGGAATAGGCCTTTTTTACGTAGTAACTTTATGTATTTATTGTGTCAAATGAGTTTAGCATACTTGTGTTATTAGAATCAATTTGGCCGGGTGTGGTGGCTCACACCTGTAATCCCAGCAGTTTGGGAGGCCAAGGTGGGTGGATCACAAGGTCAGGAGTTCAAGACCAGCCTGACCAACATGGTGAAACCCTGTCTCTACTAAAAATATAAAAAGTTAGCCGGGTGTGGTGGCACACGCCTGTATCCCAGCTACTCAGGAGGCTGAGGCAGGAGAATCGCTTGAACCCAGGAGGCGGAGGTTGCAGTGAGCTGAGATCACACCACTGTACTCCAGCCTGGGCAACAGAGTAAGACTCCGTCTCAAAAAACAAAAAACAAACAAACAAAAGAAAGAATTAATTTAAGCCTTGAATGCTCTCTAACTTTTTCTCCCATTAGCCTTTCCATTTTTTTTTTCAGTTAATAAGAAACAATACTGATAGCAAAACTTGCATTGTGTGTGTGTGTGTGTGTGTGTGTGTATTTTTTTTGAGACAGAGTCTTGCTCTGTCACTCATGCTGGAGTGCGGTGGCATGATCTTGGCTTGCTGCAACCTCCGCCTCCTGGGTTCAAGCTATTCTTATGCCTCAGCCTCCCTAGCTGGGACTACAGGTGCATGCCACCCTGTGTTGCTAATTTTTTTTTTTTTTTGAGATGGAGTTTCGCTTTTGTCGTCTAGGCTGGAGTGCAATGGCGCGATCTCAGCTCACAGCAAATTCCGCCTCCCGGGTACAAGCCATTCTCCTGCCTCAGCCTCCGGAGTAGATGGGATTACAGGCATGCGCCACCACGCCCGGCTAATTTTGTATTTTTAGTAGAGATGGGATTTCTCCATGTTGGTCAGGCTGGTCTCAAACTCCGGACCTCAGGTAATCCACCCTCCTCGGCCTCCCAAAGTGCCGGGATTACAGGCATGAGCCACCGCGCCTGGCTGTCCTGCTAATTTTTGTATTTTTAGTAGAGATGAACCCTCTCCCTCCCCTTCCCCTCCCCTCCCCTCCCCTCCCCTCCCCTCCTCTTTTCGAGACAGAGTCTTGCTCTGTTGCCCAGGCTGAAGTGCAGTGGCGTCATCTTGGCTCACTGCAGCCTCCGCCTCCCGGGTTCAAGCAATTCTCCTGCCTCAGCCTCCCGAGTAGCTGGGACTACAGTTGCGCACTGCCACGCCTGGCTAATTTTTGTATTTTTTGTAGAGATGGGGTTTCACCATGTTGGCCAGGATGGTCTTATTCTCTTGACCTCGTGATCCTCCTGCCTTCTCCTTCCAAAGTGCTGGGATTACAGGCATGAGCCTTTTTTTCTCGTATAATTTTGAACAAAATAATACTTAGTTTTTCATTCAAATTAGAAATTTAAGTAAAAGTGATACCTCTAGAAAGTTAACGTTTGACTCATTTTAAGAAAGCAAGATTATAATAGGGTCATCTTATTTGTTCAGATTCTTTAGATTTCATATTTTTATATTTTAAAAAGTTTCAAACCTACTGAACATTTTACTTTATGTGGATGTACACTCACTTAAGAGTGAGATATTGCAGGGCGTGGTGGCTCACGCCTATAATCCCAGCACTTTTGGAGTCCAAGGCGGGTGATCACATGAGGTCGGGAGTTCAAGACCAGCCTGACCAACATAGAGACTCCCTGTCTCTACTAAAAATACAAAAGTAGCTGGGTGTGGTGGCACATGCCTGTAATCCCAGCTGCTTGGGAGGCTGAGGGAGGAGAATTGTTTGAACCTGGGAGGCGGAGGTTGTGGTGAGCCGAGATTGTGCTATTGCACTATAGCCTGGACAACAACAGCAAAACTCCGTCTCAAAAAAAAAAAAAAAAGTGAGATATTAAGGGCTTTTACTTTCTATATTTTATATTTCTATGATACTTGAATATCATTTTACCAAATTTGTAAGTCTTATAATTACTGTGATTAGAAATATAATTTTAAGCCCTAATAAAATGACTTATTGTCATTTTAGAGCTAAAATTTGTCTTGTTTCTTTGGGTTGTTTTTTTTTTTTTTTGAGATGGAGTCTTACTCTGTCACCCAGGCTGGAGTACAGTGGCATGATCTCGGCTCACTGCAACCTCCACCTCCCTGGTTCAAGCAATTCTCCTGCCTCAGCCTCCCAAGTAACTGGGATTACAGGCATGCACCACTGCACCCGGCTAATTTTTATATATTTTTTTAGTAGAGACAGGGTTTCACCATGTTGGCCAGGCTGGTCTCGAGCTCCTGGCCTCAGGTGATTCGCCCGCCTTGGCCTCCCAAAATGCTGGGATTACAGGCGTGAGCCACTGAGCCTGGCCTAAAATTTGTCTTTTGCTAGGTATATGGATTTGTAGATGAGTGTGCAGTAGCAATGATCATAGTTTATTTTATGAATTAATAGTTAATGAACATCAGATATTGGTGATACAGCAATAAACGAGATAAATATATTTCCTTTTGGAGTTCATAGTTAAGGTTTGTTACATGGGTTGGGTATATTAGGTTGGGTATATTGGGTGGTGCTAAAGTTTGGGCTTCTACTAATCCCATCACCCAAATAGTAAACATAGTACCCAATAGGTGGTTTTTCAACCCGTGCCCTCTTCCCTCCCTGCTTTTGGAGTCCCCAGTGTCTATCGTTCCAATCTTTATGTGGGTGGAGACTTTTTTTTTAAGACAGGATCTTGCTCTGCCAGGCTGGAGTGCCAGGTTGGAGGCTCACTGGCACCTCAACCTTCCAGGCTCAAGCAATCCTCCCACCTCAGCCTCCCAAGTTGCTGGGAGTACAGGCGTGTGCACCATGTCCAGGTACTTTTTAAATTTTTTGTAGAGACAGGGTCTCGCTATGTTGCCCAGGATGGTATCAAACTTCTGGACTCAAGTGATCCTCCCATCTCAGCCTCCCAAAGTGCTGGGATTACGGGCACGAGCCATCTCACCTAGCCCTGTGCACTTTTTAAACTCCATTTACAACATTGGTCAGCTTTTTCTTATTGTACTATAAATTGGACATTAATGAAGTTTTGTGGTCCTGAAGCCTGAAAAAAAAGTCAGATACAGTAATTAGAACTGTTTAACTGTTCCATCATTTCCTCTGCTATCTTATTTTTATTCATTCTGTAGAAGTCCAGACAGGAAAAGGTTGATTGTTGGTAGGGTGACTATATAATTTGCAAGTCCCAGGGCAAAATAAAAATGGGGGCTCCCTTATTCAAAAAGCAGGAAAAGGGGCAGGGCGTGGTGGCTCATGCCTGTAATCCCAGCACTTTGGAGGGCTGAGGCGGGCGGATCACGAGGTCAGGAGATCGAGACCATCTTGGCTAACACGGTGAAACCCCGTCTGTACTAAAAATACAAAAAATTAGATGGGTGTGGTGGCGGGCACCCATAGTCCCAGCTACTCAGGAGGCTGAGGCAGGAGAAGGGCATGAACTTGGGAGGCGGAACTTGCAGTGAGCCAAGATCAAGCCATTGCACTCCAGCCTGAGCAACAGAGCGAGACTCCGCCTCAAAAAAAAAAAAAAAAAAAAAAAAGCAGGGAAAATGTGCTGCTAAAGGTACTAAAATATATACCTTTTTTCTTTCTTTGTAGTGTCTCCTTCAACTTGTCATATTTTAAAAAAATTTATCATCTAATGTCAGTCTAAGCAAAGAAAAATTAGAATTTTAAATCATTAGCCTGTATTTTACTGTTCATCCCTATATGTTGTGTAGTGTCCATTTAAAATGCAAATATAAGAATATTTACCTCATTTGTGGAAACTGAAATTATACAGTCATTTTGTAGTTGCACTTGCATGTGTAGTTTGTTTTTGCTAGAACAGTAGAAACTCTGTACAAACGAACTCAGTGGTTTGTATTTCACTTCTTGATGAATACATATTCTACCAACATTCTACCTTCTGCTTACTGATGAGTAGGGAAGGACTGAGAAGAAAAGGAATTATGGGTGGCCCTATCTCTACCTTTACTTTTATGTTATTATATCCAGCATAAGTGGTTGATTAATATAGGCAAGTAATAGGAGAAATAAAGGATATAATAGGGTTCCTTCATTGTTAGTTTCATAAAACACCATTGCCTTCTTTCTGTGTTCCGAGTAAGTTGTAGCCCCTTGGGGCTGTGAGCAACCCCCTCCAGTGAGAATTAATACAATTTTCTTTGTACTCTATGGCAGAGAAGATGCTCTTACTTTGTTTTGTTTTGAGAACCCTGGCTAGTCCTTGTCAGGAGGATGCTAGGCTTTATGGGTTTAAGGAAATTGGTTATATGCTGTTAACCATTTATACAGTAATAAATTGTTTAATAGGAATTTAAGGCCCAGGCCATAACAGGAGTCCTACTGTTTTATTTTCTGGAAAGTGAATGTAGTTTCATGAGTGTGGAATATTTGTAGCATATTAAAATTGCTCTCTAGGTACAGTTAGCTTATCCCTTATGGTTTTACCCTGCTGTAAGGGGAAACCATACAGAATTGAGCATCAATGAATAAATAAACCTCTGCCAGAGATTGGCAGGCTTTTTGGATCATGGTGTCATTCCAAGTTAGGGTTAGGCACACACTAGAGGCTGTGACTTGGTAATTCAAGTGTTTCACTTGGTTGCTACTGTGCCCTGGCTGCTATGCAAGGATGGCAAGAATGGCGTAATAAACTTAAAGCTGTAGTAATGCTATAATTGTCTGATAGTAGTGATTAAGGTCTGGGTTAGTATACCCGAGGAGTCCTGTTCAGGTGTTATTCTTTTTTCTTTTTTACTTTTTCTTTTTCTTTTTTTTTTGAGACAGAGTTTCAAACTTACTCGATTGTCACCCAGGCTGGAGTGCAGTGGTGTGATCTCGGCTCACTGCAACCTCTGCTTCCTAGGCTCAAGTGATTCTCCTGCATTAGCCTCCCAAGTAGTTTGAACTACAGGCATGTGCTAATTTTTGTATTTTTTTTTTTTGAGTAGAGACAGGGTTTCACCATGTTGGCCAGGCTGGTTTCGAACTCCTGACCTCAAATGATCCGCCTACCTTGGCCTCCCAAAGTGCTGGGATTACAGGTGTGAGCCACTGCACCTGGCCTAATTTTTGTATTTTTATTAGAGACGGGACTTTGCCATGTTGCTCAGGCTGGTCTTAAACTCCTGACTTCAAACTCCTGATCCATCCTTCTTGGCCTCCCAAAGTGCTGGGATTACAAGTGTCAGCCACTGTGCCTGGCCTCAGCTGTTATTCTTCATGCGTATATTTGTTTTGTTCATTTGGGGCACCTTGTTGGTTATCATAAATTTTGGTGTGATCAGGTACTGCTCCTTAATAATACTGTATTTGGCTGGGCGTGGTCGCTCACGCCTGTAATCCCAGCACTTTGGGAGGCCGAGACGGGTGGATCACGAGATCAGGAGATCGAGACCATCCTGACATGGTGAAACCCCGTCTCTACTAAAAATACAAAAAAATCAGCCAGGCGTGGTGGCGGGCGCCTGTAGTCCCAGCTACTCGGGAGGCTGAGGCAGGAGAATGGAGTGAACCCGGGAGGCGGAGCTTGCAGTGAGCCAAGATCCAGCCTGGGCGACGGAGTTCCGTCTCAAAACAAAAACAAAAACAAAAAAAAAACTGTATTTATACTTTATTCTGCATAACTTCTTTTAACTCAGGATTTCTTTTTCTTTTTCTTTTCTTTTTTTTTTGGAGACGGAGTCTCGCTTTGTAGCCCAGGCTGAAGTGCAGTGGCGTGATCTCGGCTCACTGCAAGCTCCGCCTCCCAGGTTCACTCCATTCTCCTGCCTCAGCCTCCCGAGTAGCTGGGACTACAGGTGCCCACCACCACGCCTGGCTATTTTTTTGTAGTTTTAGTAGAGACGGGGTTTCACCGTGTTAGCCAGGATGGTCTCGATCTCTTGACCTCGTGATCTGCCCGCCTCTGCCTCCCAAAGTGCTGGGATTACAGGCGTGAGCCACCGTGCCTGGGCTTTAACTCAGGATTTCATAAAGAAAACAAGATTGAGAAAAACCAAATCTGTTTGTTGTATAAAATAATGTATAGCTCTGAATAGTCATGTCTGATTTTGGGTAAAATGCTAAAAGACTATTCTTCTATGAAGTGCTTTTTACTTTTGCAGTTTTAGGTGGCAAAATAATTTCATATTCTTATTTCCTCACAGAAACCATATGTCTGTGGTTGCTTCTTAGCTCTATCAAATATCCACCTAAGTGCACCAGTAGGTTAAATTGTTTCTCATAAAAGGTTAGTTTTGACAAATTTTTGCTGTTAGCTTTTCATTATCACCAGATCTTGACTGTACTGGCACAATGGTGTATAAAATCTAGAGAGGAAACAAATCAATGTGAACCATAGCATAGTTAATGGGTCTTCTCCAAAGCACTTATTTGGTTAGATAAAAGTACATAAAGCACTTCTCACTGTGTCTGGTACAGAGGGGAGGCATGCAACAAATGTTTTTAGAATAAATAAAAATTCAGTTCTTGTAAGCATTAGTATTAATTACATGAAGGACTTCCAGGCACTGTAATCAGTCTTCTATCTTTGAGATTTGAAAGAAGCAGGAAATAGGGCGTAGGACCTACAAGGAAACAGGAAGATTATCCATGTTTTTATTTCGCATTCCACTTGAACTATCTTGGAAACACAGGGTATAACATCAAACAATGGTCATATAAGTATTTTTTAAAATTTGTTTTTATCTGTTGCTTTATCTGCTTTGTGGTATATTATTGTATTCTATGTCTGGACATGTCTGGACGTTTTCAGTTGATTCATTAATATCAGGAGTAGTGTGAGTGTTTCCTTGTCAAGGAGATACTGCATTTTCTTCCTAGTCCCATAATTAGCCAAAGGAACAAACTACTCTTCTTAAATGTTCATCAAAACAGGTATATGAGTCTGGGCGCAGTGGCTCACGCCTGTAATTCCAACACTTTGAGAGGCCGAGGTGGGTGAATCACTTGAGGCCAGGAGTTTGAGACCAGCCTGGGCAAGACGGCGAAACCTTGTCTCTATAAAAAATACAAAAATTAATCAGGTGTGGTGGTGCACACCTGTAATCACAGCTATTTGGGTGGCTATGGCATGAGAATCACTTGAACCCAGAAGGCGGGGAAGTTGCAGTGAGCTGAGATCGCGCCACTTCATTCCAGCCTTCATGCAGAGCAAGACTCTGTCTCAAAATATATATATAAGATTACACATATATTTCAAAAAAATTATATTTTCCAAAACCAAAAACCCCACAGGTATATGATCTGTAAAACAGGCTGGACATGGTGGCTCATGACTGTAATCCTAGCACTTTGGGAGGCTGAGGCAAGGAGGATCACTTGAACCCAGGAATTTGAGACTTGCCTGGGCAAAATAGTAAGACTCTGTCTCTATTAATTAAAACAAAAACAAAAACAAAAATGACAGACATATGATCTCCGAAACAAACGAATCATGCAGGTCAACCAGGATGTGGGGAGAACTCAAAAAGGTATATAAACAATAACACACAAACCTAATTGTATTATAAATGGATAATACACTGAAGGGGTTGGGGAAGAAAATAACTTGTCTAAGATACTTTGGAAAATTATAAGGCTAAAGACAAAAAGAATTATATGCAAATATTGTGGTGTCATTAGTAAGTTTCTTTCTCATAGGGGCAGGGGTTAGCAATTCTACTTTATATATATACTTAACAGTAAACAAATTAGAAAATATTGTGGATAATAAGACCTAGGTTCCTAACTCTCTCCACTGAGAGGACCTAGAATTAGGAATACCACAGTAGCAGTGACCACAATAGTGCCCCAGATCTTGATTTCTTTTCTTTTTCTTTTTTTTTGACAGTGTCTCACCCTGTCGCCCAGGCTGGAGTGCAGTGGCACGGTCTTGGCTTACTGCACTCTCCACCTCCTAGGTTCAAGTGATTCTCCTGCCTCAGCCTCCCTAGTAGCTAGGACTATAGGCATCTGCCACCACGCCTGGCTAATTTTTGTATTTTCTGTAGAGATGGGATTTGGTCATGTTGTCCAGGTTGGTCTCAAACTCCTGACCTCAAGTGATCCGCCCGCCTCGGCTTCCCAAGATGCTGGGATTACAGGTGTGAGTCACCATGCCCGGCCCCAGATCTTGGTTTCTAAATAACATTCTCCACTAATAAGAACCCTTGAGAAATGACTGATTCCAGGACTGAGGCAGGGAAAATCAAAATGAACCTGAAACATTTAATGGTATCAGAAAGTAACTAAAAAATGATAGGGGCATATGAAAGGATCTAACCAACTTGAAGAGATAGTTCCATTGGTCAAAGCTAAGACAAAATAAATAATCATAGTATTGGATTCGAATCCATAGAATATAATAAATATCAGTGAGTCCATACTAATATAAACAAGGGAGAAAGGACAGCCTATCTATCTAGCTAGCTAGCTATCTGAGACAGTCTCTTGCTCTGTCACCCAGGCTGGAGTGCAGTGGCACGATCTGGGCTCACTGCAAGTTCCACCTCCCGGGTTCACAACATTCTCCTTCCTCAGCCACCCGAGCAGCTGGGACTACAGGCGCCCGCTGCCACGCCCGGCTAATTTTTAGTATTTTTAGTAGAGATGGGGTTTCACTGTGTTAGCCAGGATGGTCTCAATCTCCTGACATCGTAATCCGCCCGCCTCGGCCTCCCAAAGTGCTAGGATTACAGACGTGAGCCACTGCGCCCAGTCTTTTTATTTTTAAAAATAATAATAAAAAATAGTAAACTTTATTTTTAGAGCAATTTTATGTTCACAGTAAAATTGAGAGGCAGCTCTTTTTTTGTTTTTACAGTAGAATTTCAGTTAATAAATAGAAGGAGTGATGGAAATAGAAAATCATCATTAGGCGATCTCCATGGCAGGTTCTTGTTGCAGGCAAGAATCAACCAATGGATGCTAAAATTAGTGGGTGAAAGTGTGGTAAGAAACACGGTATTTAAATAGGCTCTAAGTATCTGCCCTACAAAATACTTATTCATTACAAAGGGGAACCTTTGTAATGTAACACTGGAGAAATCTGGATATACCACTCTAACCTGGTGACACATTGACATCTGTCAGAAGACAAAAATTTTGACAAACCAAGTTTAAAGATTAATTGGCTTTTATTAGCAATTCATGAATCAGGCAGCATCCCATCTAAAGATTTACAAAGGCACTCCAATGAGCTGAGCAGTGGAGGCAGGCTTTATTGGTAGAAAAAAGCTGAAGAAGGCAGAAACAAGGAAAAAGAGTGATTGCTCATTACAAAATTACTTTCCTTGTAGGGTTAAAACAGAGGAACTTCATTATCTTGCTAGCACAAATAAACTGGGCCCCTTCTGATTGGTTGCTGTGAATGGCCTGTTTGTTGGAAAACTGGCCCATTTTATTGTTCAGTTTGATTATGTGGTGCCTAGCAGGAGTGACTCCATTCAGGTTTTGTGTGCTCTGTTGGAGTCTAGTGTAGAAACTCAGCCCAAAACAGTGGCTTTCTATACGTTTATTTAACACGTCAGATGCTTCCTGATGCAGTGCACTGAGAAGGACATAGCATCGCCTCTGTGGTATTTTTTGCCAGGAAAGGTAATTTTTGTCTAATCATGAGAAAACAGAGATAAACCCAAATTGAGGAACATTCTACAAGATAACTTCCCAGTACTTTAAAAAAGTCTCAAAGTCATAAACAAGAAAGAACTGAGGGACTATTGCATATTGGAGCGATCTAAAGAAGTATTACAATTTGTGGAATTCTTGATTAAATCCTGGACCAGCAAAAGGACATTAGTGGGAAAATTGATGAAATTCAAATGAGATCTTATATTGAAGTTAATTGTGTCAGTGTACATTTCCTGGTTTTCATAATTGCAAGTGATTATGTAAGGTTTGTTAATATTAGGAGCAGCTGGGTAAAGGTTATACAAAAACTCTATACTATTTTTGCATTTTTTCTGTAAGTTTAAAACATTTTCCAACTAAAAAGTTGAAAACACATGTATTAGAGACACATGCGTATGTGTCTCTAATAATCTTAAATATATTTAAGATGATAGAAGGAATTCTTGAGATAGTAAAATGAAGTCACCAAAAAACAAACAAAGAAACAAAACGAAATCACCAAAATCTATCAATAAATTTCAGGTAATACTTTTGGCAGATTCATTCTTTGAGATGGAGTCTCACTCTGTCGCCCAGGCTGGAGTGCAGTGGCGCAATCTCGGCTCACTGCAAGCTCCGCCTTCTGGATTCACGCCATTCTCCTGCCTCAGCCTCCCGAGTAGCTGGGACTACAGGTGCCCGCCACCATGCCCTGCTAATTTTTTTGTATTTTTAGTAGAGATGGGGTTTCACTGTGTTAGTCAGGATGGTCTTGATCTCCTGACCTCGTGATCCGCCCGCCTCGGCCTCCGAAAGTGCTGGGATTACAGGCGTGAGCCACCGTGCCCGGCCGTTTCTGTTATACTTTAAAAAATATAATTTATATTTGGCACCTATATTTCTCAATAAAAATATAAGCAGGAATTTTTAGTTTTGTAAATTTTATAATCTGGGTCTAATAAATCTTAAAGGGATACTAGAGTTTATGTAATCATTAACCACATTATTTTAGACATTTTTTTGTGCAAACTGATTTTCTTATGTTTATACCTATGGTCTTCAGTAATTACTATTTCACTGATAGTTGTAAGAATATGAAATTAAGGCAGGAAGAGGAGAAGTATTAGTTTAATGTGTACTATATGCTGTGTGTGTGTGTGTGTGTACACACTTACATGCTGTTGATTCTCATTGTTCTTGGATTCCATATTTGTAAATGTTCCTACTCACTGAAATTTATTTGTAACCCCCAAATTAATATGCATAGTGTTTTTGTAGTCATATAAGGATATCTATAGAGCTGTGAAAAATGTAAGTCACCTGATGCACACGTTCTCAGCTGAGGTCAAACAAGGCCACATTCTGACTTCTTGTTTCAGGTCTCATGCCATAAACAAATGTCCTGTTCGTGGCCCATTTAGTGCCATATTTTTCTCATTTTTGTGCTTTTTGCTGGTGATTTCACTGTTCAAAATGGCCCACAAATATAGTGCTAAAGTGTTGTCTGGTGTTCTAAGTGCAAGAAAGCTCTTTTCCTTAGGGAGAAAATACCTATGTTAGATAATCTTCAGTCAGTCATGAGTTATACAGGCATGAATTATAGTGCTGGTAGCCAGGAGTTGAGTGTCAGTGCATCAACAAAATATATTAAAGTGACTTTAAACAATCACACGCACACAAAACAACATTATATATTGATCTGTTAATGCAAATGTGGTGAGCACAGGCTTATAGCAATCTAACCTTGTATTTCTCCTAGAAGCAATGGTTCATTGTTCACTAATTCAGTGTTTGCAATAACTATATAGAACATACAAGAATCATTTGTATGTGTGTGATACCCATCTATCTAATATATATTACATATTGTTCATTATATATTAAAAATGTTATTAATTATATTACTTTTTTTTTTTGAGATAGGGTCTCACTCTGTTGCCCAGGCTGGAGTACAGTAGTGTTATTTTGGCTCACTGCAACCTCCACCTCCCGTGTTCAAATGATCCTCCCACCTCAGTCTCTTGAATAGCTGGGACCACAGGCGTGCACTGCCACGCCGCCAAATTTTTTGTATTTTTAGTAGAGATGAGGTTTCACCATGTTGCCTAGGCGGTGTGGAATTCCTGAGCTCAAGTGATCTGCCCACCTTAGCCTCCCAAAGTGCTGGGATTACAGGCATGAGCCACCACGCCCAACCTTATATTATTAATATATGTTTCATATATACATATACATACACAGGCATACCTTGTTTATTGTGCTTCACTATTGCACTTCACAGATAACTGTGTTTTGAACAAATTGAGGGTTTGGGGTAACTCTGCATCAAGCAAGTCACTCAACACCATTTTTCCAACAGCATGTGCTCTTTTCATGTCTGTGTCATATTTTGGTAATTCTTGCAATGTTGCAAACATTTTAATTATTACATTTGTTATAGTGATTTGTGATCAGTGATCTTTGATGTTACTATTGTAATTGTTTTGGGGCACCAGGAACCACACCCATATAAAATGGCAAACTTAATAAATGTTTGTGTTCTGACTGTTCTATCAGCTGTTGTTCCCCTGTCTCCCTGTTTTCAGGCCTCCCCGTTTCCTGAGACACAAATATTGAATTTAGGCCAATTAATAACCCTGCAATGGCCTTTAAGTGTTCAAGTGAATGACAGAGTTGCACGTTTTTCACTTTAAATCAAAAGCTAAAAATGATTAGGCTTAGGGAAGAAGGCATGCTGAAAGCCAAGACAGGCTGAAAGCTAGGCCTTTTGCTCCAGTTAGCCAAGTTGTGAATGCAAAGGAAAAGTTCTTGAAGAAAATTAAAAGTGTTACTCCAGTGAATACAGGAATGATAAGAAAATTAAACAGCTTTATTGCTGATAGAGAAAAAGTTTAAGTGGTCTGGATAGATTAAACTAACTACAACATTCCCTTAGGTCAAAACCTAATCTCAGAGCAACACCCTAACCCTCAGTCTTGTTTTTTTCTTTTGGAGACAGAGTCTCCCTCTGTCGCCCAGGCTGGAGTGCAGTGGTTCAATCTTGGCTCACTGCAGCCTCCACTTCCTGGGTTCAAGCAATTCTCCTGCCTCAGCCTCCTGAGTAGCTGGGACTACAGGTGTGCACCACCATGCCCGGCTAATTTTTGTATTTTTAGTAGAGATGGGGTTTCGCCACATTGTCCAGGCTGGTCTTGAACTCAGGTGATCCGCTTCCCTTGGCCTCCCAAAGTGTTGATATTACAGGTGTGAGCCACCGTGCCCAGCCCCCTCAGTCTTCTGTGAAAACTGAGAGAGGTAAGGAAGCTACAGAAGAAAAGTTTAAAGTTAGTAGAGGCTGAATCTCAACAGATTTTCAATGTAGATGACACATTTTTATGTTGGAAGAATATACCATCTAGGACTTTTATAACTGGAGAGAAATTGTTGGGCTCAGTGGCTCACACCTGTAATCCCAGCACTTTGGGAGGCCGAGGCGGGCAGATCACCTGAGGTTGGGAGTTTGAGACCAGCCTGACCAACATGGAGAAACCCTGTCTCTACTAAAAATACAAAAAATTAGCTGAGTGTGTTGCTGCATGCCTGTAATCCCAGCTACCTGGGAGGCTGAGGCAGGAGAATTGCTTGAGCCTGGGAGGCGGAGGTTGCGGTGAGCCAAGTTTGCGCCATTGCACTCCAGCCTGGGCAACAAGAGCGGAACTGCATCTCAAAAGAAAAATAAATAAATAAATAAACGTAACTGGAGAGAAATCAATGCCTGGCTTCAAAGCTTCAAAGGACAAGTCAGCTCTCTTGTTAGGGGCTAATACAGCTGGTGACTTTAAGTTGAAGCCGATGGTTATTTACCATTTTGAAAATCCTAGAGCCCTTAAGAATTATACTAAATATGCTCTGCCTGTGCTCTATGAATGGAACAACAAAGCCTGAATGACAGCACATCTGCTTACAGCATGACTTACTGAATATTTTAAGCCCACCATTGAGAACTACTGCTCAGAAAAAAAGATTGCTTTCAAAATATTACTGATCATTGACAATGCACCCGATCACCCAAGAGCTCTGATGTAGATGTATAAGGAGATGAATGTTGTTTTCATGCCTGGTAAGACAACATCCATTCTGCAGCCTATGGATCCAGGAGTAATTTTAACTTTAAAATCTTATTTAAGAAATAATATTTCATAGGCTATAGCTGCCATAGATAGTGATTCCTCTGAATCTGAGCAAAGTAAATGCAAAACATTCTGGAAGGAATTCACCATTCAAGATGCCTTTAAGAGAATCAGTGATTCATGGGAGGAGGTTAAAATATCAGTACTAACAGGAATTTGGAAGAAGTTGATTCCAACCTTTATGGATGACTTTGATAGGTTAAAGACTTCAGTGGAGGAAGTTACTGCAGATGTGGTGGAATAGCAAGAGAACTAGAATTAGAAGTTGAACCTGAAGATGTGACTGAATTGGTGCAGTCTCATGAGAAAATTTGAATGGAGGAAGAGTTGCTTTTTTTTTTTTCTTTTTCAGAAAGGGTCTCACTCTTGCCCAGGCTGGAGTGCAATGGCGTGGTCACAGCTCACTGCAGCATCAACCTCCTGGGCTTTATCAACCCACCTCGGCCTTCCAAGTAGCTGGAACTACAGGTGTGCACTACCACACCTGGATAATTTTTTTTTTTTTTTTTGAGATGGAGTCTTGCTCTGTCGCTAGGCTGGAGTGCAGTGGTGCGATCTCGGCTCACTGCAACTTCTGCTTCCTGGGTTCAAGCGATTCTCCTGCCTCAGCCTCCCAAGTAGCTGGGACTACAGGCACGTGCCACCACGCCCAGCTAATTTTTGTATTTTTAGTAGAGACGGGGTTTCACCGTGTTGGCCGAGATGGTCTCTATGTCTTGACCTCGTGATCCGCCCGCCTCAGCCTCCCTAAATGCTGGCATTACAGGCATGAGCCACTGTGCCCTGTTTAAAAGTTGCTTCTTATGGATGAGCAAAGAAAGTTGTTTCTTGAGGTGGAATCTACTTGTGCAGACGCTGTAAACATTGTTTAAATGACAACAAAGGACTTTTTTCTTTTTCTTTTTCTTTTTTTTTTTTTGAGACAGAGTCTTGCGCTGTTGGCCAGGCTGGAGTGCAGTGGTGTGATCTTGGCTCACTGCAAGCTCTGCCTCCTGGGTTCACACGATTCTCCTGTCTCAGCCTCCCGAGTAGTTGGGACTACAGGCACCCGCCACCACGCCCGGCTAATTTTTTGTGTTTTTAGTAGAGACGGGATTTCACTGTGTTAGCCAGGATGGTCTGAATTTCCTGACCTCATGATCCACCCGCCTTGGCCTCCCAAAATGCTGGGATTACAGGCGTGAGCCGTGGCGCCCAGCCTAGCACATTTTTCTTTTTTGAAATGGAGTCTCCCTCTGTCGCCCAGGCTGGAGTGCAGTGGCACGATCTTGGCTCACTGCAACCTCTGCATCCCAGGTTCAAGCTATTCTCCTGCCTCAGCCTCCTGAGTAACTGAGATTACAGGGACCTGCCACCATGCCCGGCTAATTTATTTTTTTTGAGACGGAGTTTCACTTTTTTTGCCCAGGCTGGATGGAGTGCAATGGCACGATCTCGGCTCACCGCAGCCTCCGCCTTCCGGGTTCGAGCGATTCTCCTGCCTCAGCCTCCTGAGTAGCTGGGATTACAGGCATGCGCCACCATGCCCGTCTAATTTTGTATTTTTTAGTAGAGACAGGGTTTCTCCATGTTGGTTAGGCTGGTCTCAAACTCCCGACCTCAGGTGATACGCCCGCCTTGGCCTCCCAGAGTGCTGGGATTACAGACATGAGCCACTGCGCCCAGCCTTCCATGAAGTATTTTTAAATTAAGGAATGTACATTACGTTTTTTGTTTTGTTTTTTTGAGACGGAGTCCCAAGGCAGGAGTGCAGGGGCCTGATCATGGCTTTTTCTATATTCCTTTTTTTTTTTTCTTTTTTGAGACAGCGTCTCACTCTGTCACCCAGGCTGGAGTGCAGTGCTGCCATCTCGGCTCACTGCAACCTCTGCCTTCTGGGTTCATGCCATTCTTCCGCCTCAGCCTCCCCAGTGGCTGGAACTACAGGTGGCCGCCACCACGCCCGGCTAATTTTTTGTTTTTTTAGTAGAGATAGGGTTTCACCGTGTTAGCCAGGGTGGTCTTGATCTCATGACCTCCTGATCTGCCCACCTTGGCCTCCCAAAGTGCTGGGATTACAGGTGTGAGCCACCGTGCCTGGCCCGTCATGTTTTTTTTTAGACCTAATGCCATTGCCCACTTAACAGACTACAGTATAAACATAACTTATATATGTACTGAGAAACCAAAGAATTCATGTGATTTGCCGTACTGTGATATTTGCTTTATTGCAGTGTTCTGGAACTAAGCCTGCAATATCACTGAGGTATGCTTGTATTTCTTATCTAATCTTTCTAAAGCATCCAGGCCCTTCTACATGAGGAGTGAGAACAGACAAAATTAAGTGATTTGCCCAATATAATAGCCAGAACTCAGGGTCTGGTTCCAAAGTCTGCAGATTAAAAATCTCTTTTTAGATGACATTATCTGTTTTGCCTAAGACATACAGTAAAGGCATCTGTAAATTTATCTTGACATTTAATTAGATGTGTTGACAAAAAGACTCAAACTCTGTAAAATATTTGAAGAGATTTATTCTGAGCCAAATATGAGTGACCAAGGGCCCATGACACAGCCCTCAGGCAATCCTGAGAACATGTGTCCAAGGTGCTTGGGTTACAGCTTGATTTTATACATTTTAGGGTGGCAGAAGTTATAGATACCAGTCAACACATGTAAGGTGAACATTGTTTCAGTTCAGAAAGGGGGGACTTCCAGGTCATAGGCAGATTCAAAGATTTTGTAGTTAAGTTACCCTCTGAAGACCTGGAATCAATAGAAGGAAATGTCTGGGTTAAGATAAGGGGTGGGGGAGACCAAGGTTCTTATGCAAATGAAGCTTCCTTGTAGCAGGCTTCACAGAGAATAGATTGTAAATGTATCTTATCAGTCTTTAAAAGGTGCCAGACTGTTAGTGGATTCTCTTCTGGATCAGGGAAAAGACCTGGAAAGGGAAGGGGATTCTCTGCAGAATGTGGATTTTCCCAAGAGACAGCTTTGTAGGCTATTTCAAGATATGGCAAATAAACATATTTGGGGTTAAAATATTCTGATTTCTTTCCTTATCTGTCATGTGATGTTATGTCAGAGTCAGGTAAGCCACATTATGTAGGGTTAAATAAAACCCCTCTGATGAGACTATGGTTTGTAAGGCGTGACTCCCCAGGTCCCTCAGATAGAAATTTGAGGAGAAGAAAAAGGTCAGAGTTTAGTCCTCAGATGGCAAGAATAGTAAGATTTCCCTCATATCTTTCTATTTGAAAATTAAATTGCCTTCATTTTAAAGTCAAATTTAACATTATGTATTTTTGTTTTAACAATTTACTTTTTTATTCAGCGATTCACTTATTTAAAATGCCATGTACTAATTAGCGTAACATTTTCTAGGTAGTTTTTAAAAATTTCTTTTGGGATTTATGTTTATTTTTGTTCATTTATTTATTTTTATTTTCTATTTTTTGAGATAGAGTCTTGCTCTGTCACTCAGGCTGGAGTGCAGTGGCAAGATCTCAGCTCACTGCAACCTCTGCTGCCCAGGTTTAAGCGATTCTCTTGCCTTAGCCTCCTGAGTAGCTGGGATTACAGGCGCGTGCCACCATGCTTGGCTACTTTTTGTATTTTTAGTAGAGATGGGGTTTCAGCATCTTGGCCAGGCTGGTCTTGAACTCCTGACCTTGTAATCCACCCGTCTCGGCCTCACAAAGTGCTGGGATTACAGGCATGAGCCACTGCACCTGGTGTATGTTTTTTTTAAATGAAGTCTTAACTGGGAAATGTGAAACAGTGAAGTATTTCAGTTTCCATAAGTAAGATCTTAAATGTTTAGAGTGTCAAATGTCTCTAGAAGAAAACAGCGTCTTGTTGATTCTTTAGCTTTTCACTACTCTTTACAATGCTTTTCCCCGAAAAGCAATATGAGAAATTAGAAAAAAGGTTATTAAAAACCCAAGGGGGCCAGACACAGCGATTCATGCCTGTAATACGCGCACTTTGGGTGGCCAACGCAGGAGGATGGCTTTAGGCCAGGAGTTTGAGACCAGTCTGGCCAACATAGTGAGACCTCGTATCTATTTTACATATTTTAAAAATTATATTAAAAAATTAAAAAAATCCCAAAGGGAATGGAATGATAGTCATTTGCTGTAAAGAAATCAGAAGATTTTCATAATAATGCTTTTATCCCTTCCATTTTTCCTCTAGAGTTATAATTGAATAATTAATTGCCTTATGTTGCTTATTGCTTATAATAATTAGGGAAATTAGGATGTATCTAACAAAAAATAAAAGACTAAGAAAAAAATACAAAAGACTCTTGACCATCAAAAGGTAGCTTTATAAACATCTATTCAAAATACATTTATTCAAAGAAATAATGAGCAATTACAAAATTAAACTTGAGAATATCCTTATTAAATAAGATAGTATAGTTAATTAAAATAATTTATACAGAGAAACTGTGAATTTTATTGCTTTGTCTTAAAACATTCAGACTCCTTTCTAACATTGTTTACAGTTAAGGTTTTTGGGTTTAAGTTGAAGGATGAGGCCTGCTAACATTACTAAATATGCGTTTATAACCCTATACGTCCTGTCTGGAGTATGCAAACATCTGTAGAAGCATGATTTTTTTTTTTTTTTTTTTTTTTTTTTTTGAGACAGAGTCTTGCTGTCGTCCAGGCTGGAGTACAGTGGCATGATCTTAGCTCACTGCAACCTCCACCTCCCGAGTTCAAGTGATTCTCTTGCCTCAGCCTCCTGAGTAGCTGGGACCACAGGTGCATGCCACCATGCCTGGCTAATTTTTGTAGTTTTAGTAGAGATGGGGTTTCACCATGTTGGCCAGGCTGGTCATGAACTCCTGACCTCAGGTCATCCACCTGCCTTGGCCTCCCAAAGTGGTGGAATTACAGGCATGAGCCACCACGCCCAGCCAGGATGAGGAGTTTTTAAGGCAATATAATGCAATATTTAGTAATTGATTCCTTTAATCTATGAGGTCCAACTTAGAAGGAACAAAAATGTTACCAGGCTTCATTTAAAAAAGAGAAATTGAGGCCAGCCATGGTGGCTCACACCTGTAATCCCAGCACTTTGGGAGGCCGAGGCGGGTGGATCACTTGAGGTCAGGAGTTCAACACCAGCCTGGCCAACATGGTGAAACCCCGTCTCTACAAAAATACAAAAAAATTAGCCGAGCATGGTGGCACACGACTATAATCCCAGGTACCCGGGAGGCTGAGACAGGAGAATCGCTTGAACCCAGGAGGCGGAGGTTGCAGTGAGCTGAGATAGTGCCATTGCACACCAGCATGGGCGACAGAGTGAGACTTCATCTCAAAAAAAGGGAGAAATTATATTGAGGCCAGCCTGGACAATAAGACCACATCTCCAAAAGGAAAAAAAAAAAAAAAAAAGTTTAAAACCAGGTCAGGACCTATTTGCAGATGTACAGTTATCATCACAGAAGGCTTTCTTCTCCAGAAATTTAACTTTGTAACTAGTATTCTTAGCACTATAGTATTTGATAGCAAAGCTACCCGCCCCCACCTTTTTTTTTTTTTTTAAAACAAGTTTTGCATTATACAAGACTGAATGGTGCTTGGCAGAGAGGAATTTTAAGAATTTGGAAGGGCAGGAGAATGGCGTGAACCTGGGAGGCAGAGCTTGCAGTGAGCGGACATTGTGCCACTGCACTCCAGCCTGGGCGACAGAGTGAGACTCCGTCTCAAAAAAAAAAAAAAAAGAATTTGGAAGTAGGGAGGTGAATGGAACTAGACTTTAACTGTAGACTAGAAGCTTCCCTTTCCCAGTCTCTGCCCATTAAAAAAAAAAAAAAGTCACTTCCACTAGAAGATTCATAGATGTTGGGAAAACACAACTGGGGGAACTTTTGATTTTCTTTTTTAATGTGGGATGGGTTGAGCAGGAGTACTCAAGAAATTGATAGGTAACTGTAGAGTAAATAACATGTAATGTCATTTTAAAGTTTGTATTTTGTTGTGGTGGTTGTTTTGAGATGGAGTCTCGCTCTATTGCCAGGCTGGAGTGCAGTGGTGCGATCTCGGCTCAGTGCAACCTCCGCCTGCCAGGTTCAAGCGGTTCTCCTGCCTCAGCCTCCCAAGTAGCTGGGATAACAGGCACAAACCACCACACCCAGCTAATTTTTGTATTTTTAGTAGAGACAGGGTTTCACCGTGTTGGCCAGGCTGGTCTCGATCTCCTGACTTCGTGATCTGCCCGCGTCGGCCTCCCAGAGTGCTGGGATTACAGGCGTGAGCCACTGCACCCGGCCGTTAAAGCTTGCTTTAGTAAGCAGAAAACACTTTCAAAGATACATGTGAATGACAGCTGCTATTTGTCTTGTAGCTGATTCAAAGTACTCATCATAAAGTTGTTTTTTTGTTTTTTTTGAGACGGAGTCTTGCTCTGTCGCCCAGGCTGGAGTGCAGTGGGGCGATCTGGGCTCACTGCAAACTCCGCCTCCCGGGTTCCCACCATTCTCCTGCCTCAGCCTCCCGAGTAGCTGGGACTACAGGTGTCCGCCACCATGCCCGGCTAATTTTTTATATTTTTAATAGAGACGGGGTTTCACCGTGTTAGCCAGGATGGTCTCGATCTCGTGACCTCATGACCCGCCTGCCTCAGCCTCCCAAAGTTCTGGGATTACAGGCGTGAGCCATCGTGCCCGGCCATAAAGTTTTTTAAGTTAGCCATTTCCAGTGTCTGATCTTCAGTGAAGTTTGTAAATTGTTTTTGTTTTGTTTTGTTTTGCTTTGTTTTGAGATAGAGTCTCCCTCTGTCTCCTAGGCTGGAGTGCAGTGGCATGATCTCAGCTCACTGCAGACTCTGCCTCGTGGGTTCAAGCGATTCTCCTGCCTCAGCCTCCTGAATAGCTGGGATTACAGGTACATGTCACCACACCCAGTTAATTTTTCTGTTTTTCGTAGAGATGGGGTTTCACCATTGTTGGCCAGACTGGTCTCAAACTGCTGACCTCAGGTGATCCACCTGCCTCAGCCTCCCAAAGTGCTGGGATTACAGGCATGAGCCACTGCACCCGGCCTGTATATTCTTTTAAAATAATAAAGATAGGGAGCTAGATATTAGTAAAAAGTAGCAACAAAGATGTAAGGATCAGATGATGACCCAAGGACTGTTAGTGGAGGGTTTTGCCATGTTGGCCAGGCTGGTCTTGAACTCCAAACCTCAAGTGATCCACCCTCCTCGCCCACCCAGAGTGCTGGGATTACAGGTGTGAGCCACCATGCCCAGCTGACAGGTGAAATACTAAAAAATAACATGGCTAGGCTCAAAAATGAAGCTTAACACCTCCTTGGAATAGAAAAGCAAAGTGTTCTACCTAACTGAACTCTGGGGCCAGAAGTTGGCAGTTTTTCCCATGATTTCTTGCCAGGCTGACAGGGTCCAAAAGTGACCATGTGAGAAGGAGATCAGAACTTGGCTCCCACTTCAGACACGGGGGCTGTGTCTCCTTGAAAGGATGCCAGAAAGAGAACAGCATCTTGCTTCTTGGTGTTAAAAACTTTTTTCATTGGCCAGGCACTGTGGCACACACCTGTAATCCCAGCAGTTGAGGAGGATGGGGTGGGAGGATTGCTTGAGCCCAGGAGTTCAAGATCAGCCTAGGCACAGTGGCAAGACCCTTTTCTGTCTCTACAAAAATTTTAAAAATTTCTCGGGATGTTGGCGTGCGCCTGTGGTCCCAGCTACTCAGGACGCTGAGGCAGGGGTATCGTTTCAGCCAGGAATTCGAGTCTGCAGTGAGCTATGATGGCGCCACTGTACTCTGGCCTGGGCAATAGCATAAGACCTCCTCTCTAAAAGAGAAATGATAAAAGGCCAGGTACAGTGGCTCATGGCTGTAGTCCCAGCACTTTCGGAGGCCGGGGTGGTTGGATTGCTTGAGGCCAGGAGTTCAAGACCAGCCTGACCAACATGGCGAAACCCTGTCTCTACTAAATATACAAAAATTATATTTGTTTAATTACATACCACGGATGTGGTGGCCCGTGCAGACGTCCCAACTACATGGGAGGCTGAGGCGTGAGAATTGCTTGAACCTTAGAGGCGGAGGTTGCAGTGAGACAAGATCATGTCACTGCCCTCCAGCCTGGGTGACAGAGCAAGACTGTCTCAAAAAAAAAAAAAAAAAAAAAGGCCAGGCACAGTGGCTCACCCCTGTGATCCCAGCACTTTGAGAGGCCGAGGCGGGCAGATCACTTGAAGTCAGGAATTTGAGACCAGCCTGGCCAACATGGTGACACCCTGTCTCTAATGAAAATGCAAACGTTAGCTGGGCATAGTGGCATGTGCCTGTAATCCCTGCCACTTGGGAAGCTGAGGCAAGAGAATTGCTTGAACCCAGGAGGTGGAGGTTGCAGTGAGCCAAGATTGTGCCACTGCACTTCAGCCTGGGCGACAGAGCAGGACTTCGTCTGAAGAAAAAAAAAAAAACACGTTTTTTATAAGCTGTGGCCCTAGGTCTGGCGTGGTGGCTCACGCTTGTAATCCCAGCACTTTTGGAGGCTGAGGCGGGTGGATCACGAGGCCAGGAGTTCGAGACCAGCCTGGCCAACACAGTGAAACCCCGTCTCTACTAAAAGTACAAAAATTAGCTGGGCGTGGTGGCAGGCGCCTGTAATCCCAGCTACTCTGGAGGCTGAGGCAGGAGCATTGCTTGAACCTGGGAGGTGGAGGTTGCAGTGAGCTGAGATCGCTCCACTGCACTCCAGCCTGGGCGACAGAGCGACACTCCGTCTCAAAAAATAAAATAAAAATAAGCTGTGGACCTAAGGAATATGAGAATTAAGAGATACCCTTAGTACCAGAAATTTAGCCAATATACTCACTTGCTCTATAAAGGCATCTGCAATATCCCCAATGTCTTTACAAGGTTGGCATCTCAAAATACCATTATAAGACCTAGTTTTGGACTGAGAGCAAGAGATAGATATGTTAAAATAACTTTTAAGATAAATTTAAGACAACTTCAAGACAAATTTTAAGAGATTAATTGAGCAAACATTTTTTTTTTTTCCCCAGAGATGGAGTCTCGCTCTGTCGCCCGGGCTGGAGTGCAGTGGTGCAATCTCGGCTCACTGCAACCTCCACCTCCTGGGTTCAAGCAGTTGTCCTGTCTCAGCCTTCCTAGTAGCTGGGACTACAGGCACATGCCACCATATTGGTCAGGCTAGTCTCGAACTCTTGACCTCAGGTGATCCACCTGCCTCACCCTCCCAAAGTGCTAGGATTACAGGTGTGAGTCACCATGCCCAGCCGAGCAAGTAATTTTTTATGAGTCAGGACTACCCCTATCTTCACCCCTTGCCCCAGCCAGAATAGATTCAGTCTGCCGCTAGTGCTGCTGCATGGTTGGAGAGGATTTATGGACAGAAAAAGGAAAGTAATGTACAGGAAACAGAAGCGAGGTACAGAAATAGCCGATTGGTTACAGCTTGGCATTTGTCTTATTTGAACATGGTTTGAAGATTTGGCAACATGTGATTGGCCAAAACTTTGTGATTGATACAAGAGTATGTTATAATCTGTTTACACATTGAGTTGGGTTACAGTTCACTATATAGAAAAATCTCTGGGCCGAGATTAAAGGATATGAGGAGACAGCTTTAGGCTAAACTTTATTTAACAGATATAGAGGGGAAGCACCTGGAAAGATGCTGTGGAGGAGTTGGTGAGTGGGAGTTGGAAGATAGAGAAACAAACCAAAAATCCAAGTTGGCAAAATCACATTTTGAAACATCTGAAAAAATAAATCTTATTTAAAAAATCTTTATGTGAAAAATTTAAAGCTTTTAGAAGAAAAAATATATCCTTTTGACCTTGGTCTAAAAAAGAATTTATTTAAAAGGGCACAAAAACCAAAAATAATAAAAGGAAGATTAATACATTGAATTGCATTTTAAAATTCTATACAGCAGGATGCATTACAAAGTGAAAAAACAGCTACAGATTGAGTAAGATATTTGTAACATATGTAATCAAGTAAGAATTATCCAAAATATGAAAAATATTTTTTAAAAAGGTAACAATCCAAAAGGGAAATGTGAAAGGATTTGAATAGGCAATTCACAAAATAGGAAACCTGTATGGTTGATACATACTTGAAAAGATGCATCCTTAAACAAAGAAATGCTTGAAAGAAGGATAAAAAATGTTTTGGATGGTCTTACATTAGCAATTAAATGCTGTGGCCAGAAGTAACACTTTACTTAGGCCCTGAGTGATTAGGATGATCAGAGCTTGCCTGGTGACCCATAGGAAATAGAACACGAGCAAGAAATAAACTTCTGTTATTTAAAGCCACTGAGATTTTGGGATTGTTATTGCATATAATTTAGTTTATGGCCGGGTACGGTGGCTCACGCCTGTAATCCCAGCACTTTGGGAGGTCATAGTGGGCTGATCACCTGAGGTCAGGAGTTTGAAACCAGCCTGGCCAACATGGTGAAACCCCATTTCTACTAAAAATACAAAAATTAGGCAGGCGTGGTGGCGGGTGCTTGTAATCCCAGGTACTCAGGAGGAATCGCTTGAACCTGGGAGGTGGAGGTTGCAGTGAGCCAAGATTGTATCACTGCACTCCAGCCTGGGCGACAGAGCAAGTCTCCGTCTCAAAAAAAAAAAAAAAAAAAAAAGTAAATTTTGGCTGGGTGTGGTGGCTCATGTCTGTAACTCCAGCACTTTGGGAGGCTGAGGTAGGAGGATCACTCGAGGTCAGGAATTTGAGACCCACCTGGGCAACATAGTAAGATCCCGTCTCTTCAAATATTTAAAAACTAGCTGGGCGTGGGTGGCATGCACTTGCAGTCCTAGCTACTCAGGAGGGTGAGGCAGAAGGAGTGACTGAGCGTGGGAGTTTGAGGCTTCAGTGAGCTATGACAGTGCCACTGCACACTAGCCTGGGTACCAAGTTAGACCCTGTCTCTTTAAAAGTAAAATAAAATAAATTGCTCTGGTTACCATGTAGAGATTGGATTATAAGAGGATGTTGAGAAACCACTAAGGAAGTCATTAAAGTTATTCAGGCGAGATATGATGATACTCAAGACTAGGATGGTGCATTGGATAGGACGTGGTATATTTAGATGGAATCTAGTGATAATATTGAAGGCGGGCTTGGCGAGGTGTTTCACACCTATAATGCCAAAACTTTAGGAGGCCGAGGCGGGAGGATCACTTGAGCCCTAGAGTTCGAGACAAACCTGCCAACATAGTGAGACCCCCGTCTCTACAGAAAATACAAAAATTAGCCAGGTGTGCCAAGTGGTGATGTGTGCCTGGTACTTCCCAGCTACTCAGGAAGCTGAGGTGAGAGGATTGCTTAGGCCCGGGAGATTGAGACCTCAGTGAGCTGAGATCGCGCCACTGCACTTCAGCTTGGGCATCAAGCAAGACCCTGGCTCAAAAAAAAAAAAAAAAAAAAAAGGGCAGGTATATTGGATTTAGTGAACAATTGGATGTGTTATGTATTTCTGCAACAAAATTTTTACAGTAAGCAAACAGTGCTTTTGTGGACCAAAAATCAAATTAAGTAAAAAGAAAAAAAAAAAACAAGAAGCAAGCCCTTAACAAGGCTTTGTTTTCCTCTGAACCTTAAAACTTTTTCGTTCCTATACTATCATTTCTCTGAGGTAGTTTGATTTCTTCACTTCATTTACATTTTTTTCCATTCTCACAGTATTTCTCTAGTTAAGAATTGTATTATGCCTCTACTGCACCATTATAGGAAATACTTTTTATGGTTGGACATTGTGGCTCACGCCTGTAATCTCAGCACTTTGGGAGGCCGAGGTGGGTGGATTGCTTGAGCTCAGGAGTTTGAGACCAGCTTGGGCAACATGGCCAAACCCCATCTCTACAAAAAACACAAAAATTAGCCAGGCATGGTGGCACGCAGCTATAGTCCCAGCTATTCAGGAGGCGAGGGGTGGGAGGATCACTTGAGCCTGGGAGGTGGTAGTTGCAGTGAGCTGAGATCATGCCAGTGTGCTCCAGCCTGGGTGACAGAGTGAGATCCTGTCTTCACAAAAATAAACAAACAAACAAATAAAATAAATAATACCTTTTATTATTTACCTCTGATCTATTCCTATTACAGTTCCGCATTCAGTGTAATTTCCCCTAGGGGTAACTGCAATTTCATTTTTTTAATATACCCAACAAAGAGCTGTAGCTCCCTCCTGTCTGCAGATCAGTGTTTATAGGACAGAATATAATATTCTACTATGCTAACTTTACCTTTTACCCTTTTCTTAGCACGTGCACACACATGTGTGCACATACTGTCAGAGTCCCTATTTCTCTCTCTCTACACACTGCCAGTCTCTCTCCCTTGTCATACTGTCAGAGTCCCTATTTCTCTCTCTCTACACACTGCCAGTCTCTCTCCCTTGTCCCCGCAGTCGAGTCTGTCTCTCTCCTTCTGTTTCTCTCTCTCTCTTTCTCTCTCTCTTTTTTTTTTAAGAGACGGGCTTACTCCATCTGCCAGGCTGGAGCGCAATGGTGCGGTCATAGCTCACTGCATCCTCAAACTCCTAGGCTCAATCAGTCCTTCCACTTTAGCCTCCAGAGTAGCTAGGACCACAGGTGCATGCCACCACACCCTGGCTAATTTTAAAAAAGTTTTTTTTTTGGTAGAGATGGGTCCTCGCTGTGTTGCCAGACTGGTCCTGAACTCCTGGGCTGAAGCGATCCTGCCTGCTCAGCCTCCCAAAGTGTTGGGATTCCAGGTGTGAGCCACTGCCTCCAGCCTTTCTCTTACACATGTGTACACACGCATACTGTCTTATAGTCCATGAAAATGGAAAGATTTATTCCAATGGTTCTGTTCTTAATATTCTCAAATGCCTTTATATCTCTTGATATCTTGGCATTTTCAGGTTCATCACAAATTCTCCATCTTTCCACATATATCTAACTGTAAGCCTTTGCATGTGCCCATAGTGTTACTGGAAAGGGGTCTTGATCCAGACCCCAAGAGAGGGTTCTTGCACCTTGTAAGAAAGATTTTGGGGTGGGTCCACAGAGTAAAGCAAAAGCAAGTTTAAGAAAGTAAAGTATTTTGTGTGACTTCAGGGCCTATACTAGTTCCATTTGGCCCCATAAATATCTCTAGAATCTATTCCTTTCTTGTTTTCCTCTGCTCCTGCCTTTATCAGTTCTCTCCTTGTATTATTGCAGTAGGTTTCTAGATGGTAAATGTCCCTCTTTTCTTCTTCCCCCAATCTCTTTTTCATACTCCGCCAGAGTACTTTTCTAAAATACAAATCTATTCATTTTATTCCCCTGCTTAAAATTCTTCAGTGGTTCCTTGTGGCCTACAAAATGAAGTTCAAACTCCTTATCATGGCACATCCATCATCTGGTTCCTGCTTACATTTTCAGCATCATTTCCTACTACTACTCCCCCTTTCCCACTCTGCATTCCAGTAACACTGAACTATTTATGGTTACTGGAACTTAACACGTTCTTGCTAAGCTTTTGCTTATGATACGTCCCTTGCTTGGAATTTCCTTCTCTCCTGGTCTGCTTTTTGAATCTTTACTTATCTATGACAGTTTAGCTCAAGTTATATTTCTGTGATGCTGATATTTTAAAATATTCCTTGATATTCCCTAGAGAGATTGGGCAGTATATTAGTCTGCTTGGGCTGTGTATTAGTCCATTTTCACACTGCTATAAAGAACTTCCTTGAGACTGAGTAATTTATAAAGGAAAGAGGTTTAATTGACTCACAGTTCCACATGACTGGGGAGGCCTCAGGAAACTTACAATCGTGGCAGAAGGGGAAGCAGGTGCCTTCTTCACAAGGCAGCAGGAGAGAGAAGCATGAAGTGGGAACTTCCAAACACTTGTAAAACCATCAGATCTCTTGTGAACCCACTCACTGTCATGAGAACAGCATGGGGGAAACTGCACCATGATCCAGTCACCTCCCTCCCTTGACACGTGGGGATTATGGGGATTACGATTTGAGATGAGATTTGGGTGGGGACACAGAGCCAATCCATATCAGGTTGCAGTAACAAAATACTGTAGAATATGTGGCTTAAACATATTTTCAGAAACTTACTTTCTTCCAATGTGGAGGCTAGAAGTCCAAGATAGGGTGCCAGCAGTCAGGTTCTGGTGAGAGCTCTGGGTTGCCTTCCACTGTGAAATTAGAGAGAAAGAAATCTCTCTCTTATAAGGCCATCAATGCATTTGGATTAGGACCCCATCCTTATCATCTCATTTAACCTAAATTAGTACCTAAAAGCCCTATCTCCAAATATAGTCACACTGAGGGGGGATAGGGCTTCATTATATGAATTTTGGGGGAACACAGTTCAGTTGTAGCAGTATGCAGTATTTGTTGAAAGAAGTGCTACAGTCTTTTTGTTTTATGATTCACTGTTTACATGATTGTCTTTCCCATTAGATTACACATTTCTTGAGAGTTGGGATTGTTTACTTTTTAAAATATTCTTCAGACTTTGAATATGTGGAATTGTTGAATATGTGGAGTTGTTGAATGGGCTAAGTTAATTGCATTATAGGATGGGATTAATGATGTATATTTAAGTAAGGTAGACGCCTAGAGTAGGTCTTCTGGACTGCTAACTTTGACTGACATTACTGATGAATCATTTTGACCCATTCTTTTTGCCTAGCTTGCCAACTGGATGGGTCCTTTGGTTATATATACTTTCATTCAAAGCATTTTATAACATTAACAACTTGGACAGGCGCGGTGGATCACACCTGTAATCCCAGCACTTTGGGAAGCTGAGGCAGGTGGATCACCTGAGGTCAGGAGTTCAAGACCAGCCTGACCAACATGGAGAAACCCTATCTCTACTAAAAATACAAAATTAGCCAGGTGTGGTGGCACATGCCTGTAATCCCAGCTACTCAGGAGGCTGAGACAGGAGAATTGCTTGAACCCGGGAGGCGGAGGTTGCAGTGAGCTGAGATCACGCCATTGCACTCCAGTCTGGGCAACAAGAGCGAAACTCTGTCTCCAAAAAAAAAAAAAACTTGATGAACTTAATCTATATTTTAAGAACTCTAAATGATTAAAAACTTTAGAAAGAATTGGGATTTTTCACGATTAGAGGAGACCAAGATATATTTCCTCAGCTGTTAAACAACTTCAATCTGCTAAAATATGCTACTTCATTAAGATTTTGGGAAAGAAATTTTAAGTAACAGTTTAATGTTTTGGTGTCCATCATGTCTCCTTTGCTGGAGCAATAATAGATTTTGCATATATTTTATTGTCTTTTGTGTAGAAAGCATGGTATAAAGATAAATACATTAGAATACAAAAATTGCTCCCTCTGGATGATGTTAAAAATAAGACACATGTTTTTCAAGGTATTCTGTTGCTGTTGATGAGTTTTGAGAGTAATACAAACATAGGTATGAATTTTGTTAATACTGCTTTTCAGTGAGCCTGGTCAATTAAACCTCTTTGAGTCTCAGTTTTCTAATCTGTAAAGTGATACATTTATATTACAATTTGGTTTATTTAAATGCATTTTAAAATTGAAAATGTAAAACATTCATTTATAGTCATGCACCACTTAATGATGTTTTTTGGTCAACAGCAGACCTAATGAATATATGATGGTGGTTTGTAAGATTGTAATATTGTATATTTACTGTACTTTTTCTGTGTTTAGATACATAAATACTTAACATTGTGTTATGTTAGTATTGCCTACAATATTCAGTAGTATAGTAACATAGAGTACAGGTTTGTAACCTAGGAGCAATAGACTTTATAACCTAGGTGTGTAGTAGGCTATACCATGTAGGTTTGTGTAAGAACACTCTATGATGTTCATACAATAACAAAATCTCCTAACAAGGCATTTCTCAGAACTTATTCCCATTGTTAAGCCACAATGACTGTTTTAAAATTCTAACAGTACAAAAGAGTAGCCAATGAAAAACTCTTTTTTTCTACTCTAGATCTCTAATTCTTTTTCTTCATCTTTAAAGTGACCATTGTTAAGTTTCTTACGTTTTTCCAGAAATATTCTTTTTATATATAAATATAGGTACTTATATATTAAGTATAGGTATGTGTGTGCATATGTACAAATGTGTGTTTGGGGTTGCCATTAAAAACAATAAGTTATGTAGAATAACTAGTATGAAGCAAAACAGTACAGCAGATTTTAAATGATGAATGTTATTAACTCTCTTCCCTTTCTTTCATCAAGGCTTCTTAAGGGCTTATGCAGTCAGAAAATTCCTTTAAGATTTGTTTTCATTTTGTAATTTGAAATGTTAATTTTCAGATCACAAAGGTTGTCCATGTTCACATATAAGCAGAAAAGTAATTAATATCTAACACCAGGTAATGATTTATTCCTTGCCGGTTATTTGAGATTTTTCTTTACCATGCTGTTTCATTCCATTAGCACAGTGGTATTTAAGTAGAGGTGATTTTGCACTCAAGGACATTTGGCAATATGTGGAGACATTTTTTGGTTGTAACATCTAGGAGATACTGTTAACATTTACTGGATGGAATCTAGGGATGCTGTAACACGTCTTACCATATGTGGGACAGCCTCCACAACAAAGAATCATCTGGCACAAAATGCAAGTATTACTAAGGTTAAAAAAACCGTAAGTTAGCATAAATAATAATGAATTAAGTATAAGTTGCAGCCTCGCTCATTCTTTAATTATAGTTTGTGTTGACTGTTTATTTTGTGATTTTATTATTTTATTATTTTAAAACTAAAATGATCCTAGATTAGATGTTATCTAATATGCAACAGATAGGTACATCTGTTCTGTTTCTCAGATTCTGATCTTAAAGTCATTTTATCATATAGCATTGGCATTTGTTTTGCAAGTTTTTACCTTAATTAAAAATAAATCAAAGGCAGCAGAAATCTGTGTGTTTTGTTGTCGTTGTTGTTAACTAAAATGATAAAGGGATCCTCAGCTGTTAAATCTACTTTGTTGTTTTGAGGTTTGACCTGGCCTTATTCCATATATAGCCATCTGCCAGCTGGTAAGGTGGTATCTAGTAAGGATATTTAAGAGTGTTGCCTTGCCAGATCTAGCCGTAAGCAAGTCCTATATCTAAATTAACCTTTGAGGCTGAAAATCATATAGCCATCTGCCAGCTGGTAAGGTAGCATCTGTCTAGGATGTTCAAGAATGTTACTTTGCTAGATCTAGAGGCAAGCATGCTCTCTGCTAAATTTCATCTTTACTGGACCTCCAGGATCTTTAGGACTTGTATTAGTCAGGATTCTCCAGATAAACAGAACCAATAGGAGTAAGTAGATAGGTAGGTAGGTAGGTAGGTAGATAGATATATGTATAGATAGATACACAAGGGGACCTCAGAAAGTTCATGGAAAATGCATATTATGAAAAAACTCTGCATGTTTTTCAAAAATTTTTTGTGCCAAAATAAACTTGAACAGGATCTAGTTTGAGGCACTAAGGAAGGCTAAGACATCAGTTTGAAAAAAGCTCCTATCAAAGCAACATGAATTCTACTAAAATTGAAGCAAGAACAAACATAAAATTTATAGTGAAACTTTGGTAGAAGAATGGTGAAATCATTGATGCTTTACAAAAAGTTTATGGGGACAATGCCCCAAAGAAATCAGCAGTTTTACAAATGGATAACTCGTTTTAAAAAAGGACAGGACAGGCCGGGCATGATGGCTCATGCCTGTAATCCCAGCACTTTGGGAGGCTGAGGCGGGCGGATCACGAGGTCAAGAGATCAAGACCATCCTGGCCAACATGGTGTAACCCCGTCTCTACTAAAAATACAAAAATTAGCTGGGTGTGGTGGCGTGCGCCTGTAGTCCCAGCTGCTCGGGAGGCTGAGCCAGGAGAATTGCTTGAACCCGGGAGGCAAAGATTGCAGTGAGCCAAGATCGCACGACTACACTCCAGCCTGGCGACAGAGCGAGACTCTGTCTCAAAAAATAAATAAATAAAAAAGGACAGGACAGTGTTAAAGATGAAGCTTGCAGTGGCAGACTGCAAGGAAATTTGCAAGGAAAAAATTAACCTTGTTTGTGCCTTATTTGAAGGGGACAAATGATTAACAGCAAAAACAATAGCGAACATCACAGACATCTCAAGTGATTCAGCTTACACAATTCTGGCTGAAAAATTAAACTTGGGCAAACTTTCATCTCATTGGGGGCCAAAACCATTGCACCCAAATCAGCTATAGACGAGCAGTGCTTTCAATGGAATTTTTAAACAAATGGGATCAAGATCCTGAAGCATTTCTTGAAAAAATTAAAACAGATGAAACATGTCTTTACCAATATATCCTGAAGACAGGGCATAATTAAAGCAATGGCTACCAAGAGGTGGAAGTGGTCCAGTCAAAGCAAAATGGACTGGTCATGGCAACAGTTTTTTGGGATGCTCAAGGTATTTTGCTTGTTGGTTTTCTGGAGGGCCAAAGAATGATAACATCTGCTTATTATGAGAATGTTTTGAGAAAACCAAAGCTTTAGCAGAAAAACACTAGGGAGAAATTTGTTAAAGAGTCCTTCTCCACCATGACAATGCTCCTGCTCATTCCTGTCATCAAACAAGGGCAATTTTTAAAGAGTTTCAATGGAAAATCAATATAGTCCTGATTTGGCTCCTTCTGACTTCTTTTTGTTTCCTAATCTTTTTGTTTGTTTGTTTTTGAGATAGTGTCTTGCTCTGTCACACAGGCTGGAGTGCAGTGGCTGGCACAATCTTGGCTCACTGCAACCTTGACCTCTGGGGCTCAAGCGAGCATCCTACCTCAGCCTCCCAAGTAGCTAGGACTACAAGGTGTGCCACCATGCCTGGCTAATTTTGTTTATTTTTTGTAGAGATGAGATCTCAGTATGTTGCCCAGTCTGGGCTCAAACTCATGCCTGGTGACACAGTGAGACTCTGTCTCAAAAAAAAAAAAAAAAAAAAAAAAAAAAAATATATATATATATATATATATATATATTTATTTATTTATTTACGTCTATAATCCCAGCAATTTGGGAGACTGAGGTGGGCAGCTCACTTGAGCTTAGGAGTTGCAGACCCGCCTGGGCAACATGGTGAGACCCCTTCTCTTCAAAAAAATTCAAAAATAAGCTGGATAGGCTGGGTGTGGTGGTTCCTGCCTGTAATCACAGCACTTTGGGAGGCCAAGGCAGGCAGATCACCTGAGGTCAGGAGTTTGAGATCAGCCTGGCCAAGATGGTGAAACCCCGTCTCTACTGAAAAAAGACAAAAAAATTAGCCAGGTGTGGTTGTGGGCATCTGTAGTCCCAGCTACTCCGGAGGCTAAGGCTGGAGAATTGCTTGAACCCATGAGGCAGAGGTTGCAGTGAGCTGAGATCATGCCACTGCACTCCAGCCTGGGCGACAGAGCCAGATCCTGTCTCAAAAAAAAAATACATATATATATATATATATATATATATATATATGTTTTTGTACAGTTATACAGTATGTTCGTGTTTTAAGCTAAGTGTTTTATTATAAGAGTAAAAATGTTAAAAACAGTTAAACCACAGGTTAAAAAGTTTATGAAGTAAAGTTAGAGTAATCTAAGGTTAATTTATTATCAAGGAAATAAAAAACAAAAGTAATGTTGTCTAAGTATAGTGTTTATGAAGTCTACAGTAGGGTACAGTAATGTCCTAGGCCTTCACATTCACTTACCGCTCACACACTGACCTAGAGCAAGTTCTAGTCCTACAAGCTCCATTCATGGTAAGTGCCCTATACAGGTATACCATATTTTATCTTTCATACTGTATTTTTGCTCTACTTTTTCTGTGTTTAGATACACAGATACTATTGTGTTGCAGCAACCTACAGTATTCAGTGGAATAGCTATACAACTATCCTATAGTCTAGAAGTAATAGGCTATATCATATAGCCTAGGTATGTAATAGGCTATGTCATCCAGGTTTCTCTAAGTACACTCTATGATATTCATACGATGAAGTCACCTAACAACAAATTTCTCAGAACATATTTCTGTCATTAAGCCACACATGACTGCCTTAAGTATTGTTCCATGAAATTTTTATTTTAGTTTTATGTTTACCTTTGCATTTGGTCATGATTCAAAAAAGCATTTCTTATACTATGTTTCTTTCTATACTAAGTTAACTATAAAATGGTACATCACTGGTAATAGTGATAATAAACCGGCCATTTTCATGAAAACTTAGTTTTATCTTGGCTAGGCACAGTGGCTTACGCCTATAATCCCAGCACTTTGGGAGGCTGAGGCGGGTGAATCCCTTGAGCCCAGAGTTAGAGACCAGCCTGGGCAACATGGTGAAACCCCGTCTCTACAAAAAAATTAGTTGGGCATGATAGCCTGCGCCTGTGGTCCCAGCTACTTGGGGGCCTGAGGTGGGAGGATCACCTGAGCCTAGGTGATTGAGGCTGCAGTGAGCCCTGATTGTGCTACCGCACTCCAGCCTGATGGATAGAGTGAGACCCTGTCTCAAGAAAAAAAAACAACAACAGCAGCAACAAAAAAACCCACAAAAACAAAAGCCGAAAAGAAAAGGAAACTTAGTTTTATCTTGACAAAGATATCTAATTTGCTTCTAAGCTTTTTAAATTGAAACAATGCATGGCCTATCTTTTGAATTTGTGAGTTTGCCACCCCTGAAAACATCTAAGTAGATCATCTGTCAGAGATGTTACAGGTAGGATGAATTCCTGCTTTATTATGGAAAATTTGACTTCTAGTTCTTTCCAAGTAATATTTTATAATTCTAACTTATATATGTGGTCCTATTCCTAGAAAATGATGTATTCTTTTCATACAGTTTTTCCAGTGGTACTGAAAATAACCTCAGCCCGAATTGGCTTTGTTAAACTTGGAAGTTTTTCAAGAAACATGACTCTAGAATTCTTTACTAGGTCTTCGCAAAATATTTCGCCTTGCAGTAAGAATTGTGTTCCTCTCATATCTCTTTTTTTCCTTATTTCCATGCTTTCCCATTTTATTCACATGGACAATTTTTAGTCAATTAGCATTTATTTTGGGGCTTCCTCAAAAACTCTAAATTTTTTTTTTGAGATGGAGTCTCGCTTGGTCCGAGGCTGGAGTGCAGTGGCGTGATCTCGGCTCACTGCAACCTCTGTCTCCCAGGTTCAAGCGATTCTTCTGCCTCAGCCTCCAGAGTAGCTGGGATTACAGGCGGGCGCCACCACGCCCAGCTAATTTTTATATTTTTAGTAGAGATGGGGTTTCACCATTTTGGCCAGGCTGGTCTTAAACTCCTGACCTCATGATCCACCCGCCTCTGCCTTCCAAAGTGCTGGGATTACAGGCGTGAGCCACTGCGCCCAGCCAAAAAACTCTAAATTTACCTCTTTAGGAATTTCAACCTGACCATTTGTATCTCTTCTTATATTTTCAGTTGTTGCAATAAATTTTAACTTTTTTTATGTTATTTTATAAAATTGTTTCCATTCATATATACATTTTCTTTTTTATAACAGCTTTATTGGGATATAATCTACATAGCATATAATTCACCCATTAAAATGCAGAATTCAGTGCTTTTTAGCGTATCCACAGAGTTGTGCAACTGTCACCACTGTCAATTTTAGAACATTTTTCTTACACCACTAAGAAGTCCCATGTCCATTAGCAGTAATTCTTCATTCACTCCCTCCCCAAGCCTCTGGCAACCACTAATCTACTTTCTGTCTCAAATTTGCCTGTTCTAGACATATCCTGTAAGTTGAGTCGTATCATATAATATATAGTCTTTGGTGACTGGCTTCTTTCACTCAGCATAATGTTTTCAGGGTCCATCCATGTTGTAACATATATCCAGCACTTCATTTCCTTTTATTGCCCAATAACATTCTATTACGGATATACTGCATTTCCTTTATCCTTTCATCAATTGATGGACATGCGGTTGTTTCCACTTTTTAGTTATTGTGAATAATGCCATTATGAGTATTAACGTACAAATTTTTTTTTGTGGACATATGTTTTTATATCTCTTGCATATACCCAAGAGTGAAATTGCTGGGTCAGGTGGTTAAGGCGTAAGAGTTCTTTTTATGGCCAGGCACAGTGGCTCATGCCTATAATCCCAGCACTTTGGGAGGTGAAGGTGGGCGGATCACCTGAGGTTGGGAGTTCGAGACCACCCTGACCAACATGGAGAAACCCTGCCTCTACTAAAAATACAAAATTAGCCAGGCATGGTGGCGCATGCCTGTAATTCCAGCTACTCAGGAGGCTGAGGCAGGAGAATCGCTTGAACCCGGGAGGTGGAGGTTGCGGTGAGCCAAGATCACGCCATTGCACTCCAGCCTGGGCAACAAGAGCGAAACTCCGTCTCAAATAAATAAATAAATAAATAAATAAAAGTTCTTTTTATATTCTGGATACTAGTACTTTGTTAGTTATATGACTTGTAAATTTTTCCCCCATTCTGTGAGTTGTCTTCACTTTCTTTATGGTGTGTTTTGAAGCACAGAAGTTTTAAATTTTGTTGACATTCTATCTATTTTTCCTTTTGTTGTGCTTTTTGGTATCACAGCTAAGAAGCTATTACCTAATCCAGGATCATAAAGGATCTACACCTATGTTTTATTCTGAGATATTTATAGATTTACTTATTACGTTTTGCGTTTCTGATCCATTTTCAGTTAATTTTTGCTTATGATACAAGGTTAGGGGATCCAACTTTATTCTTTTATACATGGATATCTAGTTATCACAGCATCATTTATTGAAAAGGGCAATTTTTTCCCCATTGAATTGTCTTGGCACCCTTGTCAAAAATCAGTTCACCATATATATAAGGGTTTATCTCTGAACTCTCAATTCCATTCCATTGATGTGCATGTCTGTCTTTATTTCAGTACCACACTGTGCTACAGTCTTTATTTGTTGCTTTGTATTACGTTTTGAAATCAGGAAATGTGAATCCTCTGACTTTGTTCTTCTGTTTCAAGATTGTTTTGGCTATTCTGGGTCCTTTGCATTTCCATATAAAGCAGCAGCTTGTCAATTTCTACTCGAAAGGCAGCTGGTGTTTGAAAGAGATTGCATTGAATATGTAGATAAATTTGGGGAGTATTGACATCTTAATAAATATTAAGTCTTATAATCAGTGAGCATGGGATGTCTCTTCATTTGTTTAGATAAGATTACTTTTTTTCAGTGATGTTTTGCCATTTTCATTGTGTAAATCTTGCACTTCTTCTGTTACATTTATTCCTAATAATTTTGTTCTTTTGATGCTATTATGAATGGGCTCATTTTCTTAATTTCGCATTTGGATTGCTCATTGCTAGTGTACAGAAATACAATTGATTTTTATATATTGATGTATTCTGCAATGTTGTTGAACTTTTATTAGCTCTAGTAATTTTTTTGTAGGTTCCTTAGGATTTGCTTATATACAAGCAAATTTGGATTTTGTAGATTCCTTAGGATTTGTTTATATGCAAATCCTAAGGAACCTACAAAAAATTACTAGAGCTAATAAAAGTTCAACAACATTGCAGAATACAAGACCATGCCATCTTCAAACAGAGATGACTTGACTTCTTCCTTTCTAATCTGTATGTCTTTTTATTTCATTGTTCTTTTTCTTTCTTCTTTATTTTTACTTTTTGTCTCCTTTCCCTGGCTAGGGGAATCTCCAGTACAAGTTTGGATAGGTTTGGGGAAGCCAACATTTTTGTCTCGTTCCTGATCTTCGAAGGAAAGTTTTTAGTTTTTCACCATTAAGTATGCTGTTAGTTGTGGGTTTTTCTTTTTTCTTTTTTCTTTTTTTTTAGTATTTATTGATAATTCTTGGGTGTTTCTCGGAGAGGGGGATTTGGCAGGGTCATAGGACAATAGTGGAGGGAAGGTCAGCAGATAAACATGTGAACAAGGGTCTCTGGTTTTCCTAGGCAGAGGACCCTGCGGCCTTCCGCAGTGTTTGTGTCCCTGGGTACTTGAGATTAGGGAGTTCAAGCATCTGTTTAACAAAGCACATCTTGCACCGCCCTTAATCCATTTAACCCTGAGTGGACACAGCACATGTTTCAGAGAGCAGCGGGTTGGGGGTAAGATTATAGATTAACAGCATCCCAAGGCAGAAGAATTTTTCTTAGTACAGAACAAAATGGAGTCTCCCATGTCTACTTCTTTCTACACAGACACAGTAACAATCTGATCTCTCTTTCTTTTCCCCACATTTCCCCCTTTCCTATTCGACAAAACCGCCATCCTCATCGTGGCCCGTTCTCAATGAGCTGTTGGGTACACCTCCCAGACGGGGTGGCGGCCGGGCAGAGGGGCTCCTCACCTCCCAGACGGGGTGGTGGTAGGGCAGACACACTCCTCAGTTCCCAGACGGGGTCGCGGCCGGGCACAGGCGCTCCTCACATCCCAGACGGGGCGGCGGGGCAGAGGCGCTCCCCACATCTCAGACGATGGGCAGCCGGGCAGAGACGCTCCTCACTTCCTAGACGGGATGGCTGCCGGGAAGAGGCGCTCCTCACTTCCCAGACTGGGCGGCCAGGCAGAGGGGCTCCTCACATCCCAGATGATGGGCGGCCAGGCAGAGACGCTCCTCACTTCCCAGACGGGGTGGCGGCCGGGCAGAGGCTGCAATCTCGGCACTTTGGGAGGCCAAGGCAGGCGGCTGGGAGGTGGTGGAGGTTGTAGCGAGCCGAGATCACGCCACTGCACTCCAGCCTGCAATCCCAGGCACTCGGCAGGCTGAGGCAGGAGAATTCAGGCAGGGAGGTTGCAGTGAGCCGAGATGGTGGCAGTACAGTCCAGCCTTGGCTTGGCATCAGAGGGAGACCGGGGAGACCGGGGAGACCGGGGAGACTGGGGAGAGGGAGAGGGAGAGCAGTTGTGGGTTTTTCATAGATGCCTTTATCACATTGAGAATGATCCTTTCTATTCCTAATCATGAAATGGTGTTGTATATTTATTAAGACATTAAATACACATTGACTAGTATTTATTTGCTTTCCCACATAGAAAATATTATTATTATTGTTATTATTTTTCTTGGAGACGGAGTCTTGCTCTGGTCACCCAGGCTGGAGTGCAGTGGCACAATCTTGGCTCACTGCAACGTCTCCCTCCTGGGTTCAAGCAAATCACCTTCCTCAGCCTCCCGAGTAGCTGGGACTACAGGCGCATGCTGCCACACCTGGTTAATTTTTTGTATTTTAGTGGAGATGGGGTTTCACTGTGTTGCCCAGGGTGGTCTCGAACTCCTGAGCTCAGGCAATCCACCCACCTCGGCCTCCCAAAGTGCTAGGATTAAGAAAATATTCTTAATACTAGTCTTTCAAAGTTTTCTTCTCTTATTTTCTCTCTTCTACTTTGAAGGGAAAGCAGGGATCAACGTAAGAGTGCAATAAATATCTTTTTTGAAATTCTAAACACTAAGGTTGAATTGTCACTAATTTACTTTATTTAAAAATCATAAAGGCTGGGTGCGGTGGCTCACGCCTGTAATCCCAGCACTTTGGGAGGCCGAGGCGGGTGGATCACGAGGTCAGCAGATGGAGACCATCCTGGCTAACACGGTGAAACCCCGTCTCTACTAAAAAAAAAAAACAACAAAAAACAAAAATTAGCCGGGCGTGGTGGCGGGTGCCTGTAGTCCCAACTACTCAAGAGGCTGAAGCAGGAGAATGGCGTGAACCCGGGAGGTGGAGCTTGCAGTGAGCCGAGATTGCGCCACTGCACTCCAGCCTGGGCGACAGAGCAAGACTCCGTCTCAAAAAAAAAAAAAAAAAAAAAAATTATAAAATGTGGCCAGGCGTGGTGGCTCACGCCTGTAATCCCAGCACTTTGGGAGGCCGAGGTGGGCGATCACCTGAGGTCAGGAGTTCGAGACCAGTCTGGCCAACATGGTGAAACCCCATCTCTACCAAAAATACAAAAATTATCTGGGCATGGTGGCAGGTGCCAGTAATCCCAGCTACTCGGGAGGCTGAGGCAGGAGAATCGCTTGAACCCAGGAGGCGGAGGTTGCAGTGAGCCGAGATCACGCCATTGCACTCCAGCCTGGGGGACAAGAGCGAGACTTTGTCTCTCAAAAAAAAAAAAATTATAAAATGCATTGAAAGTGGGATAATGGAAATGTTTTCTTGGGGGAGTCACGTACTTCATCTGGGTTAACCTGTTACAGAGGGAGTTAGTCTAAGTGAATCTTAAAATTGTTATCCTCAAATTTCAGTGATCTTTTACTTTATAGCTTGTATGCTTCTATGGTCCCCCAGCAAGAAATCTTGTACTCATTAGCAGTTATTCCCAGTTCTTTTCCACACACACTCCCCTATCCCAGCTGTAGGTAAGTACTAGTTTACTTTCTGTTTCAGTATCTTCACCTATTTTGGGTGTCTTATATAAATTGAAATCTATAAATTGTAGTCTTTTGTGATTAACTTCATGGTTCATCCATGTTTTAGCGTATATCGGTACTTCCTTTCTTTTTTTTTAAACTATGGCAAATCATATAATAAAATTCACTTTCCCAACAATTTTCAAGTATATAGTACAATATTGCCAACAACATGCACATTGTTATGCAACAGATGCCCAGGATCCCCCTATCCTGCATGGCTGAAAGTCTACATCCACCAAACACAACTTCCTACTTCACCCTCCCTCTAGCTCCTGGCAACAAACCACCATTTGACTTTCTGTTTCTGTGAGTTTCACTGCTTTAGATGCTTTATATAAGTATGCATTATTTCATCTTTTGTGACTGGTACACTTCTCTTAGCATAATGTCCTCAAGGTTCATCCTTGTTGTAGCATATGACAGGATTTACTTCTTTTTAAAAGACTGAATAATATTCTCTTGTATGTATATACCATATTTTGTTTATCTGTTCATCTGTTGATGTACATTTAAGTTGCTTCCACCTCTTGCCTATTGTGAATAATAATGCAGTGAACATGTGTACTGTGGACTGAATTGTGTTCTCCTCAAATTCATATATTGAAACCCTAACTCCCAGTGTGACTGGGTTTGTAGATAAGGCCTGTAAGGAGGTGATGATAAAGGTTAAATAAGATAAGGTTGGGGCCTAATCCAATAGGGCTGGTTCCTTTATAAGAAGAGGAAGACACCAGATCTTTTTTCTACACTGTGGGAAGACACAGCAACAACATGGCCATCTGTAAGCCACGAAGAGAGCTCTCACCAGGAACTGATGGATAGCACCTGGATCTTGGACTGCTCAGATAGGTTTATACGATCTAGTCTGTGGTATTCAGTAGCCCAAGCTGACTAATATAATGGCTGTGTGTGTACAAATAGCTTTTCAAGATTTTTTACAATTCTTTTATACAGTGGGAAAACTGTATTCTATTTATACCCAGAAATAGAATTGCTAGAACATGTAGTAGTTCTATTTTTAATTTTTTGAGGAACTTCCATATTGTTTTCCATAGCGGCTGCACCATTTTTCATTCCCACCAACAGTGTACAAGGGTCAAGGATTCCAATTTCTTTATATATTCACCAACACTTACTTTCTGCCTCTGTCTCTCTTTCTCTCTCTCTCTTTCTTTCCTTTCTTTCTCTCTCTCTTTCTGTCTCTCTCTTTCTCTCTTTCTTTCTTCTTTTTTTTTCAAGACGGAGTCTTGGTCTGTCACCCAGGCTGGAGTGCAGTGGCGCGATCTCGGCTGACTACAACCTCCACCTCCCTGGTTCAAGCGATTCTCCTGCATCAGCCTCCCAAGTAGCTGGGATTACAGGCATGTGCCACAATGCCCAGCTAATTGTTTTATTTTTATTTTTATTTTTGGTAGAGACTATTGGTCTTTGCCCACTAAATTGGAAGATATATTACCTTGTAATTGCCTTCAGAGCAGGGTTTTCCTCCTTTAGCTCATTGACATCTTGTACCAGATAATTTTTTTTCCAGATAATTTCTGTGTGTGTATATGGAGGAGCCATATGTGCATTGTAAGATTTTGCCAGCATCCTTGACAAATGTTGGTGGTACTACCGACTAATAACATAGTGGTACAAATGTTAGTGGTACTACCGACAAATGTTAGTGGTACTACCACCGGTTGTAGTGACAACCAAAAATGTCTCCAGACATCTCCAAATATCCCCTGGGGCGTAAAACTGCATATCATTGAGAACTTTATGGCCCTAAAGAAAGAGATACAGTTTTATTCTCTGCTCGCTTTCTTTTCTGTTAGTCTTGATTATTTGTCATTTACAATATTTAACCTTGCTCAGCAAAATTTTAACCTTTCAAATAAAAGAAGTAGGTTACTGCTTTAAATTATTGCTAAATAATTCTCAGGGCAGGTTTTTCTAAGTGAATTTGAACTTAGAAACATAGAATAGAGATGGATGAAAGTATCCTCATTTTATTTGTTTTTTTATAAGAAAATTTATTTTTGAAATAATTTGGGGCACATGTGCTTGTGAAGAAATCCGTAGATATTGAGAGAGATGAAGTGTTAAAGATAGTTTAATTCAACAAATTTCTAAAAAAATAACAAAACCTAGAGAAATTATGTAATTTGTTTTTTGTGTTGGTGTTGGTGTATATAGTTACATCAAAAATTTTAAAGACTTTAGTTAGATGTGTTCTACATGTGGAACACTTTTGTGTTGAAATGTTTTGTGGAGGTCACTAGTGATTTTTAGAACACTATACATGTACTAAAATGTTCTATGTAATATTGGATGGAATGATCCATTGTTTTATTTACCCTTCTTTTTCTCTAGAACTTAACTCTACATTTGGAAGTAGTGTATCTTACATTTTTTAATTTTTAATAACAAAGCCAAATAATCTTCTCAGTGAATTAGAAACTTATTTATTTATTTTTTGAGATGGAGTTTCACCCTTGTTTCCCAGGCTGAAGTGCAATGGCACGATCTGAGCTCACTGCATCCTCCGCCTCCCGGGTTCAAGCAATTCTCGTGCCTCAGCCTCCCAAGTAGCTGGGATTACAGGCATGCGCCACCATGCCTGGCTAATTTTGTATTTTTAGTAGAGGTGGCGTTTCACCATATTGGTCAGGCTGGTCTCGAACTCCCGACATCAGGTGATCCACCTGCCTTGGCCTCCCAAAGTGCTCGGATTACGGGTGTGAGCCAACACACCTGGCCTAGACATTTTTTAAAGTGTAGTAAATATGTGACATACTGGCAATGTTGCATCACCATATACTTGAAAATGCTATCCAGATGCTTTTTTGTATAGGAGTCCCACAAGATATGCAAACATTTTTATTTATTTATTTATATTTGTATTTATTTATATATTTAAGACAGAGTCTCCCCCATCACCCAGGCTGGAGTGCAGTTGGGTGATCACAGCTCACTGTAGCCTCAACCTCCCAGTCTCAAGCCATCCTCCTGTCTCAGCTTCCCAAGTACCTGAGACTACAGATGTGTGCCAACATGCCTGGCTAATTTTTTAATATTTTGTAGAGACAGGGTTTCACCATGTTGCCCAAGCTGATCTCAAACTCCTGGGCTCAAGCAGTCCAACCATCTCAGCCTCCCAAAGTGCTGGGATTACAGGGGTGAGCCACTGCACCTGGCCTATTTTTAGTTTTTTGAGGAACCTCCAAACCATTCTCTGTAGTAGTTTTATTAATTTACATTCCCACCAACAGTGTATAAGGGTTCCCTTTTCTCCAGACCCTTGCAGCATTTGTTATTGCCTGTCTTTTGCCATGTTGCCAGGGTTGGTCTCAAACTCCTGGGCTCAAGTGATCCTCCCGCCTTGGCCTCCTAAAGTGTTGCAATTGCAGGCATAAGCCACCATGCCTAGCCCTACAAACATAATTTTTTTTTTTTTTTTTTTTGAGACGGGAGTCTTGCTCTGTCGCCCAGGCTGGAGTGCAGTGGCACAATCTCGGCTCACTGCAACTTCCGCCTCCTAGGTTCATGCCATTCTCCTGCCTCAGCCTCCCGAGTAGCTGAGACTACAGGCGCCCGCCAACACACCTGGCTAATTTTTTGTATTTTTAGTAGAGATGGGGTTTCACCGTGTTAGCCAGGATGGTCTTGATCTCCCGACCTCGTGATCTGCCCATCTTGGCCTCCCAAAGTGCTAGGATTACAGGCATAAGTCACTGCGCCCGGCCACAAACAATTTTATACAAAGAATTTGAAATTTGAAAATTAACACAGGCTGGGCGTGGTGGCTCACGCCTGTAATCCCGGCACTTTGGGAGGCTGAGGTGGGCGGATCCCCTGAGGTTGGGAGTTCAAGACCAGCCTGACAACATGGAGAAACCCTGTCTCTACTAAAAACACAAAATTAGCTGGGCATGGTGGCGCATGCCTGTAATCCCAGCTACTTGGGAGGCTGAGGCAGGAGAATGCTTGAACCTGGGAGGCAGAAGTTGTGGTGAGCCAAGATTGCGCCATTGCACTCCAGCTGGGGCAACAAGAGCGAAACTCCGTCTCAAAAAAAAAAGAAAGAAAATTATACATTGTTGAAATAATTTTATTTCATTAGATATGCATAATAATTTTTAGCTCTACAATTTTATGTTCGCTTGTGTTTTTGAGTCTGTAAATCATAATGATGGGCCTATTGGGCATTCATTTCAATATAGTATTAGTGTAACAGAGCAAAGAGTATATGAATACTCATGATCCTACCACATTTGGGGATATAGTCTGTAGACCCTTTTTGTGCCCATGTGCACACACTCACATACATTTTTTTTTTTTTGAAACAGAGTCTTGCTCTGTTGCTCAGGCTGGAGTGCAGTGGTGCCATCTCAGCTCACTGAGCCTCTACCTCCCAGGTTCAAGTGATTCTTCCGCCTCAGCCTCCTGAGTATCTGGGATCACAGGCATGTACCTACCACGCCCTGCTAATTTGTGTATTTTTAGTAGAGACAGGGTTTCACCACGTTGGCCAGGCTGGTCTCAAACTCCCGACCTCAGGATCCACTCACTGCGACCTCCCAAAGTGCTGGGATTACAGGTGTGAACCACTGCACCTAGCCATAAATTTTTAAAAATGCAGTTACATTATGCTGGTGTTTAATACGGTCTTTCCCCTCTAAAAATAGATTGTAGATTGGCTGGATGTGGTGGCTCACACCTGTAATCCCAGCACTTTGGGAGGCCGAGGTGGGCGGATCATGAGGTCAAGAGTTTGAGACCAGCCTGGCCAACATAGTGAAACCCTGTCTCTATTAAAAATACAAAAAAATTAGCTGGACATGGTGGCAGATGCCTGTAATCCCAGCTACTTGGGAGGCTGATGCAAGGAGAATCACTTGAACCTGGGAGGTGGAGGTTGCAGTGATCCAAGATTTCGCCACTACCCTTGAGCCTGGGCGATGCTGTGAGACTCTGTCAACAAATCACATCTAAACAATTTTTCATGACTGCATAGTATTTTATTTTGGGGTATAGTATGATTTTGACAACCTAAATATATCTATAGAGAACTGATTACTGGCCGGGTGCAGTGGCTCACGCCTGTAAATCCCAACACTGTGGGAGCCTGAGGTGGGAGGAATCCTTGAACTAGCTTGTGCAAGAGGGCGAGACCCCATCTCTACAAAATGTGTTTTAAAATACTAGACAGGCATGGCGGCATGTGCCTATAGTCCAGCTACTCGGGAGGCTGAGCTGGGAGGATCCCTTGAGCCCATGAGTTTGAAGCTGCAGTGAGCTGTGATTGCACCATTGCACTCCAGCTTGGGTGACAGAGCAAGACCCTGTCTCACATACACAAGAAGAGAGAAATGATTACCAGTGTTTGCTATTACAAATAATGTTCTAGTAAGTAAGTACACTTATACATATTTGTATTTTTTTAATATAAAAATTTGAAAGGGAATGTGGAGTCTTAGGAAGATCCATATTTAAAATTGTTATTTTATGATGCTCTCCAGGCAGGTTATAGAAAATTATGTAGGTTAAGAATGTTTCTAGGATATTCAAAATTTAGTCCTCTTTTAAGAGTAGGTAATGAGGATGGCCACCCATTGCAACATGGGTTGAAAAAATAGAGTCATCCAAAACCATCTCATGGAATTCTTATTTATTTGTTTATGGGTTTATGACTTATATTTACACCATTAGAATATAACACCTTAAGGGTAGGTGGGCACTGTCTTATTCCCAGCATTTTTCCTGGTTTAGAATACTGCCGGGCACATAACCCACACCTAATAATAAGTATTTGACTTTTTTTTTTGAGACAGAGTGTTGGCCAGGCGCGGTGGCTCAAGCCTCTAATCCCAGCACTTTGGGAGGCCGAGGCGGGCGGATCATGAGGTCAGGATATCAAGACCATCCTGGCTAACATGGTGAAACCCCGTCTCTTCTACAAATACAAAAAAAATTAGCCGGGCATGGTGGCTGGCGTAGTCCCAGCTACTCGGGAGGCTGAGGCAGGAGAATGGCGTGAACCCGGGAGGCGGAGCTTGCAGTGAGCCGAGATTGTGCCACTGCACTCCAGCCTGGGCGACAGAAGGAGACTCCGTCTCAAAAAAAAAATAAAAATAAAAAATAAAAAAAAAAAAGTGTTGCTCTGTCGCCCAGGCTGGAGTGCAATGACTTGGTCTTGGCTCACTGCAGCCTCCTCCTCCCGGGTTCAAGCAGTTCTCCTGCATCAGCTTCCCGAGTAGCTGGAACTACAGGCACGTGCCACCATGCCTGGCTAATTTTTTGTATTTTTATTAGAGACGGGGTTTCGACATGTTAGCCAGGATGGTCTCGATCTCCTGACCCCATGATCCGCCTGCCTCGGCCTCCCAAAGTGCTGAGATTACAGGCATGAGCCACCGCGCCCGGCCTCTTTAATGACTGATTTTTGTGTAGACTCCAGGATATATAAGCCTCTTAGAGGTTTAAGCGTGGCTTATGTGCTTTTCTGTGGTTTAGCTGTTGGCTCTGAATTAGGAGAGAACAATATATCTTATTGCTGTTTGGGAAAGCTTGGATTATTTTGTCAGTTTAGAATTGGTGTGTGTGTGTGTGTGTGTGTGTGTGTGTGTGTGTGTATTTTTTGTTTTAATCAGCTTTTGCTTGTCTTTCTCTTTAGGTGTACAGAAAAGAGTTAAAATAGCAGGCCTGGGGTGGGGGTGGCAGCTCACACCTGTAATCCCAGCACTTTGGGAGGCCAAGGCAGGCGAGGTCGGGAGTTCGAGACCAGCCTGACCAACATGGAGAAACCCTGTCTCTACTAAAAATACAGAATTAGCCGGGCATGGTGGCACATGCCTGTAATCTCGGTTACTCAGGAGGCTGAGGCAGGAGAATCGCTTGAAACCGGGAGGTGGAGGTTGCAGTGAGCCAAGATTGCGCTGTTACACTCCAGCCTGGTCAACAAGAGCGAAACTCCATCTCAAATAAATAAATAAATAAATAAATAAATAAATAAATAAATAATAAAAAAATAACAGACCTGAGACTGCTATCTTTAGAATGGCCTGCTTGCAACTTGGCCCTTAGCTGGCATTTAGGAATTTAGATTTTGGGAGTGTTCCCACCATCCCCAAACCGATATGAGTGGTTTACTATGCCTAAAGTGTTTGTGCAAACAGTGTGGAAATATGCTTTATATTGAATGCCTCCCTTTCTTCTGGGAATTTGGATACCTGCTAGGCTAAGTATGCCTCTGTGACCCATGACCCAATAAAAACTTTGGACACTGAGTCTCTAATGAGCTTCCTTGGTTAAACAACATTTCACACGTTTTGTCACAATTCACTGCTAGAGGAATTAAATGCACCCTATGTAACTCCACGGAACTGATGGAAGTTTACACCTGGTTTTCTCCTGACTTTGATTCATGTCTTTTCCTGTTGCTGAGTTTGGTTTGTATTATTTTGCTGTAATATATTATAGCCTTGAGGCTGGGTGCGGTGGCTCACGCCTGTAATCCCAACACTTTGGGATTACACCCAGATGAGGTGGGTGGATTGCCTGAGGTCAGGAGTTCGAGACCAGTCTGGCCCACGTGGTGAATCCCCATCTCTACTAAAAATACAAAAAAAAAATAGCCAGGCTTGATGGCATGCACGTGTGATCCCAGCAATCTGGGGGGCTGAGGCAGGGGAATTGCTTGACCTAGGGAGGTGGAGGTTGCAGTGAGCCAAGATGGCACCACTGCACTCCAGCCTGGGCAACAGAGCGAGACTCCGTCTCAAAAAACAACAACAAGAACAACAACAAAAAAAGCATTATAGCCTTGAGTACGACTTTGTGCTGAATTCTGTGGGTCTCAGGGATCCCCAACACAACATCAAATTTGAGAACATCCTGAGCAGGTAGGTACCTTATGAAGATTTTGATCTCTTTCCTACTATGATCTTTCTCTGACATCATGAGAATGCTCAGCAAAATGATAATTTAATCTGTTGTATTCTAGATACAGAAATATGTAAATTAAGGGATGAATATTTTATTTTTGAAAGGATTATTTGCTTTACAAAAGATTTCACCATGGGCTGGGCGAGGTGGCTCATGCTTGTAATCCCAGCACTTTGGGAGGCCGAGGCAGGTGGATCACCTGAGGTTGGGAGGTTGAGACCAGCCTGACCAACATGGAGAAACCCTGTCTCTACTAAAAATACAAAATTAGCCGGGCATGGTGGCGCATGCCTATAATCCCAGCTACTTGGGAGGCTGAGGCAGGAGAATCGTTTGAACCTGGGAGGCGGAGGTTGCAGTGAGCCCAGATCATGCCATTGCACTTCAGCCTGGGCAACAAAAGTGAAACTCCATCTCAAAAAAAAAAAAAAAAAAAAAGATTTCACCATAAGATTGGGAAAATAGAGGACTCTTGCTTGATTTATATACTTAAATTTAGAAATTTGAGTTTACACTAAATTTTATAGGGACAATTATGTTAGATTAAGATACTCTGTTTTTCATATATTTCATAACAGAATTTGTGATACTCTGAAATCCCAGTTGTATTTGTCTTGAGAAGTTTGTGTTCTGGGAAAGGAATACTGTTGCTTCAGCTATTTAGTTATTTGCCCCATTACTGCAAGGTTCCTGTGTTGTTTATTTTAGATAGTTCATTTTGACATTTAGATAAACCAAAGCCAAACACACAAGCATGCCCAGAATTAGTCCCTGAACTTCATTCCAGGGTAAAGATAAGACATTTAGACTTCTCCAGTACAGATAAATATATTACAACTACTGAAAAATGGGTGTTATGTGACTCTTGTATTTTTAGATACAGAATGACAGTGAAGGTCTTAAAAAATTTCTATCAGTTAAACTTATGGGAAAATTTATATTCACTTATAGATCCTACTTTTCAATTATAGGTTATGCCTAGGATTCTGTGACTCAATAACACCTTTTAATAACACGAATGAAAAATATTTAAATTCCCCTGAACTATATGTTGTCCTATTCAGCTCTATATTGTGTCTTGCCTTTGAAAAAATGGACTTCATTGAGGTATAAACTGCATCTATTTAAAACTGTACAATTCCAGCCGGACACAGTGGCCCACGCCTGTAATCCCAGCACTTTGGGAGGCCGAGACGGGAGGATCACCTGAGGTTAGGAGTTCGAGACCAGCCTGGCCAACATGGCAAAACCCCGTCTCTACTAAAAATACAAAAATTAGCCGGGTGTGGTGGCAGGTGCCTGTAATCCCAGCTACTCGGGTGGCTGAGGCAGGAGAATTGCATGAACCCAGGAGGCAGAGGTTGCAGTGAGCCGAGATCGTGCCATTGCACTCCAGCCTGGGGGACAAGAACGAGACTCTGTCTCAAAACAACAACAAAAAACTACAATTTGATGAGTTTTTGTTTTGTTTTTTGTTGTTGTTGTTGTTTTTGAGACAGAGTTTCACCCTTGTTGCCCAGGCTGGAGTGCAATGGCATGATCTCAGCTCACCACAACCACCATCTCCCAGGTTCAAGCGATTCTCCTGTCTCAGCCTCCTGAGTAGCTGGGATTACAGTCATGAGCCACCACTCCTGGCTAAATTTTTTGTGTGTTTTTAGTAGAGATGCGGTTTCTCCATGTTGGTCAGGCTAGTCTCAACCTCCCGACCTTAGGTGATCCGCCTGCCTCAGTCTCCCCAAGTGCTGGGATTACAGTCGTGAGCCACTGCGCCTGGCCAATTCGGTGAGTTTTTATAATTGTATAATAGTCATGAAACTCCCCACCATACTCAACATACAGTACATTTTTATCATCCCCCAAAGATTCCTTATGCCCCTTTGTATTCTGTTTGCCCCTTGCCCTTAGCACCAGGCAATGACTGATCTGCTTTAGATTACTTTGTATTCTCTAGGATTTCATATGAATGGAATCTATATGCACTTGTGTGTGATGTCTTTTGCTCTGAACAATGTTTTTGATATTTATCCATATTGTTACATAATCTATTCCTTTTATTGCTGAGTAGTAACTTATATGGATGTATCACATTTTGTTGATCACCAATTTATGAACAGTTGTTTACGTATTGTAAATAAATTGCTATTGTATGAGTTTTTGTGTGATATATGATTTCATTTTCCTGTTTTGTTTTTGGTTTTCATTAATAAAAAAGATTGGTTCTAGTAGTCAGGCATTGTGGCTTGTGCCTATAGTCCCAACTATCCAGAGACCAAGGCAGGAGGATCACTTGAGCCCAGGAGTTCAAGTCCAGCCTGGGCAACATAGCAAGACCCTGTCTCTTAAAATAATTGGTTCTAATAGTTCTTGTTAGTGGCAAAAATTAGGGGAAAGAAGTACATCAATAATTTACTTATTCAATAAATACTTGTTGAATGCCAAGTATAATGCCATGTGCTTAAAACACAATGGTGAACAAGGACTCAGCCCCTGCTCTTATTTTAGCTTATACTTTAATGAACAAGCTAAGCACATTTACAAGTAGTAAGAATTATGGGGATTGTGTGCATAAGTATAGAATGTTATGGAAGTATGTGATAGGGGATCCCGCCTCAGTGGTCTGGGGTAATTAGAGTAGGAGTCTTCAGAGAAATGTTTAAGAGGAACAGAAAGTAAATAAATGAGGCACTCCAGGTAAAGAGAACAGAATGCATGAAGGCCTTGATGTGAAAAAGAGAATGGTACTTTATGTGTGCTATCTGGATGAAGCTGGAGGGATTTGGAGTTTCTAGATTATGTAGGTCCTTGTACAACATCTTAAGGATTTTGGAAATTTTCCTGAAGATGGTAGGAAATCACTAAAATGTTTCAAGCAAGGACGTGACGTGATCAAATTGTGGATCTTATCATTGCAGTTTAATATATACTGTCTTTTTTTTTTTTGAGTAAATTATTTATAGTCCCTTCATTATCAGAAATTCTGCCCATTATTTAAAATTCTATTACTTTTAATAATAATTTTTAGTAATACTAAGTATATACCCAAAAGGAAGGAAATCAGTATATCAAAGAGATGTTTGCACTCCCCTGTTTACTTCACCATTGTTCACAATAGCCAAGATTTGGAAGCAACCTAAGTGGCCATCAACAGGTGAATGAATAAAGAAAATGTGGTACATATACACAATGGAGTACTATTCAACCATAAAAAAGAATGAGATTCTGTTATTTGCAACAACATGGATTGGAGGACATTATGTTAAGTGAAATAAGCTAGGCACAGAAAGACAAATTTTGCATGTTCTTACTTGTTTGTGGGAGCTCAAAATTAAAACAATTGAACTCATGGAGATACAGAGTAGAAAGATGGTTATCAGAGGCTGAGAAGAATAGTGGCAGAGGGGGTAAGGACAGGGCAGAAGTGGGGATGGTTAATGGGTACAAAAGTATAATTAGATGGAATGAATAAGATCTAATATTTGATAGCACAAGGTGACTACAGTCAACAATAATTTATTGTACATTAAAAATAACTAATAGAGTATAATTGGATTGTTTGTAATACAAAGAATAAATGCTTAAGGGGATGCATATGCCATTTACCCTGATGTGATTGTTAACTCATTGCATGTCTGTATCAGAATATTTCATTTACCTCATATATACCTACTATGTACCCACAAAAATAAAAAAATTTTTTGTAAGAGATGCTATCAAGAAGGTGAGTAAAATATTGCAGTAAGACTAGGACCACTCCCCATTTTATTATTTTATTTCTGAATAAGTAAAAAAATTTATTTTTAATTTTTGTTTTTGAGACAGGGTCTCACTGTCACCCAAGCTGGAGTGCAGTGGCGTGAACTTGGGTTACTGCAATCACCACCTCCCGGGCTCAAGTGATCCTCCCACCCCAGCCTCCCAAGTAGCTGGGACTACAGGCACACACCACCACACCTGGCTAATTTTTTGTATTTTTGGTAGAGATAGGGTTTTGCCACGTTGCCCAGGCTGGTCTCAAACTCTTGAGCTCAAGCGATCCGCCCACCTTGGCCTCCCAAAGTGCTGAGATTACTGGGGTGAGCCACTGCACCCAGCCCTGAATATGTAGAATTTAAATATGCAGATGCTACTGGAATACTAAAGTTTTAAATTCCCATTTATGTAAGAGAAGGCTACTTGCTGGAAGTAAATCGGGGATAAAGCCAAGAGGCCTGGTATTTGATTTTCGGTAACAGTCTATAACCAAGTAACTTACCTACTAACTTATCTAGTTACTTGTTACTTGTTATCTAGTAACTTGTTACGTTATTGAGCACTCATTTATAGTACTTGCTCTGAGTCTGTGAGGAGGAAGTCTTTAGGAGAAGCAGGGATTATCAGAACAATTTACAGTTGTGCTTTAATGGACAAAACCAAAACATGATTACAATTTGACAATTTTGTTTATATATAGTGCTTAGTATATTTATATAAACTCTCTAGAGCTGCACTATCTAAAATAGCACTAGAGACACGTGGTTATATTAGTTGGCTTGGACTGCCACAACAAAATACAATAGACTCGATGTCTTGAAACAACAGCAATTTATTTTTTCACAGCTCTGGAAGCTGGGAAGTCCAAGATCAAGGTGCTAGATGACTTGGATCCCTGGTAAGGGCTCTATTCCTGGCTTGCAGATGGCCACCTTCTCTCTGTGTCCTCACATAGCACAGAGAGAGGAAGCAAGCTCTGCAGTGTCTGTTCCTATAGGGTACTAATCCTATCTCATGACGTCCTTGAAACCTAGTTACCTCCAGAGGCTCCATGTCCAAATAACATCACATTGTGGGTTAGGGTTTCAGTAAGTGAATTTGAGGGGGACACAATTTTAAGTCTTACAGCAGTGGCTATTTAAATTTACATTGCAATTAATTGAAATTAAAACAATACTAAAAATTCAGTTCCTCAGTCACACTAACCGTATTTCAAGTGCTTAATATCCAAATAAGGTGACTGAGAGTGATGGTTCACACCTGTAATCCCAGCACTTTGGGAGGCCAAGTTAGGAGGATTGGTTGAGCCCAGGAAATTGAGACCAGACTGGGCAACATAGCCAGACCCCATCTCTATCTAAAAAATAAAAATAAAAAAATATGACTACTGGTTACTGTATTAGACAATGTAGATTATAGAATATTTCCATTTTCACAGAAAATTATATTGGATGGTGCTGATATATAGTATATGGAAGTCTGTCATGATAGCTATTGATACACAAAAGACGTTAGTCTTATTTTGAGTGAGATACAATGCTGTGATTGTGTCTTACTTGAAGTCTGCTTTCCTCAGTAAAAATCCATTATAATGAACTCCTTTAAGAAGTGGAGAGTTTTTTGTTTGTGGGGAGTGATTAGTTTTATTTTAAAGTGTTTTTTGGCCCAAAATGGTTAGTTTTATTTTAAAGTGTTTTTGGATTATTTTCATGGTATGTTCTTTTGTGTACTTTTTATCTTAAAATTAAAGTAGTATTGCCAGGGGCGGTGGCTCACGCCTGTAATCCCAGCACTTTGGGAGGCCAAGGTGGGCAGATCATGAGGTCAGGAGATCGAGACCATTCTGGCTAACACAGTGAAACCCCGTCTCTACTAAAAATACAAAAAATTATCTGGGTGTGGTGGTGGGCGCCTGTAGTCCCAGCTACTTGGGAGGCTGAGGCAGGAGAATGGTGTGAACCGGGGAGGCAGAGCTTGCAGTGAGCCGAGATTGCGCCACTGTACTCCAAACTGGGCAACAGGGTGAGACCCGTCTCAAAAAAAAAAAAAAAAAAAAAAAAAAAAAAAAAAAAAAAGTTAAGTAGTATTGCTAATTACCTGTTTCAGATCTCATCACAAAGGACACTATGTTTTTTTGTTTGTTTGTTTGTTTTTGTTTTTTTGAGATGAAGTCTTGCCGTGTCGCCCAGGCTGGAGTGCAATGGCTCAATCTCGGCTCACTGCAACCTCCGCCTCCCGAGTTCAAATGATTCGCCTGCCTCAGCCTCCCAACTTGCTGGGATTACAGGCGCCCACCACCACGCCCAGCTGCCCAGCTAAGTTTTGTACTTTTAGTAGCGATGGGGTTTCACCATGTTGGTCAGGCTGGTCTTAAACTCCTGACCTCATGATCCGCCCATCTCGACCTTCCAAACTGCTGGGATTACAGGCGCGAATCACTGCGCCCGACCGATTGGTTCTATTTATGTAGCACTTTTCTTTCTTTCTTTCTTTTTTTTTTTTTTCCAGAGGGAGTCTCGCTCTGTCGCCTAGGCTGGAGTACAGTGGCACGATCTCAGCTCACTGCAACCTCTGCCTCCTGAGTTCAAGCAATTCTTCTGCCTCAGCCTCCCAAGTAGCTGGGACTATAGGCGTGTGCCACCACACCCGGCTAATTTTTGTATTTTTAGAAGAGACGGGGTTTCACCATATTGGTCAGGCTGGTCTTGAACTCCTGACCTCAGGTAATTCACCAGCCTCGGCCTCCTAAAGTGCTGGGATTACAGGTATGAGCCACTGTGTCCAGACTGTATAGCACTTTTCAAAGCCCTTTCATATATCTCTGCTACTCACAGTGAACCCGAGTGTGGAGATTGCATGTAAACTATACAGTATACATGGCTTCATATGTGGGTGTCTCTTAGAAGACACACAATAGTGTGAACTCTCCTAATAACTGTATATAAATGTGTAAGTTGAACCTGTATTCTTTCCTTTTTTCACTCCTTTCTTTTTTTTAAAGTGCCTTGGGATTTTTAGAAGGGGATATACCTTTCCAATAACCCATATACTATTGTCTGCCAAATTGACCATATTTTCAAAACAGATTTATTATCTATCTACCTACCTACCTACCTATCAATCATCTGTCTCTCTATTGAGAGACACTAGTATTAGCATCTGATCCAAAACAATGAATGAGATTAAACCTCATGTAATAAGATTTTGAGTTAGAATAATAAATAGCCTTATATGTGTTTGGGTTTTGCATACTGTAGCTGTCATATCATGTTTCAGTTATTCATTGCTTCAGATGATTAAGGGTTTTTTTTTTGTGCTCAGCCTTAATATAGCTCATTTATCATGAACATGATATAATAATTTTTCATGACTATTATCTATTTCTAGTGATTTCTTCATCAATATAGATTTATAATGACTTTTTTTAGAATGAAAGAAGAAACAGAAAAATGACATAAAGATCAATTATTTTTAGCAAGCAATAATATAAAGATATATTATTTTTAGCAATATTTTATATATATATATATATATAGAGAGAGAGAGAGAGAGAGAGAGAGAGAGAGTATTATAGATAAGCCATTAAAATCTTTGGAAACCTATGCTAATTTTTCTGTGTCATACTTTCATCTTTTTCCCCCAACATCATATAGTAGAATGAGACACTTCTACTCAAAGGACAAGACATAGATTGCAAGTTTGACTTTTTTGGTTTTTTTTGAAATGGAGTTTTGCTCTGTCACCCACACTGGAGTGCAATGGTGTGATCTTGGCTCACTGCAGCCTCCGCCTCTGGGGTTCAAGCGATTCTCCTGCCTCAGCCTCCCAAGTAGCTGAGATGACAGGCACACGCCACCACGCTCGGGTAATTCTTGTAGTTTTTAGTAGAGATGGGGTTTCTCCATTTTGGCCAAGCTGGTCTTGAACTCCTGACTTCAGGTGATCTGCCCACTTTGGCGTCCCAAAGTGCTGGGATTACAGGTGTGAGCCACCATGCCCAGACTTTACTTGTTTTTCAAGTAAATGATTGGACACCTTCAGTTTAAATGATATGGTAACACATGGACAATTCTGTATAGTGATACTTTTTGTTTAAAGCATTTATTTGCCATATATATAATATTTAAAAAATTTTTGAGCCAGGTACTGTGGCTCACTCCTGCAATCCCAGCACTTCCGGAGGCCAAGGCAGGAGGATCACTTGAGTCCAGGAGTTTGTGACCAGCCTGGGCAACATAGCAAGACCTTGTCTCTGCAAAAAAAAAAAAAAAAAAAAAAAAACGCACACAAAAATTAGCCGGGCTTGGTGGCATGTGCTTGTGGTCCCAGCTACTCAGGAGACTTAGGTGGGAGGATCCCTTGAGCCTGAAAGCCGGAGGTTGCAGTGAGCCAAGGTTGTGCCACTGCACTCAAGCTGGGCAATATTACTGAGACCCTGTCTCAAAAAAAATTTTTTTTTTTAAATTAAATGCTTAATTCTCTTATAGTCTATCTTTGTTAGTGTGCTCAGTTAGAATTTGGCCTCTGCTGTATTCTGTCAAATTGTCCTCTTTATCCTTTCTATAGCTCTGAGTTTAACAGATCTTTAGAATAGATGATAACCAGTGGTGATTGTTTCTTTAATGTGCACATTTTTCTTTATTCAAAAAGATGGCTTTCTTTTTATTTGACGTGTATTTTTTGCATTCTCTAACCCAATTTTCTTATACATTTGGGACTTCAATTTGTATCTGCCTATAAGCAAACTTACTTATAATTACAATTTTTATCCCTGCCAAATCTTCCCTGTGTATAAATTGGTTATCATTAGGTTCTAAAAAGTTTTTATAGAGTTAGTTTGAAAAGCTGTTCTTCATAATTGTGTACAGTTTCTAGAGTTTTACATTTATGGACCTACCTTGCATGCAATATCTTGAAGACAGAAAAAGTGTAGGCTGTTCTCAAAACGTTGGAGTGAGAAAGTAAGATGTCCTGCTGCCAAATATAAAGTTGTTTTTATACTGTCTCTCTGCTGAAAATCCTTTTTATTTTTCTCCTTTAAGCCTTCCTCTTTGATTGAGTGCACTCTCTTCTTTTCTAAGGTTTTCGTTTTTTGGATACTTGTTTAACAAACTTTTTGTCAGCTACCATTTGGCAGCTCACTTTCACAACCCTCACACTCCTCTTTTTACCTACTTTTAGTTGTTTGGCAAACATCTATATTTTTGTACAACTTTGGCAAAAATGATTTATCAATGTAGCTCCATACCTGTTGAATAAAAATAGTAGAAATTATACATCACAAGAAATAGAACCTTATTAAGAATTTTCTTTACATTTAACTTTTAAGTTCAGGGGTACATGTGCAGGTTTGTTATATATGTAAACTTGTGTCATGGGGGTTTGTTGTACAGATTGTTTCATCACCCAGGTATTAAGCTTAGTATTTCATTAGTTATTTTTCCTGATCCTCTCCCTCCTCCCACCCTCCACCCTTTGCTGGCCCCAGTGTGTGGGGTTCCCCTCTATGTGTCCATGTGTTTTCATCATTTATCTCCCACTTATAATTGAGAACCTGTGGTGTTTGGTTTTCTGTTCCTGTATTAGTTTGCTAAGGATAATGGCCCCAAAACCATACAAATTCTGGAAGACAGCCTAGGCAATACCATTCTGGACATAGGAACAGGCAAAGTTTTCATGACGATGCCAAAAGCAATTGCAACAAAAGCAAAAGCAAAACAAAAAACAAAAGCAAAACGAGATTTAATTAAACATAAGAGCTTCTGCATGGCAAAAGAAACTATCAACAGGGTAAACAGACAACCTACAGAATGGGAGTAAATTTTTGCAAACTATGCAACTGACAAAGGTGTAATAACCAGCATCTATAAGGAGCTTAAACAAATTTACAAGAAGAAAGCAACCTCGTTAAAAAGTGGGCAAAGGAAATAGATAGTTTTCAAAAGAAGACATGCATATGGCCAACAATTATATGAAAAAACGGCTCAGTATCACTGATCATTAGAGAAATGCAAATCAAAGTCACAACGATATATCATCTCACACTGGTCAAAATGGCTATTATCAAAAAGTCAAAAAATAACATATGCCAGGAAGGTTGTGGAGAAAAAGGAACACTTATACACTGTTGGTGGGAGTCTAAATTAATTCAGCCATTTTGGACACATGCACGTGTATGTTTGTTGCAGCACTGTTCACAATAACAAAGACGTAGAATCAATCTAAATGCCTATCAGTGCTAATCTGGATAAAGAAAATGTGGTAAATATACACCATGGAATACTATGCAGCCATAAAAAAGAATTCTTAAAGGTTGATTCTACATCTGAAAATTACTTGAAATTAAACTAAAAAAGCCCAGTGTTTAAATTTTTTGGCATTTGACATTAGAATATCCATGCTATGGAGAAAAAGAAAACTTTAAGAATATTTTTTAAACAGAGAAGAAGAACATACTGTACTGATATCTTGAAGGATTTCAAGCTAAACTAAAAATTCAATAGAAAAAATAAAATTAGTGCTAAAGGAAGTAAAGAACAGACATTGTAGTACAAAATTGAATAAGAGGATTGGAAGAACACCTTGAGAAACTCTCACAGAAGCAGAGGAAACAATGAGAACGATAAAAGAGAATGTGCTGATTTTGGAGACCATGGATCCATAATCATATATCCATAATATAATATGGATCCATGTCATCATTTCCAAAAAAAGACATAAGAAAAATGAATGAAAACAGTTAACAGAGCATACATTAATATTATTTTCCTGACCTGAGAAAAGACCAAACTTTTTTTTTTTTTTTTTTTAAGAGATAGGGTATCACTCTGTTACCCAGGATAGGCTACAGTATTGCCCTAGTAACCCAGACTCTAGGGTGCAGTGGTGCGATAGTTCACCATAGCCCTGAACTCCTGGGCTCCAGCTATCCATCTGCCTCAGCCTCCCAAGTAGCTGGGACTGCAGGCATGCACTACCATATTTAAAAATTTTTTAATTCCTTGTGGTTACCTTACTGTGTTGCCCGGGCTGGTGCAAACTCCTGGCCTCAAGCAGTCCTTCTGCCTCAGCCTCCCAAAGTGTTGGGATTACAGGCACAAGACGCTGCACTCGGCCACACCAAACTTTTTATATTGAAAGTATTGATTATCAAAAACACATATAATAAAAAGAGAACAGGCCAAGTGCAGTGGCTCATGCCTGTAATCCCAGCACTTTGGGAGGCCAAGGTGGGTGGATCACCTGAGGTCAGGAGTTTGAGACCAGCTTGGCCAACATGAAACCTCGTCTCTACTAAAAATACAAAATTAGCCGGGCGTGGTGATGCATGCCTGTAATCCCAGCTACTTGGGAGGCTGAGGCAGGAGAATGGCTTGAACCCGGGAGACGGAGGTTGCAGTGAGTCGAGATCATGCCACTGCACTCCAGCCTGGGCAGCAGAGCAAGACTCCGTCTCAAAAAAAAAGAACAATACTTAGATACATGCTAGTATGTTTGTTGAATAAAAGAACATCAATAAGCATGTGTAATTAGTCTAACCTTCCTAGGTTGTTGAAAAGGAACTAAAATCAAGCTTCACCTCCAAAAATATAATGCTTATAATGACCTGTGCAAACAGTTTTGAACAAAAATGATAATTCCAGGAAGAAGGGGAAGCTAGAAAATTGAGAGTTTTAAATCAGAAGCAGCAGTTCAATTGAGAATAAGAATTGACTGGATTCAGTTGTTTAGCTAATGATAAGAAAAAAAGAAAAAATGACATCCCTTTGACATTTTCTTAGTTATTCCACAAACATATCTGCATAATTTATATTTTATTGTATTTTTCTTATCTTTTTAAAGGTAAGAAATCGTAATATACTTTTTTCTTTTTTTATCATTCAATTTCTTTTTTTATTATTATTATACCTTAAGTTCTAGGGTACTGTGCACAACGTGCAGGTTTGTTACATATGTGTGTAGTATACATTTTCTTTGTTGTTTCCCGTATGTGGTTGGGGTAGCATTTTGAAGAGATGGTCTTTCCACCTGCAAAGCTATTTGTATATTAGAATATTTAATTCTCCTGGGGACTGGACTAAAAGCCAGTGAAAATGCTTCAGGCATTTTGACAGGTAAACCAAAACAAAGTAAAATACCACTTCCACACATTTCCAAATTCTTCTCCCTTGCATGCAGTCCTGCCAAAATTAGGAACCACTATTTTTTTTTTTTTTTTTTGAGATGAAGTCTTGCTCTGTCGCCCAGGCTGGAGTGCAGTGGCGTGGTCTCAGCTCACTGCCTCCCGGATTCAACTGATTCTCCTGCCTCAGCCTTCTGAGTAGCTGGGATTACAGGCATGCGCCTGCATGCCCAGCTAATTTTTGTATTTCTAGTGGAGACGGGGTTTCACCATGTTGGCCCGGCTGGTCTCAAACTCCTGACCTCGTGATCTGCCAGCCTCTGCCTCCCAAAGTGCTGGGATTACAGGCGTGAGCCACCGTGCCCAGGCTAGTAACCACTGTTTATCTATTAATTTGTACTCAGGGTGTTAATAGAGCACGTTAATTGATTTTTTGAATATTGAACCAGGCTTGCATATCTGGGATAAACCACCCCGTACCTTTTTTTTTTTTTAACTATACTTTTTTTTTAAATGCTGAACTATCCACAGGCCCTTATGGTTTTGTTTTTTGTTGTTGTTGTTGTTGTTTTTGTTTTTTGAGATGGAGCTTTGCTCTTTTTGCCCAAACTGGAGTGCAGTGGTGCGATCTCAGCTCACTGCAACCTACACCTCCCAGGTTCATGTGATTCTCTTGCCTCAGCTCCTGAATAGCTGGGATTACAGGCGTACACCACCATGCCCGGCTAATTTTTTGTATTTTTAGTAGAAACAGGGTTTCACCATGTTAGCCAGGCTGGTCTCGAATGCTGACATCAGTTGATCTGCCTGCCTTGGCCTCCCAAAGTGCCTGGGATTACAGGTGTGAGCCACTGTGCCTGGCCAACATTGGATTTTTCAGTTGTATTACCAGTTTTATGTTCAAAACTCCTTTAAGAGGTTCTATTTTTATGCATTGTCTTTACTTAACCCAATCTCTTCATTTATAAATATGTAAATATTATGTATTTAGAAAATATATAATGGTAAAGTTTGAAAGGATGCCTGAGTAACCAAGAACAGTGGTTTCCTGGGGTGGAAGGAGGGCAACATCGGAATAGACAAATGGGAACAAGGGTATGAGTGAAGCTTTTCACTATATAATCATTTATAAAATGGACAGATTGATCGGCTGACACTAAAGTTCTTTTCAGTGTTCTAATCCTATGAATCATGTCTAGAATATTTAAACTATTGATAAAAGACCAGCATCTACAAAATTTTTAAGTTTTCTTATTATTGTTGGTTAATTTCATCTCCAGAATTTAGTTATTAGTTTTGTTCAGAAACATTATTTAAATAAATCAGCCTCAGTGCTATGGTGCGTATGAATTAAGCCATACTAAAGGTACACATCCAAAATAAAGAAACAAGTCAGAAGCCCCCAAGGAATATATTGGCCAAGTGTATTAGACTATTATTTTAGCTAATCAAACACATTAGGAAAGCCTACTGTAAGAAATGAAATTAAAGATCAGATATTGCTTTCGATAACCTTTTACTTTAGTATTCTCAGCAATGTTGGTAAATATTTATTAGCTGATAAATTATGTGGCAAATGTTCTACAAAAATTAGTTAAATCGGATTATGTGTGTGGAGAAAGATTGGCATTAAAAGTACATTAGGTTGTCCTTTTAGGATAAGTCTATTGAGCATTTCTTTTTCTGGTTATTATATTGATAATTTGAATAACAGAAAGTAATTTTTTTGGTCGTGCATGGTGGCTCACGCCTGTAATCCCAGCACTTTTGGAGGCCTAGTTGGGTGGATCATCTGAAGTCGAGAGTTCGGGACCAGCCTGACCAACATGGAGAAACCCCATCTCTACTAAAAATACAAAATTAGCCGGGCGTGGTGGCACATGCCTGTAATGCCAGCTACTCAGGAGGCTGAGGCAAGAGAATCGCTTGAACCCAGGAGGCAGAGGTTGCGGTGAGGCGAGATTGTGCCATTGCACTCCAGCCTGGGCATCAAGAGCGAAACTCTGTCTCAAAAAAAAAAAAAAAAAAAAAAGAATTTTTTTTTATTGAAGTATAATTTATACCTGAAGTTCACTCAATTTAAGTGAACAATTCAGTTATTTTTTTTGCAAATGTACACACTTGTGCAATGGTTACCAGTTTAATTTTAGAACATATATATACCCTAAAAAGAAACCATGTACCCATTCATAGTTACTCTTTGTATCATTAGTTTACCATACCTAATTATGTATGTAACTTTGTATAACTGACTATAAAATATGATAAAAGTAAGTACTATGCAATTTCCAGAATTATTCAGCCTTCTAGGTTTGTTTTGAAGACTTGGTAATTTTGAACATGGACATTTTCTTTGATGATATTTTTTATTTGGACACCAAAATTATTTAATAGAAGCAAGAGTGGTGAGAATAATTTGAGTACGAGGGGATTGCTTTTGGGAAATGAGAATTTTAAAATTTCCTTCTTGTTTGGAGTTTACAAATGAATTCATGAACAGAAGAACGTCATTGAATGTAAAATTAGAAATTTATGTAAAGATTTCAGTTCAAATAATTTAGTAGGGAAATTTATGAAGTCATTCGGATAAGACAAAGATTTTATATAATATTTTGAAAACATTAAATAATTTGTCATTCCTTTATTTCCTTTATTTTAGCTTCGCAGAATCAAGAACGGCTATGTGCGTTTAAAGATCCGTATCAGCAAGACCTTGGGATAGGTGAGAGTAGAATCTCTCATGAAAATGGGACAATATTATGCTCGAAAGGTAGCACCTGCTATGGCCTTTGGGAGAAATCAAAAGGGGACATAAATCTTGTAAAACAAGGCAAGTGATACTTTCCTTACCTGAAATGACTGTGTTTTATACAATTGATATTTATCTAAAAAGGACATGGGAGTATGTTAAAATCCTGTTCAGAAAAACAGTGAATTTAAAAGTGTATATATAAAGCCAGGTGTGGTGGCTCATGCCTGTAATTCCAGCACTTTTCGAGGCTGAGGTGGGCGGATCACTTGAGGCCAGGAGTTTGAGACCAGCCTGGGTAATAACATGGTGAAACCCCGTCTCTACTAAAAATACAAAAATTAGTCGGGTATGGTGGTGTGCGCCTGTGGTCCCAGCTACTCAGTAGGCTGAGGCAGGAGAATCACTGAACCTGGAAGGCAGAGGTTGTAGTGAGCTGAGATGTCACCAGTGCACTCCAGTCTGGGCAACAGAGCAAGACTCCATCTCAAAGAAAAAAAAAGTGTGTGTATATCTCCACAAGCCCCAAATTTATAAAAGGCTATTTATTTTTAGATTATTTTTAAAACATCTTTCTTATAATGTTATACATGCCCGTTCTATGAATTTTGGAATATATAGAGAACTACAAAGAAAACAAAAGTCTACAATAATATACTCTTTAAAAATATTTTTACTGGCCGGGCGTGGTGGCTCACGCCTGTAATCCCAGCACTTTGGGAGGCCGAGGCGGGTGGATCACTAGGTCAGGAGGTGGAGACCAGCCTGGCTAACACAGTGAAACCCCGTCTCTACTAAAAATACAGAAAATTAGCCGGGCGTGGTGGCGGGCGCCTGTAGTCCCAGCTACAGGCTGAGGCAGGAGAATGGCATGAAGCTGGGAGGCGGAGCTTGCAGTGAGCCGAGATCGCACCACTGCACTCCAGCCTGGGCGACAGAGCGAGACTCCGTCTCAAAAAAAAAAAAATTAGGAACATACTGTATAAACAATTTCATATCCAGTTTTCTCCACCTTAATTATAAGCATTTTTCCATGTCTTTAAAGAATCTCTGAAAACCTTTTTAACTTTTGCACAACATATCATTGTATATATGTATCATAGTTTACTTACAGATTATTCTATTGGTAGACATTATGTTATTTTCATGTTTTCACTGTAATGCATAGTGAAACACAGTTGTTCAGTGAACAACTTTAAACATAATTTTTTGATTGTATGTGATTGTTTCTTGAAATAGATCCCTTGATGTAGAATTATTAGGTTATAAGATATATCAATATTTTAAAGACTGTATAAAAATTTCCATGTGGCTTTCTAAAAGTACTGTTCATTTATATTCTCTCCAACACTGTATGAACGTGTCTGTGTTACTGAATCATTTTTCTTTTTTTATTTTTATTTTTTGAGATGGAGTCTCGCTCTGTTACCCAGGCTGGAGTGCAATGGTGGGATCTCGGCTCACTGCAACCTCCGCCTCCCGGGTTCAAGCGATTCTCCTGCCTCAGCCTGCCAAGTAGCTGGGACTACAGGTGCGCACCACCACGCCCAGCTAATTTTTGTATTCTTAGTGGAGATAGAGTTTTGCCATGTTGGCCAGGGTGGTCTCGATCTCCTGACCCTCATGATCCGCCCACTTCGGCCTCCCAAAGTGCTGGGATTACACGTGTGAGCCACCGTGCCCAGCCATTTTTCTGATATATATTATTTATTTATTTGTTATTGTATTTTTGAGACAGAATGTCACTCTGTCGCTCAGGATAGAGTGCAGTGGCACATTCATGGCTCACTGCAACCTTGACCTCCTGGGCTCAAGCAATCCCCCCAAGTCAGTAGGACCACAACTAGGCACCACCATTCCCAGCTAATTTTTAAGTGTTTGTAGAGATGTGGTATGGCTGCGTTGCCCAGGCAGGTCTCAAATTCCTGGGCTCAAGTGATCCTCCTGCTTTGGCTTCCCAACGTGCTGGGATTCTAGGCGTGAGCCACCGTGCCCAGCCATATTATTTTTTAAACCTAAAACAATATATTTGGTATAGACAAAAATGAAACCTTACTCTTGCTTTAATAATTCTTCGATTAGCTGGGTGCAGTGGCTCACACCTGTAATCCCAGCACTTTGGGAGGCCGAGGCAGGCAGATCACCTGAGCTCAGGAGTTTGAGACCGGCCTGACCAACATGGAGAAACCCCATCTCTACTAAAAATACAAAATTAGCCGGGCATGGTGGTGGCACATGCCTGTAATCCCAGCTACTCGGGAGGCTAAGGTAGGAGAATCGCTTGAACCCGGGAGGTGGAGATTGCAGTGAGCTGAGATCGTGCCATTGCACTCTAGCCTGGGCAACAAGAGTGAAACTCCGCCTCAATAAATAAATAAATAATTCTTAGATTAATCATGCAGTTAAACCTTTTTTGGTGGCCTTTTCCCCCCCATGAAATGTCTTTGGTATCCTTTACCATTTTTCTGTTTCTTAAAAATATGTTTCCTGTTGATTTGCAAAACTGTTTCATAGCTTACACGTACTCTCACATTTATTGAAATTACTGCTTAGTTTGTTGTTTTTCTCTTAGTTTTCTTTATCATATTGTCTCCTTTTTTGTATTCATATTGATTTATAGGATGTTGGTCTCACATTGGAGATCCCCAAGAGTGTCACTATGAAGAATGTGTAGTAACTACCACTCCTCCCTCAATTCAGAATGGAACATACCGTTTCTGCTGTTGTAGCACAGATTTATGTAATGTCAACTTTACTGAGAATTTTCCACCTCCTGACACAACACCACTCAGTAAGTAAAGTAACCAACTTTTCTTTGTATTTCCTTTCTCCAAAGATTTGCAAAATATAAAAAAACTTAAAAAACATTCAAGGTTGAAGCCAGGCGTGATGGCTCATGCCTGTAATGCCAGCACTTTGGGAGGCCGAGGTGGATGGATCACCTGAGGTCAGAGTTTGAGACCAGCCTGGTGAAATCCCGTCTCTGCCAAAAGTAAAAAATTAGCCGGGCGTAGTGGTAGGCGCCTGTAATCCCGCTACTCAGGAGGCTGAGACAGGAGAATTGATTGAACCCGGGAGGCAGAGGTTGCAGTGAGCCAAGATTGCACCATTGCACTCCAGCCTGGGCAACAAGAGTGAACCTAAAAGAAAAAAAAAATTCAAAGTTGTTGGGAGTGAGAGGTAGAGTTCCAGCATCATAAGATTACATCTGGCAAACACCTGAAATCCGAAAGCGATGCACCAGGACTTCCAAGGCATCAATATATTACTAAATAACTTTGGTAAAATATAGTACTGGCCAGGCACAGTGGCTCATGCCTGTAATTTCAGCACTTTAGGAGGCCAGAGCAGGAGGAGCACTTGAGCCCAGGAACTGAAGACCAGCCTGGGCAACATAGTGAGATCCCATCTCTACCAAAACAATAAATAAATTAGCCAGGCGTGGTGGTGCGCATGTGTAGTTCAGCTATTTGGGAGGCTGAGGTTGGAGATTTGCTTGAGCCTAGGAAGTTGAAGCTGCAGCTATTGTGCCACTGCCCTCTAACCTAGGTGACACAGCGAGACTCTGTCTCAAAATAAAATAAAATGTAGTACTTTACAACCTGTATGGAGGGAAATTTGGTTAAGACAACTACATGTGTGCTTACTCTTTCACCTAGCTTTCATATTTCTTGGAATTTATCTGGAAGATACATCTTCAATAGTACGAATATACATAGACATTGAGTTGTTTACTGCAGTGTTATTTGTAACTGCACAATATTAGGAAGTAAATGTCCAAGAATAGGAGATTAGTTGAAATATACTATGGTACATACATGTAATGGAGTACCAACTATACAGCTATAAGAAAAAAATAAGATCTCTATGAACTAGCACAGAGTGATTTTCACCGGTAATATTAGATGCAAAAAGTACATATAGTAGGCTGTCTTGTATAGGACTGGAAGGAAAATAAAAAAGCCTATCTATTATTGACTTACCTTTAAAAAAAGAAACAAAGAATAAATAGAAAATAATGAACTTGGTTATTTATAAGGGATCCAAGGAATGAGACAGAAAGAATATGGAAGGGAGTGAATGTTCTCTGAGTGTAGCTTTTTTTTTGGTTTTTGTTTATTTTTTGGTTTTGTTTTGTTTTGTTTTTTTGAGATGGAGTTTCGCTCTTGTTGCCGAGGCTGGAGTGCAATGGCACGATCTCGGCTCACCACAACCTCTGCCTCCCAGGTTCAAGCGATTCTCCTGCCTCAGCCTCCCTAGTAGCTGGGATCAGGCATGTGCCACCACGCCCGGCTAATTTTGTATTTTTAGTAGAGACGGGGTTTCTCCATGTTGGTCAGGCTGGTCTCGAAGTCCCGACCTCAGGTGATCCACCTGCCTCAGCCTCCCAAAGTGCTGGGATTACAGGTGTGAGCCACCGTACTCGGCCTGAGTGTAGCTTTTTGTATGTAGTTTTTACTGTTGGCATCGTGTCACTATTCTACGTAAGCAAACAAAATTAAGTACCTAACAATGGAAAGGAGAAAAATTCTTCACAGTATACGCAAACTGAAATAAATGAACCCAATTTTATTTTTATTTTATTTATTTATTTTTTTGAGACAGAATCTTGCTTTTGTCACCCTGGCTAGAGTACAGTGGCACGATCCCGGCTCACTGCAACGTCCACCTCCCAGGTTCAAGTGATCTCCTGTCTCAGCCTCCCAAGTAGCCAGGATAACAGGTGTCTGCCACCACACCCAGCTAATTGTTGTATATTTAGTAGAGATGGGGTTTCGCTATGTTGGCCAGGCTGGTCTCAAATTCCCGACCTCAGATGGATGATCCGCCCACCTCGGCCTCCCAAAGTGCTGAGACTACAGGCCTGAGCCACCGCGCCCGGCCCCAATTGTATTTCATATTACTATAATAACTACCCTGATACCAAAGTTATTGAAAGATAAGGGGGGGAAAAAAAGCCCTGAAGAGAAAAAGAACTAATTCAAGTGATTTATAAGCACAGTATTTGACTATATACACTCTTGTGCAAGACGTGATATAAAGGATGGAGGAGAATTGCAAACAAATACTGAACTCTTTTGAGAAGATTTGTCTTTTAGTAGTGTGGGCAAAGCAATTCTGAAACCATCGTAGATGCATTATAGGATTAAGAAAATAAGTTGAGGCTGGGTGCAGGGGCTCATACCTGTAATCCCAGCACTTTGGGAGACTGAGGCGGGCAGATCACGAGGTAAAGAGATCAAGACCATCCTGGCCAACATGGTGAAACCCCATCTCTACTAAAAATACAAAAATTAGCTGGGTGTGCTGGTGCATGCCTGTAATCCCATCTACCCAGGAGGCTGAGACAGGAGAATCACTTGAACCTGGGAGGCGGAGGTTGCAGTGAGCCGAGATCATGCCATTGCACTCCAGCCTGGGCAGCAAGAGTGAAACGCTGTCTCAAAAGATAAAAATAAAAAAAAGGAACGAAGCCTTCTTAGAAAAATGATTTATCCCAAGACTGGAGCAGGATAGATACAAGATAAGCCTGGGACATCTTGTAATGTTTTAATAATTTTTGTAAGAAAGTAAGGAAAGAGGCCGGGCGCGGTGGCTCACGCCTGTAATCCCAGCACTTTGGGAGGCCGAGGCAGCTGGATCATGAGGTCAGGAGATCGAGACCATCCTGGCTAACAAGGTGAAACCCCGTCTCTACTAAAAATACAAAAAAAAATTAGCCGGGCGCGGTGGCGGGCGCCTGTAGTCCCAGCTACTCGGGAGGCTGAGGCAGGAGAATGGCGTGAACCCGGGAAGCGGAGCTTGCAGTGAGCCGAGATTGCGCCACTGCAGTCCGCAGTCCGGCCTGGGCGACAGAGCGAGACTCCGTCTCAAAAAAAAAAAAAAAAAAAGAAAGTAAGGAAAGAGCCTGTAATCCCAGCACTTTGGCAGGCCAAGGCAAGAGGACTGCTTGATCCCAGAATTTCACAACCAGCCTGGGCAACATAGACCTTATCTCAAAAAAAAATTAAAAAGTAGCCAGGTGTGGCACACGCCTGTAGTCCCAGCTACTTGAGAGGCTGAGGTGGGAGGATCACTTGAACTTGGGAAGTCAAGGCTGCATTGAGCTGTGATCAGGCCCCTGTACTCCAGCCTGGGTGACAGTGAGACCCTGTCTCAAAAACAAAACAAAGCAAAAAAAGGAAGGAAAAGTACCTAAAAATATCATGGAGACTTGTCATAAGGACACAGGAGCCAGCTGGAAGGAACTCCCACTGGCTAAATCTGGGTCAATTTGAGTGCTAAACAAGTACATTAATGAACTGTGAACCACTGGAAGGAAAATGAATCATGAGTAGAATGTCAAGTGCCAACTGGTAAATGTAGGATTGCTGGAGTTGGCAGCTTATCATTCTGCAACCATTGTGTTAAGGATTGGATCAGGCAAGAATCATCAAAGGATCCTAAATCTAGGGGCAGTTTCAATGAGGAGCCAGGATATTTGCATGCCTTCCACATATCTCAAGGGAAAAGTTAGTAATTATAAAATGGGAAAAATGGACACCTTGACCAGGTAATAAAAGTTAACATTATTAAAGAAGGACACATGGAAATCCATGATACCTAGAGAAGGACACATAACTAATATAGTACTATATTCCAGTCAAGAATGCATAACCTGAATTTAATCATGAGGTAATATCACACAAACCCCAAATTAGGAATGTTCTGTTACAAAAAGGGGGATCGCATTTTTCAAAAATGCGAATGTCATATAAAACAGACTGTGGGAAAGGTCTAGGTCAAAGGAAGCAAAAAAGACTGGACGACTAGGCAGTGCCTGTCTTTTACTGGATGAGAAGAATGTGATAAAGGACATGATGATTAGAGAAAAATGTTGTTTCAATGTTAAATGTGCTGAAGCTGATAATACTGTGGTTTTATAAGAGAATAACCATATTCTTAGGAAATAATCTAAGAAGTGTTTAAGAATAAAGGACCATGATTCTACTGTGTATTGGTTCAAAAAAAGATTGTGTGTGTGTGTGTGTGTGTGTGTGTAGAAAGAGGTAATAAAAGCAAACAGTAAAATGGTATCAGTAGGTGAATAGGTAAATCTGGGTAAAAGTATATGGTGTATTCTTTGTACTATTCTTGTGACTGTTGTGTAAGGTTTAAATTATTTCCAAATAAAAATTTTAAACAATTTTTAAAGTTTAAAAAGTTAAAATATAGCACATCTCAAGAATTTTCTTAGTCAACCAATTATAACAGACCATACTCTAGGATCATCAGTTTTGGATTATTTCCTTTGATTTGTTGATGAAGCACTAAACTGAAAGCAATAGGAAATTTTCTTTATAGCTGTAGTTTCTACCTATTGAAGGCCATTAGCTTCTATTAGGAGATTGTATTGAATTGGATACATTTATTTTTCACAAACAAAACAAAGTCTCTAATTTTCACTTGTACTTCTAGCTAGATGAAAGAGAGAAAGTGGCCATGTGCGGTGGCTCACACCTGTAATCCCAGCACTTTGGGAGGCCAAGGTGGGTGGATCACCTGAGGTCCGGAGTTCCATGCCAGCCTGGCTACCAAGGTGAAACCCCATCTCTACTAAAAATACAAAAATTAGCCGGGCATGGTGGCGCATGCCTGTAATCCCAGCTACTTGGGAGGCTGAGGCAGAAGAATCACTTGAACCCAGGAAGCAGAGATTGCAGTGAGCCGAGATTGCACCACTGCCCTCTAGCCTGGGCAACAGAGACTCCGTCTCAAAAAGAAAAAGAAAGAGAGAAAGTGAATTTGTTCATACATATCCTCAAAGATCTTTACAGCTGCCTTACATTTCAGATTGTTACCTAGGTCTTAGTTTAGTTTACTATAACCTTTTGACCCAAAAGTAGGAATATTGCCAGCTAGGAATCAGTAATGCTATTGCAATAAAAAGGGAAAGTGTTTTAAGTAAAGCGCTCTAATTTGGAAGCATTAACTCAATTTATATATTTTGTTCTTGAGACAAAAAAATTGAGTGAAGTTAAAGTTGGCAAACAAGATCAGTTTTGGCTTTTGCACTAACCTCAAGAAAAATAACTACTGTAATATCAAATGTCAGACATTTAGTCTGCAATTGCTAGGTGTTTAACCAAAATAAAAATAATTTTATTTGTTGAAGTTTAAAGAAAGAAAATATAAAAATCAGAAACAGAACTTTTGCTCATGGCCATATAACAATAAATAGAAAGTTTGGTGATGGTGAGTTTTTTCTCCTTTAAAATTTTTCATTATGGCAGGGCACAGTGGCTCATGCCTGTAATCCCAGCACTTTGGGATCGCTTGATCCCAGGAGTTTGAGACCAGTCTGGGCAACATGGAGAAACCCCATCTGTACCAAAAATACAAAAATTAGCTGGGCATAGTGGCGCACACCTGTGATCCCTGCTACTTGGGAGGCTGAGATGGGAGGATCACTTGAGTATGGGAGGATCACTTGAGTTTGGGAGGCGGAAGTTGCTGTAATCCAAGATTGCGCCAGTGCACTCCAGCCTAGGCTACAGAGTGAGAACCTGTCTTAAAAAAAAATGAACATAAAAATTTTAACAAAAACACATTTTAAAATTACAAAAAACTGGCCAGGCGCGGTGGCTTACGCCACTAATCTCAGCAGTTTGAGAGGCCAAGGCGGGCGGCTCACTTGAGGTCAGGAGTTTGAGACATCCTGGCCAACATGGAAAAACCCTGTCTCTACTAAAAATAGAAAAAATTAGCTGGGTGTGGTAGTGGGCGCCTGTAATCCCACCTATTCGGGAGGCTGAGGCACGAGAATCGCTTGAACCCAGGAGGCGGAGGTTGCAGTGAGCAGAGATTGTGCCATTGCACTCCAGCCTGGGCGACAGAGTGAGACACTGTCTCAAAATAAATAAAATAAAATAAAATAAAATAAAATAGCCAGGCGCAGTGGCTCATGCCTGTAATCCCAGCACGTTGGGAGGCCGAGGCAGGCGGATCATGAGGTCAGGAGTTCAAGATCAGCTTGGCCAATATGGTGAAACCCCATCTCTACTAAAAATACAAAAATTAGCTGGGCATGGTGGCACACCCCTGTAGTCCCAGCTGTTCGGGAGGCTGAGGCAGAAGAATTCCTTGAACCCAGGAGGCAGAGGTTGCAGTGAGCCGAGATCATGCCACTGCACTCCAGCCTGGGCGACAGAGCGAGACTCTGTCTCACCAAAAATAATAAAATAAAAAATAAAATTACTAAAAACTGTGCAAACTTAGCAAAGAAATAAGTGGATCGCCGGGCACGGTGGCTCACATCTATAATTCCAGCACTTTGGAAGGCCGAGGCAGGTGGATCATGAGGTCAGGAGTTCGAGACCAGCCTGGCCTATATGACGAAACCCCATCTCTACTAAAAATACAAAAAGTATAGCCAGGTGTGGTGGCATGTGCCTGCAGTCCCAGCTACTCAGGAGGCTGAGGCAGAATAATCTCTTGAACCTGGGAAGTGAAGCGGAGGTTGCAGTAAGCTGAGATCGTGCCACTGCACTCCAGCCTGGGCAACAGAAAGAGATTCCGTCTCAAAAAAAACCAAAAACAAAACAAAACAAAAAAGTGGGTAGTGTGGGAAGACTGTGGAAAGGTTATTTTTTATTTTTTTGAGGCGGAGTCTCGCTCTGTCGCCCAGGCTGGAGTACGGTGGCTCACTCGGCTCACTGCAAGCTCCGCCTCCCGGGTTCACGCCATTCTCCTGCCTCAGCCTCCTGAGTAGCTGGGACTACAGGCGCCTGCCACCACGCCTGGCTAATTTGTTTTTGTATTTTTAATAGAGACGGGGTTTCACCGTGTTAGCCAGGATGGTCTCGATCTCCTGACCTCATGATCCGCCCGCCTCGGCCTCCCAAAGTGCTGGGATTACAGGCGTGAGCCACCGCGCCTGCTGGAAAGGTCACTTATTATTCCTATAGTTTTGTATTGTTTGAATCTTTAATTTAAAATGAGAATATATTCATGTATTATTTGTGTAACCAATAACCTGCTTGTTTATTTGGAAAAAGAGAAAAATGACATAAGTAGCAAGGAAAAAAATAATCTCCAATAGTCTCTACACCCATATACAACCATTGTTAATATTTAGAATGTTTCTTTCCAGTCTTTTCTCTTTTATTTTTGCGTAGCTGTATTTGTAATATACATCCATTTTAGATCCTGCCTTTTTGTTTAACATAAATATTTTCCAGGTTACTATATATGTTTCATAGTTGTCAGGTTTTTGTTTTGTGTTGTTGTTTTTTGATTCGGTCTCGTTCTGTTGCCCAGGTGGGAGTGCAGGTTTTTTGTATTTGTATTTTTAGTAGTTTGGCCAAGCTGGTCTCGAACTCCTGACCTCAGGTGATCCACCTGCCTCGGCTTCCCAAAGTGTTGGAATTACAGGCGTGAGTCACCACGCCCGGCCACATTTTTATACTTTTTCAAAATACTAGTGTAACATCTCACGTACCCCATAAATATATATACCTACTATGTACCCACAAAAATAAAAAATTAAAAAATATATATTAATGTAGAAGGCACAGGATAAGAGAAATATAAGGTTGCATCCTTTAGGAAAATATTAATTCTTTAATGCAGTAGTAACAAAATTCCATTTACACATTATTTATTGTTCATCAGACAGTTTTCATTCTGAAGTTTTGCTAGCTCTGCACTTCTGAATGCCAGCCTCTATCCCGTATCTACCCTACCTACCTACCTTGCTCCTCTTCTCTCAAAAAGTAATCCTTTTTCATGTTGGGGTTTTTAAAATTTTACATTACTTATTTGCCTGATGAACAAAGCAAAACCTGTTAACTGACCTGGCTTTTACTGATAAACTCAGTGGAAGCTTTTCGTCTGTAAAATCTAAGTCCCGGCCGGGTGCAGTGGCTCACGCCTGTAATCCCAGCCCTTTGGGAGGCCAAAGTGGGCAGATCACCTAAGGTCAGGAGTTTGAGACCAGACTGATCAACATGGAGAAACCCCGTCTCTACTAAAAAAAAATGCAAAATTAGCCGGGCGTGGTGGCACATGCCTGTAATCTCAGCCACTTGGGAGGCCAAGGCAGGAGAATCGCTTGAACCTGGGAGGCGGAGGTTGCAGTGAGCCAAGATTGCAGCATTGCACTCCAGCCTGGGCAACAAGAGTGAAACTCTGTCTCAAGGTTAAAAAAAAAAAAAAAAAAAAAAAAAAATCTAAGTCCCAAGCATGTATGGTGGAATTGACCAGTGTTTAATAAATATCTTCTGAAATACTAGACAGAATTGGTTGCAGACTATGAAATAATTTCCATGTCTTTATTTCAACAACTGCAATTTTTATTGTCTTTTTAGGATTTCCAATTCCATGTGTCCCTCTCTTCCTGCCTTAACTGTGTCTCATTTCCTTATAATGTGCTCTCTGATTACTGAGCATTTTCTGCGTATTTTCATATGCAAAAACTAATTACCCATCTAATAATTATTTAGTGGTTTCAGATACAGACGTACTATAATAGAGTCATAGATACATGGAAACATTTAAAATACATTCAAAACCAAGATGAGACTAGCCATGATTTGAGTAACAAGCATCTTTAAAATAATGTTAAATAGGCTGGGTGCGGTGGCTCATGCCTGTAATCCTAGCACTTGGGGAGGCCGAGGCGGGTGGATTGCCTGAGTTCAGGAGTTGGAGACCAGCCTTGGTAACACAATGAAACCCGTCTCTACTAAAATACAAAATAATTAGCTGGGTGTGGTGGCATGCGCCTGTAATCCCGGTTACTTGGGAGGCTGAGGCAGGAGAATTGCTGGAACCCGGGAGGCGGAAGTTGCAGTGAGCTGAGATTGCGCCATTGCACTCCAGCCTGGGATGCAGAGCGAGACTCAAAAAAAATAAATAAAATAAGTTAAATAATAGTTGAACAGACACAACTTTGACTAAGAATACACGGACAACTTCAATATACTGTTTTGAGCACTTCTCAAAATGTCTCATTAAAAACAACACATTTTGTATTAGCTGTAATATGAAATTAGCTTAATCAACTGCCAAAAAAAAAAAAAAAAGGATAATTTGAGGGAGAGAAGCATAAGGTTTCACTTGATTGTTTGGAATGTTATATAGTGTAATGATTAAGAGCATAGGTCATCAGTCGTAGTGCCTGGGTTAAAAACCTTGCTGTTAAACTTGCTAAACATAACCTTGAGCAGATTATTTAGCCTCTGTGCATCAATTACTTCATATGCAAAATAATAGTATCCAATTTATGTGGGTGTTTAGATTAAACAAGATAATACACTAAAGTGCCCACATAGAGAAGACATTCAATAAATAACAGTTACTTTCTTAGGAAATAACTGTCTTTAAGTCATTTTAGAAACTATTACAAACATCCTCCCCCATATCATTTTCCTTTTACCATAAAGGATACTTTTCTGCTAATTTTTATTTATTATGTATGAAAGCCTATATTCTGTGATTTTTTTTTTAATTTGAAGGATTGTTATTGAGTTTCCTATGATATTTGTTGTTTCCTATGTCCTTATACTTGAGAAACAGAACACATACTATTTCCTGCATCTTTCATACACAGAAAAAAAATAAAAGCTAAGCCGGGAGCGGTGGCTCACACCTGTAATCCCAGCACTTTGGGAGGCCAAGGCGGGCGGATCACAAGGTCAGGAGTTTGAGACCAGCCTGGCCAATATGATGAAACCCACCTCTACTGAAAATACAAAAATTAGCTGGGCATGGTGGCAGGTGACTGTAGTCCCAGCTACTTGGGAGACTGAGGCAAGAGAATAGCTTGAACCTAAGAGGCGGAGGTTGCAGTGAGCTGAATTCACCCCACTGCACTCCAGCCTGGGCGACAGAGTGAGACTCCATCTCCAAAATAAATAAATAAATAAATAATAAAAGCTATAGGAAGTTGTTCCTGAAAAACCAGATATTCTGCCTTTTTTCCTCCAATTGTATATTTGTAAAAGTGTTTAGCAATAAGTAAGAGGCAGTGGATCCTCATTGTTCCTGAATTCCGTTTTGCCCCCCTTTTACTTGCTAAAATGTATTTGTAACCCCAAAACCAATATTCACAGTGCTTTCATGGTTATTCCTAGACATGCACAGAGTGGCAAAAAATTCAAGTCACCCAAGGTGCACGTTCCTAGCTTAGGTTGAAGAAGGCTATGCTCTGCCTTCTTGTTTCAGTTGTCATACTGTAAACAAGTATCTTTTTCAGTCTATTTAGTGGTATTCTTTTGCATTTTTATGCTTTTTGTTGCTTTTGTGGTTTGAAATGGCCTGCAAGAGTGGTGCCAAAGTGCTGTCTAGTATTCCAAAGAACAAGAAGGCTGTGATACACCTTCAGGAGAAATACGTGTGTGAGGTAAAATTCATTCAGGCATGAGTTATAGTGCTGTTGGCCATGAGTTAAGTGTCAATGAGTCAACCATATACAACCATATACAGTATGTTAAATAAGTTGTCTTTAAACAGAAAAACATAAAAGAAGGCTATGTATTTGGAATGGGTTGACAGAACGTTGTGACTTGAGGCTCTTTTTAAGTTAACAGGGCATGGTGGCATGTGCCCGTACTTCCAAAGTAGTCCCAACTGTTTGGAAGGCTGAGGTGGGAGGATCATTTGAGCCCAGGAGTTTAAGGCTACACTGAGCTATGATCACTCTACTGCACTCCAGGTGGGGCAACAAAGCAAGACCGCTCTAAGAAGGGCCAGGCATGGCAGCTCACACCTGTAATCCCAGCATTTTGAGAGCCTGAAGTTGGTGGATCACTTGAGCCCAGCAGTTTCAATAGTAACTTGGGCAACATAGCAAAACCCCGTCTCTACAAAAACAAAACGAAATGAAAGAACAAAAAGATTAGCCAGTTGTGGTGGTGCATGTTGTAGTCTCAGCTATTTGAGAGGCTGAGATGGGAGAATTACCTGAGCCCAGGAAGTCGAGGCTGCAGTGAGCCATGATTACACCACTGCACTCCAGCCTGGGTGACAGACCGAGACCCTGTCTCAAACCATAAATAAAAATAAAAAAGAAGAAAAAAATCAAAAGTGTATATATTGTGGTAGGCAGCTTCTGACATGGTTCCCAATGATCCCTGCCTCCTGGTATTCTCACCCTTGTGTAATCCTGTCCTTCTGAATGTGAGCTAGACTTAATAACTTGATTTTAACAAATTAGACAAAAGTGATGGTATATCACTTCTGTAATTAGGTTTTAAAAGACCATGACTGTTATTTTGCTGATGTGTTCTCTCTGGCTCTTCTTTTGTGCTTGCTCTGTTGAAGAGGGCCACTTGACAAAGAACTGAGGTCAGCTAACTTGCCAATACCCAGCAAGGAACTGAGGCCCATAGTCCAACAATTTGTGAACCCTGCCAACAGCTATTGAGTGAGCTCAGCGATAGATACTGTCTTAGTTGAGTCTTGAGATGACTATGGCACCAGCCTACACCCTGATTACAGTCTTGTAAAAGATCCTGGCAGAGCACTTATATAAACAGTATGTAGATTCCCATAGAAACTGTGAGATAATAAAATTTTTTTAATAAAAAAAAGTAGAGCAGTTTAGGTTGATAGCAAAATTGAGAGGAAAGAAGAGAATTCCCGTTATCTCCCCTCTGCTCCCACACATGCATAGCCTCCCCCATTATCAACATTCCCACCAGAGTGGCACATAATACAGTTAAGTATTTGTATTTACACATTAAAACCTCCAAACACATGCTTGAGATGGGGTGTGCAGTAATAAGCACTACTGTGTTTTAACCTTTGGCAGCTTTTATTCTTTCCTCCCAACTTTCAATTATTTTCTTTTCATTTCCAATTTTTTAACCTTTCTCTACTTGAAAATAGTGACCAGTTTCTTTTTGGTTATAGTCATCCTAATGTGTATGATGTAATATCTCATTATGGTTTTGGTTTTCATTTCCGTAATGAATAATGGTGATGAGCATCTTTTCCTGTGCTTCTTAAACATTGTATATTTTATTTGGTAAAATGTTAATTCAAACCCATTGCCCATATAAAAATTGTGCATATTTGTCTTTTTATTGTTGAGTTGTAAAAGTTCTTTTTACATAGTAGATACAAGTCTCATTCTTTGGCTTGTCATTTTACTTAGTTGGTGGTATTCTTTGAGGTACATAGTTTTGACATTTTTAATGAAGTCTAATTTATCTTTTTTTATTTTGTCACTCTGAAACCATTTTCTTTTTCTTTTTCTTTTTTTTCTTTTAAATGGAGCCTCACTCTGTCGCCCAGGCTGGAGTGCAGTGGTGCGATGTCAGCTCACTGCAACCTCCACCTCTTGGGTTCACGCTATTCTCCTGTCTCAGCCTCCCGAGTAGCTGGGATTACAGGTGTTTGCCACCATGCCTAGCATTTGTATTTTTAGTAGAGATGGGGTTTTGCCATGTTGGGCAGGCTGGTCTCAAACTCCTGACCTCAGGTGATCTGCCTGCCTCGGCCTCCCAAAGTCCTGGGAATACAGGTGTGAGCCACCACGCCCAACCTGAAACCATTTTCTAATACACAGTCACAAAGGTTTGCTGTTGTGTTTTTTTCTTGGGGTTTTATAGTTTTAGCTCTTACATTTAGGTCTGTGATCCATTTTGAGTTAATTTTTGTATATGGCATGAGGTAGGGAGTCCAACTTCATTCTTTTGTTTGATATCCAGTTTTCCAGTATCTTTTGTGGAAAATATTATTTTTCCCAATTGAAAAGTCTTGGTATCCTTGTCAAAAATCAATTGACAGGCCGGGCACGGTGGCTCATGCCTGTAATCCCAGCACTTTGGGAGGCCGAGGCGGGTGGATCATGAGGTCAGGAGATCAAGACCATCCTGGCTGACACGGTGAAACCCCATCTCTACTAAAAGATACAAAAAAATTAGCCAGGCGTGGTGGCATGTGCCTATAGTCCTAGCTACTCAGGAGGCTGAGGCAGGAGAATGGCATGAATCTGGGAGGTGGAGGTTGCAGTGAGCCGAGATCGTGCCACTGCACTCCAGCCTGGGCGACAGACCGAGACTCCGTCTAAAAAAAAAAAAAAAAAAAAAAAAAAATCAATTGACCGTAAGTGCAAAGGTGTATTTCTGAACTCTTAATTCTATTCCATTCATCAATATGTCAAGGATCCATTGATCCTTATGCCAGGACCACACTGTCTTGATAACTATTGCTTTGTAATTAGTTTTAAAATAGAGAAAGCTGAGTTCTCCAACTTTGTTCTTCTTTTTCTTTCTCTTCTCTTTTCTCTTCTCTTCTCTTCTCTTCTCTTGAGATGGAGTTTCACTCTTGTTGCCCACACTGGAGTCCAATGGTGTGATCTCAGCTCACTGCAACCTCCGCCTCCCAGGTTCAAGCAATTCTCCTGCCTCAGCCTCCCGAGTAGCTGGGATTACAGGCTTGCACTACCATGCCCAGCTAATTTTTGTATTTTTAGTAGAGACAGGGTTTCACCATGTTGGCCATGGCTGGTCTCGAACTCCTGACTCAGCTGATCCGCCTGCCTCAGCCTCCCAAAGTGCTGGGATTACAGGCGAGAGACACCGTGCCTGGCCTGTTTTTCTTTTTCAAGATTATTATGGCTGTTTTGGGTTCCTTGCATTTCCATATGAATTGTGATCAGTTTTCCATATCTGAAAAAAGACAACTGGGATTTTGATAGGCAGTTTGGGGAGTATTGCTATATTAACAATAGAAAGTCTCTTAATTCATGAACACGATATCTTTCCATTTATTTAGACCTTATTTCATTTATTTCAACAATGTTTTATAGTTTACTCAGTGTACAAGCCTTACAGTTCTTTTGTTAAATTTATTCCTAATTATTTTTCAGAGCAGTGTTTTCTGTCTTAGTCAAGACAGCTGCATGTAGTGTATGTACGTTACAATAAATTATTTTGTAAAAATTTTAGCTGTGGTAAAATACACAAAATGTGAAATTTATCGTCTTACCATTTTTAAGTGTACAGTTCAGTATAGTTCCTATTGTCGTACGACCAATCTCCAGAACTCTTCACCTTCAAGTACTGAAACTCTATACCCATTAAATAACAACTCACTATTACCCCTTCTTCTCAGGCCCTCCAGCCACCCTCTACTTTCTGTCTCTATGAATTTGACTACTCTAAGTATATCATATAAGTAGAATCATATCATATTTGTCTTTTTGCAACTAGCTCATTTCACTTAGCATAGTGTCATGAAGGTTCATCCATCTTGTAGCATGTGTTAGAATTTTTTTGAAGGCTGAATAATATTCCATTTTACGTAAATACTACATTTATTCATCCATTCATCCATCGTGGACACTTGAGTTACTTCTACCTCTTGGCTATTATGAATAAAGCTCCAATGAATGTAGGTATACAAATATCTCTTTGAGACCCTGCTTTCAATTCTTTTGGATGTATACCAAGAAATAGAATTGCAGAATCATGTGATAAAAATGCTATTTTTAATTTTTTTTAAGAGACAGGGTCTTGCTTTGTTGCCTAGACTGGAGTGCAGTGGCACGATCATAGCTCACTGTAACCTTGAACTCCTGGGCTCAAATGATCCTCCTGCCTCAGCCTCCCGGGTAGCTAGGATTACAGGCACATGACCCCATGCCTGTCTAATTTTTTTTTTTTTTTTGAGACGGAGTCTCACTGTGTCGCCCAGGCTGGAGTACAGTGGCACGATCTCGGCTCACTGCAACCTCCGCCTCCCAGGTTCAAGCGATTCTCCTGCCTCAGCCTACTGAGTAGCTAGGATTACAGGCACCCGCCACTATGTCCAGCTAATTTTTTTGTATTTTTAGTAGAGACAGGGTATCACCATGTTAGCCAGGCTGGTTGCAAACTCCTGACCTTGTGATTCACCTGCCTCGGCCTCTCAAAGTGCTGGGATTACAGGCATGAGCCACCACACCCGGCTGCTACCTGGCTAATTTTTAAATTTTATTTTAGAGATAGGATCTTACTATGTTGTCAGGCTGGTCGTGAACATTCAGCTTCAAGTAATCCTCCCACCTCAGCCTCCCAAAGTGCGGCGTGAACCACTACGCCTGGCCTAGTTTTAATTTTTTGAGAACCTACAAGGGTTCCAGTTTCTTCACCTTCTTGCCGTCACTTGTTATTTTTTTTAAATAGTCGCTGTCCTAATGGGTGTGAGGTGGAATGTCATTGTGGTTTTGTTTTATATTTCCCTAATGATTGGAGATATTGAGCATCTTTTTATGTGCTTGTTGGCCATTTGGAAAAATACCTATTCAGGTCCTTTGCCCATTTTTTAATTGGGTCATTTGTTTTATGTTGTTAAGTTGTAGGAGTTCTTTATATATTTTGGATATTAACCACTTATCAGATATATGATTTGCAAATATTTTCTCCCATAGCTTGCCGTTTCACTCTTTTGATTGTATCCATAATGTGCAAGTTTTTATTTTTGTTTTTGTTTGTTGGTTGGTTTTTGTTTTTTTGTTTTTGTTTTTTTTTTGAGATGGAGTCTCACTCTGTTGCCCAGGCTGGAGTGCAATGGTGTCATCTCAGCTCACTGCAATCTCCGCCCCCCACCCCGCCTACCCGCCCAGGTTCAAGCCATTCTCCTGCCTCAGCCTCCCAAGTAGCTGGGATTACAGGTGTGTGCTACCACATCTGGCTAATTTTTGTATTTTTGGTAGCGATGGGGTTTTGCCATGTTGGCTAGGCTGGTATGGAACTCCCTGACCTCAGTGATCCGCCCACCTAGGCCTCCCAAAGTGCTGGGATCTATTATAGGCATGAGCCACCACGCCCAGCCCAAAGTTTTTACTTTGGATGTAGTTCAATTTATCTATTCTTTTGCTGCCTGCAAGAGGTAATTCTTTATTTGGTATTGGAACTTGTTACTCAGGAATGTGTTCTTTTGACCGGGTACAGTGGCTCATGCCTGTAATCCCAATACTTCAGGAGGCTGAGGTGGGAAAATCATTTGATGCCAGGAACTTGAGACCAGCCTGGGTAATATAGTGAGACCTTGTCTCTGAAAAATAAAAAGAAAAGTTAGCTGGGCATAGTGGTGCACACCTATAGTCCTAGCTACTCCAGAAGCTGAGGCAGTTGGATCACTTAAGCCTAGGAGTTTGAGGCTGCAGTGAGGTGTGACTGCACTCAGGCATCATGAGAGAGTATCTTACTCTATATAACTAACCCAGAAGATGATAAAAATTTGAAGTAAGATTTCTATACATTGCTTTTAAGCTATGGTAAAGTCAAAAAATTTTAAGTCGGGAAGCATCTGTATTTCTCATTTTCAACTGTTACAGGAACTACTTTAAACAGCACAGATATTCTAAACACATCACTTTGGTTGTTCCCCCAATACTTGTCTGTTGTTTAAAAATCAAGGCTTTGTGTTATAATATGCTGTTCAGTGTCAGTGTCTAATATTTCCTTCCTTCCTTCCCTCCCTCCCTCCCTTCCTTCTTTCCTTCCTTCCGAAAAAAAATAAGGCCGGGCGCGGTGGCTTACGCCTGTAATCCCAGCACTTTGGGAGGCCGAGGCGGGTGGATCATGAGGTCAGGAGATCGAGACCATCCTGGCTAACACAGTGAAACGCTGTCTCTACTAAAAATACAAAAAATTAGCGGGCTTGGTGGCAGGCGCCTGTAGTCCCAGCTGCTGGGGAGGCTGAGGCAGGAGAATGGCGTGAACCTGGGAGGCGGAGGTTGCAGTGAGCCGAGATCGCGCCACTGCACTCCAGCCTGGGCGACACAGCGAGACTCTGTCTCAAAAAAGAAAAAGGCTGGGCGCGGTGGCTCACGCCTGTAATCCCAGCACTTTGGGAGGCCGAGGCAGGTGGATCACGAGGTCTGGAGATCGAGACCGTCCTGGCTAACACGGTGAAACCCCGTCTCTACTAAAAAAAATGCAAAAAATTAGCCAGGCGTGGTGGCGGTTGCCTGTAGTCCCAGCTACTCGGGAGGCTGAGGCAGAAGAACGGCATGAACCTGGGAGGTGGAGCTTGCAGTGAGCCGAAATCGTGCCACTGCACTCCAGCCTGGGCGACAGAGTGAGACTCCGTCTCAAAAAAAAAAAAAAAAAAAAGAAAGAAAGAAGAAAAAAAATAGAGATGAGGTCTCACTCTTTCACCCAGGCTTGTTTCGAACTCCTGGGCTCAAGCAATCCTCCCGACTCGGCCTCCCAAAGTGCTGGGATTACAGACATGAGCCACTGCGCCCAGCCAATGCCCTAATAGTTTCTAATTATTTTTGAATAATATAAATGGTAATTAATGCCTCTGTTTTTTAATTATAGAACTTTAAGATGTGTTTAGTGATCCTAAGTATGACTGGTTTTTACCTGAAACTTTTTTTTGTAGGGTTGCCATAATAAATTATCACAAATAGGGTGACTAAAAATAACAGAAATTTGTTCTTGGACAGCTTTGGAGGCCAGCAGTCTAAAGCCAAGGTATTGGCTGAGTTGGTTCCTTCTGGAGGCTGTAAAGGAGAATCTGTTACATGCCTTGAGATCTCCTAGCTTTGACAGGTTTCAGTAAATCATTGGTGTTCCTCGGTTTGTAGCTGCGTAATTCTAATCTCTGCTTCTGCCTTCACATGGCCTTCATCTCTATGTGTCTCAAATCTCCCTTTGCCTTTATCTTTTTTTTTTTTTTTTTTTGAGACAGAGTCTCACTCTGTCACCCAGGCTGGAGTGTAGTGGTGTGATCTCAGCTCACTACAGCCTCTGCCTCCCGGGTTCAACGGATTCTTCTGCCTCAGCCTCCTGAGTAGCTGGGACTACAGTTGCACACGACCATGCCTGCTTATTTTGTATTTTTGGTAGAGTTGGGCTTTCACCATGTTGACCAGGCTGGTCTCAAACTCCTGACCTCAAGTGATTCGCCCGCCTGGGCCTCCCAAAGTGCTGAGATTACGGGCATGAGCCAGGGCACCCAGCCCCTTTGCCTTTATCTTATAAGGACATCTGTCCTTGAATTCAGGAACCACCATATGCAGGATGATCTCAAGATCCTTAATTGCTAAGTGAGGGCTTAGTGCCTAGGGTGAGGGCAAGGGCAGTTCTCTAAAGAACTGCCATTGGCCTTTAGGATAAAACATCAGTTGTACCAGACCATCCCAAGCATTGAAGGATTTTAAAGTTCCTGGTCTACACTCATTAATGCCAATAGCCCTCTAACCCTAATATGACAATTAAAAAAAATGCCCCCATACACTTTCACATCCCTTTCCCAGCAGGAGGAGGAATGCTTGTCTTAAGAAAGAAAGGATATTTAGAACATATATTGCCTTACTTCTCCATGCTAATGGAAGGCATAATGTCATACAGAAAAGTAGAAAACAGACACAGAATTAGTGTCTCTCTTTTGAAATTGTCTACTTACCTATCAACATGAGTTCTGAAATATTTGTATTATTTTGAAATAGCAAAATAATGAGACAGGCCGGGCAGGGTGGCTCACGCTTGTAATCCCAGCACTTTGGTGGGGCAAGGCAAGCGGATCACTTGAGGCCAGGAGTTTGAGACCAGCCTGGCCAACATGGCGAAACCCCATCCCTACTAAAAAATACAAAAAAACTTAGCCTGCCTGGTGGTGCACGCCTGTAGTCCCAGCTACTCAGGCGGCTACAGCACAAGAATTGCTTGAACTTGGGAGGTGGAGTTGGCAGTGAGCCGAGATCGCATCACTGCACCTGGGCAATAGAGCAAGACTGTCTCCAAAAAAAAAAAAAAAGACACATTAAAGGCTTATTGCACATGTTCGTAGTCTTATTTCAATTTTTATTCATCTTCAGAATGAATTATATGGACCATTCTACTTAGAATAAAGAACTTTAAGACTGGGCATGGTGGTTTACACCTATAATCCCAGCACTTTGGCAAGCCAAGGCAGGAGAATTGCTTGAGTCCAGGAGTTCAGGATCAGCCTAGGCAATATAGTGAGACCCTGCCTCTACAAGAAATTTTTAAAAAAATTAGCTGGGTGTGGTGGTGCACGCCTGTAGTGCCAGCCACTCAGGAGTCTGAGGTGGGAGGATCACCTGAGCCCCAGGGAGATGGAGGCTACAGTGAGCTGTGTATTCTCATGGGTCTTATATTTTGAAAGAAATTATGCTGTACAAATTATACTTATTATAATTGATTTCCCCATTTTTATTAATAAAAAAATGCCTGCCTAATAGAGCTTTTTATCCGCATGATAGCAAACTATTTTTTAATTATGTTCTGAAAATAAAATTTTACTTAAGCAAAGACACCTGGCATATGTAAGCCTATGAAGCTTTATTATGCATAAATAAGTTTGATTTTCAAGAGGTTTTTTTTTCTAACACTGAAAGTAACTTAGTCTGTTTTATAATAGTCATCTAGGAACTTAATGGCTAAAGAAGACCCCAGGTTGGGCACTTCTAATGAATTTGTAGACTGAAAATTGAGAATTCTGTATAATGAATCAGATTCATACATCAGAGTTAATACTAACAAGAATTTGAACATAATAATTTTCCTGGAATAGTAAGTAGTTTGTCTTTATATCACTAATAAATAATGATCAGATTTCCATGAAACTTGAATTACAGTTAAAAAATCAATAAGATAAAAACGTAGAGGATAATATTTGAGGCTGCTTCTCTATCACAAATCAATGCAAACGCCAGAACACTGCTATAAAGTCAAGTGTTCTATTCTGAAGGGTTTACTTTGCCTGTATTGCACCACAATCAAGTTATACTTTTTGTATTTTTCTGAACTGGTCTGGGTTCAGTTTCCTCGAAGAAAATACCACCTAGCTAGTTTATGTAAGAAAGGACAGCAAATTATTAAAATGATTGCAGAATTGTTGAGAGCACTTGAATAATGATCCTCAAACTTTAGCATTAATCAGTATCAGTTTGGAGGCCCTTGAAAACAGATTGTTGGCCCCACCCTCAAGATTTTTTTACTATAGGGGTGCACCACCAACACCCGGCCAATTTTTGTAATTTTAGGAGAGATTGGGTTTCGCTATTTTGGCCAGGCTGGTCTTGAACTTTTGACCTCAGGTGATTAGCATGCCTCACCCTTCCAAAGTGCTGGGATTGCAGGCGTGAGCCTCCGCATGCCACTGCGCCCAGCCTATTTCCAGTATAATCTTGTCATTAGTGCTCCCCATCATGTATTTATTCATGTATCCATTCATTCATTCAACAGGTATTGAATACACACTATGCATGCAAGCCACTTTCAAATATTGGCAATAAAGAGGTGAATACGATTTTGTTTCTCATTCTCTTTATTATCCCTATCCGTGAACTCCTGTTGAGGGTATAAAGGTGAATATGTCAGGAAGGAATATGGGTAGATTGGAATATTGTAATTATGCCAATAATTACAATATTATGACATAAGTGCTGACAGTATTATAAAGCATTTTATAAATACTGAAAATTGTGTGAGTTCAGGTGTTTATATGTATATTCTTAATATTTTAAAAATAAAACATCTTTTGAAAAAGGTGAGAACCACCCTTAGACTGTTTTTTAAAATGTGAAATTTACTGTCTTAACCTTTTTAAACAAAAAAACAAAAAAACAGAGTCAGGTTCTCACTCTGTCTCCCAGGCTGGAGTGCGGTGGCATGATCATAGCTCACAGCAGCCTCAAACTCCTGGGCTCAAGTGATCCTCCCACTTCAGCCTCCCTAGTAGCTAGAATCTTTTTTTTAATGTTTTGTAGAGACAGGGTCTTGCTGTGTTCCTCAGGATGGTCTCAAGCTCCTGGCTTCAAGCAATCCTCCTGCCTCGGCCTCCCAAAGTGCTAGAATTACAGGTGTGAGCCAGCATGCACAGAGTTTAACCATTTTTAAAAATATAAAATTTACTCTCATAGTAATTTTTAAGTGCACAGTTTAGTAGCATTAAGCACATTCACATTATTGTGTAACCAACCTCCAGAACTCTTTTTGTCTTGCAAAACTGAAACTCTATACCCATTAAACAACTCACCAATCTCCCCTGCTCCCAACCCTTGGCAATTACCATTCCACTTTGTGTCTGATGAATTTTACTACTTGAGATACCTCATATAAGTGGAATCATAAGGTATCTGTCTTTTTGTTACTTTTTTTTTTTTTTTTTGAGGTGGAGTTTTGCTCTTGTCGCCCAGGCTGGAATGCAACGGCACAATCTCAGCTCACTGCAACCTCTGCCTCCTGGGTTCAAGTGATTCTCCTGCCTCAGCCTCCCGAGTAGCTGGTATTACAGGTGGCTGCCATTACACCCAGCTAATTTTTTGTATTTTAAGTAGAGATGGGGTTTCACCATATTGACCAGGCTGGTCTCAAACTCCTGACATCAGGCGATCCACCCTCCTTGGCTTCCCAAAGTGCTGGGATTACAGGCGTGAGCCACCACGCCCGGCCTTTGTTGTTCTTTTGTACCATTTTGTGTACTGTTTTTCAGATTTTAAAGTAAATGGAGATATGAAAAAAGAAAAACAAAGTTAAGGGAACGAAAAGCAAGGAATAAGACAATTATAAAAGTAAAGACAGTGGTGATTAATTTAAGTCACAATAGATGGAATTCCTATATAACCTAGAGAGAAAGTTAGAATATAATTGGACTAAGAAGAAGGTGCTGAAGATAGAAGTAGATTTAAAGTTGTAGTTTAAGGTTTATACATCTCACAAGTGGTAAATAAATGTTGATCTTTAGGAATATTACATATCTTACCCCACAAAACAACTGAAGTGCTGTGTTTTAAATAAACAAACATGATTAATTTTAACAGTGTTAAAAATTCATTTTATAGTTAGTAGTGGGATTCTGGGCATTACTTACAGACTCCTTTGTTTGGATAAAATTTTGTCTACAATTGTGAGAAAAACATGGACAGAATTTTTAGAAAATTGAAAGTTTTATATGTTGACACACACCTACGTAAGATGTTACATGGGCAGTAGTAGGCATACTAATATATCAGTCAGCTGTTGCTGATAATACTTCATCAGCAAGCCACCCCTAAGCTCAGTGGCTTTAACAACAAGCATTTATTCTCATAATCATAGGTTTGTAGAACAGCTGGATTTTGGCTGATCTAGGCAGGACTCAGCTTCAGGCTTCAGGATCAATTCATATCTTTTTGTCTGGGACCCACGATCAAGGGGCAACATTTACTCAAGCTTCTATCAATAGTGGATTGCCTGCTCATAAGAAGTGCAAACGCAGCTACCCAAGCATATTTTAGATTTCTGCTCGCCTTATATTTGTCAGCTTCTCATTGGTCTGATCAAGTTATGTGGCCAGATTCAAAGTCAAGGGGCAAGGAGGTACACTCCATCTATCACGAGGCCGTGGCAGAAGGTGGATATATTTTCATTATAGGGAAGTGACAATTTTAGGAAGTAAAGAGAGTTACCTTCTAAAGTCAAAAGGTATGTACACACACACACACACACGAGGTTGTACTAAATATATAGCTACTCAAAGATATGTATATATACACAAATGCACACACACAAGTATGTATTGGAACCTATACATTTAGTACCACTTATTTTTTGTGTATGGTATACATTCATTTCCTTGAAAATGAAAATAAGTTCTTTGCATGTAAGAATGGACATCCAAAATGTACCCACAATGATATAAATAAAAAATACTTTTCTCACTCTGCTAGCTTTTACTTTTGTCTGTTTTTGTTTTATTTTGTTTTAAAACCAAGATAGAGTTGGATTAAAAATAGAACTTCCTGCATATGCCAGAATTTCTCCAGTGCTTCTAAGCAGGACATGTGAATGCCTCTGAGACAGGTTTGCAGACAGAAATATGTACAGGGAGAAAGAAGAGAACATAAAAGAATAGGAAGGGTAAAGAGTAGGATTAGGGAAAAGAAGTGTCTGTTTTAGAGATCAAGTACCAGCAACAATTAATCTAAACTCCCCTTAGGGTCATCAGTGCCCTTGATATTGTTACTTCCTTACTCTCACTATATAAGGAGTATGGTTTGTAGGATCTGAGCAATGTTTTTTTGTTTTTGTTTTTTGTTTTGTTTTTTGTTTTTTGTTTTTGGAGACAGAGTCTTCTTCTTGCCCAGGCTGGAGTGCAGTGGCACAATTTTGACTCACTGCAACCTCAGCTTCCCAGGTTCAATTGATTCTCCTACCCGAGTAGCTGGGATTACAGGCATGCACCACTATGCCCGGCTAATTTTTGTATTTTTGGTAGAGATGGGGTCTCGCCATGTTGCCCAGGCTGGTCTGGAACTCCTGGGCTCAAGCAGTCCTCCCACCTCAGCCTGCTGAGTAGCTGGGACTACACAGATGCGCCACTACACCCGGCTAATCTTTTAATTGTTTGTAGAGATGGGGTCTTGGCAGGTTGTCTAGGCTGGTCTTGAACTGCTGGGCTTAAGTGATCCTCCCGCCTTGGGCTCCCAAAGTACTGAGATTGCGGTCATGAGCCACTGCTCCGAGCCCACCCTACCTCTTTATTCCCAAGCTTTTCTGTCTATTCTGTTCCTTCCCTAAGTACGTCTCTTTTTTTATTTTTTATTTTTTTTTGAGATGGAGTTTCACTCTGTCCCCCAGGCTGAAGTACAGTGGCACGATCTCGGCTCACTGCAACCTCCGCCTCCCGGGTTCAAGCAATTCTCTTGTCTCAGCCTCCAGAGTAGCTGGGATTACAGGCACCCACCACTACACCCAGCTAATTTTTGTATTTTTAGCGGAGACCAGGTTTCATGATATTGGTCAGGTCAGGAGATCCACCCGCCTCAGCCTCTCAAAGTGCTGGAATTACAGGCATGAGGCACCACGCCTGGCCAGGTGCATCTTTTACTAACTCTGGCCTGCCTTATTGCTGACTACTGCCTCTAGTGCCAAAAGAGAAACAACTAGAGGATGTACAGCCTATTTGTCTGCTTCATTTAAAATTCTTCTCTTAGCAACAAAATTAAAGTCCTAAATATAACTAAAAAATCAAATGTATACATTTGTGGAATGTAAAAGGAATTACACACAATGTTCTTTTTATTGTCATTATAGTCCCCAGGCTCCTTACAAGGAAAAGTAGCTACATTTGTTACATAGAAAAACAGCCCTGAATTATTTTCAGCTACATACAAACACCATGGTTAAATCTTCAAAACATATTACTGAACTGAAGAAGCAAGGCACAAAAATTCCATTTATATAAAATTCAGAAATAGGCAAAAAAACTCAGCATTCAGTGATAGTAATACTATTAAGAAAAGCAAGGAAATGATTACCACAGAAGTCAGAATAGTGACTATTTCTGGGGCAGAGGAAGGATGTTAGGAACAGGTAGGAGCAGGTAGGAGACTTTTGGGACCCTTGGTGTTGTATTTTGTGGCCTTGGTGCTAGTTACATAAGTGTTTGCTTCATCATGATTCACCAAGCTCTGCATTTTGTATTATAAACATTTTCGTGTATAATGCTTATACATTATACACGAAAATGTATATAATTTTGTGGGTTATATTTTGTAAGGTTTAAAAAATGGAAGTCAGGATGGGCGGTTACAAGTGGTGACTCACGCTTGTAATCCCAGCACTTTGGTAGGCCTACGCAGGCAGATCACTTGAGACCAGGAGTTCGAGACCAGCCTGGCCAACATAGCAAAACCCCTTCTCTACTAAAAGTACAAAAATTAGCCAGGTGTGGTGGCAGGCACCTCTAATCCCAGCTACTTGGGAGGCTGAGGCAGGAGAATCACTTGAACCCAGGAGGCAGAGGTTGCAGTAAACAGAGATCCCGCCATTGCACTCTAGCCTGGGCGACAATAGCGAAGCTCTGTCTCAAAAAAAAAAAAAAAAAAAAAAACCAAAAAAAAAAACAAAAAGGAAATCAGTGTGCGAAGTGGGAAAGCTAGAGCAAGGGAAACAACTAGGAAACAGACCAGGAGAAATTTAATGGGGAAAAAAAGTTATTTGTTTTTCTCCAAATATCTATCTTGTTTTCCTTATAAGAGAGCAAAGGTTACTATGATAATTAAAATAACATAAAATGAATTGAGGGAGTTGCCTGCTGATGTGATTCATATTTTGTTGTTCAATCAGTAAATAACTGGAAGATACAGCTTTCACTTTGATAGTCAAATTAGTTCATGGTCATTTTCTGAAAACAGTTCTTGAGTATGGATTCTGAATTTAGAACTGTCATTTTGTAGAGCAGTTAGGAAAATTGACGAGGGATCTTTGAGTGACATAGTCTTTGGTTTAGTTCTATATTGTGAGTCTCGTGAATTTTCTGTATTGTGAATTTTATTTTTAATTTGTTTTGTTTTAAATAATGACTATTATAGTGACTAGGTTTCCATTTTTCTAGTGGTAACTTTAGGCTTAAATGGACATTTCTTACTCAATTAGGTTATTGGTGTTTTCTAAGAATCATTAAATACTTTTTTTTTAAAGTTGTATAGAGTAACAGACTCTGTTCTATCATATCTAAAAAGTACAATCTTAGTACAATAGAGGTAATTAAAGTAGAATTATACCAAAAATACTTTGAGAGCATATTTAATGGTGTTTTCTTTATTCTTCGATGAAATGTTTTGATGTACAATGGTCTGCAAATTAATTCTTCTATTTTTCTTGTATTTTTAAAATTCCTAGTCTGTTTACTTAAATGTGATCTTTCCATTTTTTATTTAATGATTTTATTCCAATCAAATATAATTAACTGTTTTAATTCATTCTTTAATAAAATAAACAAATTGCTGAAATTGTCTCTCCTAATCATAAAATAGCTATTTAAAATACACTCTAAAGAAATTAAAATTGTAAATACTTATGGAGCTAAAAGTTAAGGAGGAGGGGCACTGAATGTTTTTCCCATTTTTTCATGTCTTTTCTAACCTTTTGGCGGGGGTGGAATTTAACTTTAGACTGTTATTTCTCTCTCTTCTTCAGTTTTTCACTGTTTCTTTCATAATTCACTCATCGAATGCCTTGATTCAATTAGCCAAGTATGGGCTATTTTTTTTGTTGTTATTTTTTGCTTTTTCTTCCAAGCTAGATCTATTCAAAATGATTAACAAGTTAAATTTAAACCAGTCTTTCATATTCAGTATTAACTACTTGTTTGAAAAAACAAGAAATCTGCCCCCTCTCAATTTTTTAGGGCATTAAATGTAAACATTAGTCTGATTATGATTACTGCCATTCCAAACATATTAATTAAAAGCAACGTTTATTTCCTATAAAAACATTTGTTCAAAACATTGAGCTCCACAATAAATCATAGTACAGAAACAATATCATAACAATTTGGATTATTTTGCTAATGAATTCACTTAACTGATCACATCGTTTTGGATTTAAATGTTTTTCTCTACTTGTATGAAAGCTACATTGCTTGAAAACTACAAAAACTAATCCCCAATTTGCCTTTCTACACAGTGGTAAAAGATTAAGGAGCTGACATAACCACTAGTGTGTTATATTTAAGCTTCCCTTTGCTGCTTGCTGCACATGTTACAATGTTGTTCTTTCTTTGACACAGACCCAGACAAAAGCTGAGTGTAGCAAGGAAACAGACAGAACGCCTCCAGTAGTGGCCCCCGCCTGGCTCCAGGATTTGTAAACAGAAACATCCCAGGCTCCAATGAGACAGACAGAGGTTCCCTGTCTGTTCTGCATTCAGGAAGTGTTTGCTTGTATAAGCCCAACTATTGCACAGGCATACATAGTAGTGTTTACATTTGGCTGAGTATTTAACTGAGAAAACTTAATAGGGAAGAAAAAGAGGGTTTATTAGAGGTAGGAGAACAAGACAATTCAGGTATAACATAGATGTAGCATATGTTATGTAAAAAGGTTTTTTTATTTTGAAGAAATAGACAACAAAAAATAGGAGTTTTCTAGTTAAAGGCCTCTTTTGCACGTACACGTGAATACACATATTGAAATATTTTTCCTGGCAGTTTTTCAGGGATCTCATATTTTTAGACCATGTGACAGAGGCTTGGAAAGTTTTTATTTGAAATTTAACCAATCATATGGTTTATAATGAAATGGGAAAAGTTCCCTTGTCCTGACAGGGTGCGTGATGCGGGGTGTGGCTCACTTCTTAAGTGCCCCGCTGCTCAGACCTCTAGGGGACCATACAGACAGGTAGGCTGTGGGGCTCCGACCTCACAACAGTGTCTAGGAGTGAATGTTTACAGCTCCTGAATCCGCAGTGGGCGTGTGTTACAGGGTGCTCTTTTAGTTTGCCATCTATAGGCGGCTTGTGTTAGCTCAATTAGACCCCCTTCCTTATCACAAGGACAGAGGGATTTCTGTATCCCAGGGTTTCCTGCCTTGGTGTACGGGAAGAGTCGGCTCACACCTGGGCTTGGAGAATGAGTGCAAGGTTTATTAGTAGAAGTAGCTCTCAGCAGATGGGGGAACCAGAAGGGAGATGGTTTTCTCCTGGAGTTGGGCCGCTTGGTGGCCAGGGCTCTCCTCCGTCTGCCCCAGCCAAACTCCGCGTCGTTGTCGTTCTGTCGACGGCCTGCCGGCGTGCGGGTGCCTATCGTTGTGCTCTTCTGCTGGCGTGCTCCTCTCGACGACCAGCCACTTTCTTCCGCCGATGTGCTCCTCTTTACGTCTGGCCGCCTGTGTGTCTGCCTGCTAGGGTCTCGGGTTTTTATAGGCCCAGGATGGGGACATGGCGGGTCCGGGTGGTCTTGGAAATGCAACATTTGGACGGGAAAGCAGGAGTGCCTGTCCTCACCTAGGTCTGTTGGGGTGGAGCCCTAGTCAGGGACGCACCTTTCTCTACCCATTACTTACCTCCCCACTTCCGTGTCATTTAAGGAGGGCACACTGTTCCCTTCCCAGCACTATAACATGTTTAAAATGTTTTAAAACTTTTTTCATTCTCTCCAATATATGAATTAATAATCCATTTCAGATTTTGAATTAATGAATGTTTAATGTAAAAGTTTTGTTAAATTTTCTTTTATAAATTTGAGAATAAAAGCAAAGAATGCTGAGCCTTCAAAAAACTGTATGAGAAGACTCATTATACAGAGTTTTGGAAGTAGGAGGACCTTAAAAGTCACTTACAAGATCACTTATTTTTATTTTATAGTTTAATGTATTTTAGTAACAAACAGGAACAGCAAAAAGACAGCGTTAAAAACGTGCTTGAATGTAGGACAACTCAAAAAAGTAGAGTGAACAGATGGAACCTACTCTATGATTAAAATGCTGCAAACATCATTTAGTTGCTGTCAATAAGAAATTTACTTATTTTCCAAAAATCCAAATGCAGGCATTATCCAGAAAAATTTAACAGGTTTATTTATAATTGTTATGGCCAGGCATGGTGGTTTATGCTTGTAATTCCAGCACTTTGGGAGGCCAGGACAGGCAGATTGCTTGAGCCCGGGAGTTTGAGACCATCCTGAGCAACATGGCAAAACCCTGTCTCTACAAAAAATAAAAATTAGCCAGACATGGTGGCATGAGACCAGATGCTTGGGAGGCTGAGGTGATAGGATCGCTTGAGCCTGGGAGGCTGAGGCTGTAGTGAGCCATGGTCATACCATTGCACTCCAGCCTGAGCGACAAAGTGAGACCCTGTCTCAAAAACAAAAACAAAAAAAAATCAAAAGAACAAATTAAATAATTGTTATGAAGTTGAACTTCTAAAACTTGTTCACTGAAATGTTTTGACCCGCATTAATGCTTTATGTCCCACATTTATATTGAAAATCCACATGCAAATAAAAATGGAAAAACCACCAATACCTCATTTCTGTTCCTTATTTTTTCACTTACAATCTTATACTTAGGTGCCTTTTGACCCTATGGGGAAAAAATAATGTTCAGAACTACTGAGAGGTGACAGCGTGCTGGCAGTCCTTACCGCCCTCGCTCGCTCTCAGCGCCTCCTCTGCCTGGGCTCCCACTTTGGCAGCACTTGAGGAGCCCTTCAGCCCACCACTGCACTGTGGGAGCCACTTTCTGGGCTGGCCGAGGCCGGAGCCCACTCCTTCAGCTTGCAGGGAGGTGTGGAGGGAGAGGCGCGAGCAGGAACCAGGGCTGCGTGCCACGCTTGCGGGCCAGCTGGAGTTCCGGGTGGGCATGGGCTTGGCGGGCCCCGCACTCGGAGCAGCCGGCCAGCCCTGCCGGCCCCAGGCAATGAGGGGCTTAGCACCCGGGCCAGCGGCTGCGGGGGGTGCACTGGGTCCCCCAGCAGTGCCAGCCAACCGGCACTGCTCTTGATTTCTCACCGGGTCTTAGCTGCCTTCCCGCGGGGCAGGGCTCGGGCCTGCAGCCCGCCATGCCTGAGCCTCCCACCCCCTCCATGGGCCCCTGTGCGGCCCGAGCCTCCCCGATGAGTGCCGCCCCCTGCTCCACGGCGCCCAGTCCCATTGCCAAGCGGTGAGACAATCGCTGAGCGGTGAGAGCATCACCTATCCGCAAGCAGTGAGTACCATCGGACCCCTTTCGCTTGCTATTCTGTCCTGTCTTTCCTTAGAATTCGGGGGCTAAATACCGGGCACCTTATTGGCCAGTTAAAAGTGACTAGCGCAGCTGCCAGAGTAAAGACACGGGTGTCAGGCTTTCTGGGAAAGGGCTCTCTAACAACCCCCGACTCTTCGGAGTTGGGACCATTGGTTTGCCTAGAACCAGCTTCCGCTTTTCCTGTACTTCTGGACTGAGTCAAGGGTCGACAAAGAGGAAAGCCATGCAGCTCCGGGGTCCCAACAACAAGTTGGTTGACCCTGCGGCCATGGGCAGAACTCTCAAAGGCATGTCACCCAAGTGAGACTTGCCCATCTATCGTATCTATCCTGACCCTTGCCCCCTGGGTCCTAATGCCTGCCAGACAAACTTCCTCTCACCTCTTTTCTCTGAGGCTAATTAGACCCACTTCTAAAAATTGCTACCTGTCTCTGGTGCTTTTCTAGTTTCTCCTATAAGAATGATTTCTAGTATAAACTCCAGGACTCTGTTACCTTCTTTAGGCACCTGGGCTCACCAATCAGAAAGACATAATTTTTGCCCAAAGCCCTGTCACAGTGGGGACTACCTGGAATTTTAGGATCCCTCCTCAGACTAACAGGCCTAACAAAAGCTATTCCTGAAGCTAGGATATGGGGAGCCTTAGAAATTGTATCCTTCCTATTCATATAAGTGAGGACAAAAGGTGTCACTCTTCCAACCCTGGAGATCCCTTCCCTCCCTCAGGGTGTGGCCCTCCACTTCATTTTTGGGGCATAACATCTTTATAGGACAGGGGTAAAGTCCCAAGACTAACAGGAGAATGCTTAGGACTCTTAACAGGTTTTTGAGGATGCGTTGGTAAGGGCCACTAAATCTGATTTTTCTCAGTCGGTCCTCCTTGTGGTCTAGGAGGACAGGCAAGGGTGCAGGTTTTCAAGAATGCGTCGGTAAGGACCACTAAATCCGACCTTCCTCCGTCCTCCATGTGGTCTGGGAGGAAAACTAGTGTTTCTGCTGCTGCGTCAGTGAGCGCAACTATTCCGATCAGCAGGGTCCAGGGACCGTTGCAGGTTCTTGGGCAGGGGTTGTTTCTGCTGCTGCATTGGTGAGCGCAACTATTCCGATCAGCAGGGTCCAGGGACAGTTGCATGTTCTTGGGCAGGGGTTGTTTCTGCTGCTGCGTCGGTGAGCACAACTATTCCGATCAGCAGGGTCCAGGGACCGTTGCGAGTTCTTGGGCAGGGGGAGAAACAAAACAAACCAAAACCACGGGCGGTTTTGTCTTTCAGATGGGAAACACTCAGGCATCAACAGGCTCACCCTTGAAATGCATCCTAAGCCATTGGGACCAATTTGACCCACAAACCCTGAAAAAGAGGCGGCTCATTTTTTTCTGCACTACGGCTTGGCCCCAATATTCTCTTTCTGATGGGGAAAAATGGCCACCTGAGGGCAGTACAAATTACAATACTATCCTGCAGCTTGACCTTTTCTCTAAGAGGGAAGGCAAATGGAGTGTCTTACCTTATGTTCGAGCTTTCTTTTCATTGAGGGAGAATATACAACTATGCAAAGCTTGCAATTTACATCCCACAGGAGGACCTCTCAGCTTACCACCATATCCTAGCCTCCCTATAGCTCCCCTTCCTATTAATGATAATCCTCCTCTAATCTCCCCTGCCCAGAAGGAAATAAGCAAAGAAATCTCCAAAGGACCACAAAAACCCCCGGGCTATCGGTTATGTCCCCTTCAAGCTGTAGGGGGAGGGGAATTTGGCCCAACCTGGGTACGTGTCCCCTTCTCCCTCTCTGATTTAAAGCAGATCAAGGCACACCTGGGGAAGTTTTCAGATGATCCTGATAGGTACATAGATGTCCTACAGGGTCTAGGGCAAACCTTTGACCTCCCTTGGAGAGATGTCATGCTACTGTTAGATCAAACCCTGGCCTTTAATGAAAAGAATGCGGCTTTAGCTGCAGCCCGAGAGTTTGGAGATACCTGGTATCTTAGTAAAGTAAATGATAGAATGACAGCTGAAGAAAGGGACAAATTCCCTACTGGTCAGCAAGCCATCCCCATTATGGATCCCCACTGGGACCTTGACTCAGATCATGGGGACTGGAGTCGTAAACATCTGTTGACCTGTGTTCTAGAAGGACTAAGGAGAATTACAAAAAAGCCCATGAATTATTCAATGATGTCCACCATAAATCAGGGAAAGGAAGAAAATCCTTCTGCCTTCCTCGAGCGGCTACGAGAGGCCTTAAGAAAATATACTCCCCTGTCACCTGAATCACTTGAGAGTCAATTGATTCTAAAAGATAAGTTTATTACCCAATCAGCCACAGATACCAGGAGAAAGCTCCAAAAGCAAGCCCTGAGCCCTGAACAAAAATCTAGAGGCATTATTAAACCTGGCAACCTCGGTGTTCTATAATAGGGACCAAGAGGAACAGGCCCAAAAGGAAAAGCGAGATCAGAGAAAGGCCGCAGCCTTAGTCATGGCCCTCAGACAAACAAACCTTGGTGGTTCAGAGAGGACAGAAAATGGAGTAGGCCAATCACCTGGTAGGTCTTGTTATCAGTATGGTTTACTAGGACACTTTAAAAAAGATTGTCCAATGAGAAAGAAGCTGCCCCCTCATCCATGTCCACTATGCCGAGGCAATCGCTAGAAGGTGCACTGCCCCAGAGGACGAAGGTTCCCTGGGTCAGAAGGCCCAACCAGATGATCCAACAACAGGACTGAGGGTGCCCGGGGCAAGTGCCAGCTCATGTCATCACCCTCACTGAGCCCCGGGTATGTTTAACTATTGAGGGCCAGGAAATTGACTTCCTCCTGGACACTGGCGCAGCCTTCTCAGTGTTACTCTCCTGTCCTGGACGACTGTCCTCAAGGTCCGTTACCATCCGAGGAATCCTGGGACAGCCTGTAACCAGGTATTTCTCCCACCTCCTCAGTTGTAATTGGGAGACTTTGCTCTTTTCACATGCCTTTCTTGTTATGCCTGAAAGTCCCACACCGTTATTAGGGAGGGATATATTAGCCAAGGCTGGAGCTATTATCTACATGAATATGGGGAACAAGTTAGCCATTTGTTGTCCCCTACTTGAGGAGGGAATCAACCCTGAAGTCTGGGCATTGGAAGGACAATTTGGAAGGGCAAAAAATGCCCGCCCAGTCCAAATCAGGTTAAAAGATCCCACCAGTTTTCCTTATCAAAGGCAATATCCCTTAAGGCCTGAAGCTCATACAGGATTACAGAATATTGTTAAACATTTGAAAGCTCAAGGCTTAGTAAGGAAATGCAGGAGTCCCTGAAACACCCCAATTCTGGGAGTACAAAAACCAAACGGTCAGTGGAGTCTAGTGCAAGATCTTAGACTCATTAATGAGGCAGTAATTCCACTATATCCAGTTGTACCCAACCCCTATACCCTGCTCTCTCAAATACCAGAGGAAGCAGAATGGTTCACGGTTCTGGACCTCAAGGATGCCTTCTTCTGTATTCCCCTGCACTCTGACTCCCAGTTTCTCTTTGCTTTTGAGGATCCCACAGACCACACGTCCCAACTTACATGGATGGTCTTGCCCCAGGGGTTTAGGGATAGCCTTCATCTGTTTGGTCAGGCACTGGCCCAAGATCTAAGCCACTTCTCAAGTCCAGGCACTCTGGTTCTTCAATATGTGGATGATTTACTTTTGGCTACCAGTTCGGAAGCCTCGTGCCAGCAGGCTACTCTAGATCTCTTGAACTTTCTAGCTAATCAAGGGTACAAGGTGTCTAGGTCGAAGGCCCAGCTTTGCCTACAGCAGGTTAAATATCTAGGCCTAATCTTAGCCAAAGGGACCAGGGCCCTCAGCAAGGAACGAATACAGCCTATACTGGCTTATCCTCGCCCTAAGACATTAAAACATTTGAGGGGGTTCCTTGGAATTACCGGCTTTTGCCGACTATGGATCCCTGGATACAGCGAGATAGCCAGGCTCCTCTATACTCTAATCAAGGAAACCCAGAAGGCAAATACTCATCTAGTCGAATGGGAACCAGAAGCAGAAACAGCCTTTAAAACCTTAAAGCAGGCTCTAGTACAAGCTCCAGCTTTAAGGCTTCCCACAGGACAGAACTTCTCTTTATATGTCACAGAGAGAGCTGGGATAACTCTCGGAGTCCTTACTCAGACTCGTGGGACAATCCCACAACCAGTGGCATACCTAAGTAAGGAAATTGATGTAGTAGCAAAAGGCTGGCCTCACTGTTTAAGGGTAGTTGCAGCAGTGGCCATCTTAGCATCAGAGGCTATCAAAATAATACAAGGAAAGGATCTCACTGTCTGGATTACTCATGATGTAAATGGCATACTAGGTGCCAAAGGAAGTTTATGGCTATCAGACAGCCACCTACTTAGATACCAGGCACTACTCCTTGAGGGACTGGTGCTTCAAATGCGCATATGCGTGGCCCTCAACCCTGCCACTTTTCTCCCAGAGGATGGGGAACCAATCGAGCATGACTGCCAACAAATTATAGTCCAGACTTAGGCCGCCCGAGATGATCTCTTAGAAGTCCCCTTAACTAATCCTGACCTTAACCTATATAACGATGGAAGTTCATTTGTGGAGAATGGGATACGAAGGGTAGGTTACACCATAGTTAGTGATGTAACCATACTTGAAAGCAAGCCTCTTCCCCCAGGGACCAGTGCCCAGTTAGTGGAACTAGTGGCACTTACCTGAGCCTTAGAACTGGGAAAGGGAAAAAGAATAAATGTGTATACAGATAGCAAGTATGCTTATCTAATCCTACATGCCCATGCTACAATATGGAAAGAGAGGGAGTTCCTAACCTCTGGGGGAACCCCTATTAAATACCACAAGGAAATTATAGAGTTATTGCACACAATGCAAAAACACAAAGAGGTGGGAATCTTACACTGACAAAGCCATCAAAATGGGAAGGAGAGGGGAGAACAGCAGCATAAGCAGCTGGCAGAGGCAGCAGAAAGGAAAGAAAGGGACAGGAAGTCAAAGAAAGAGACAGAGAAGAGACAAAGAAGTCAGAAAGAGGAACAGACACAGAAAGAGAGTTAAAAAGAGAGGAAGAGACAAAGAAGAAGTTGAAGAGAAAGAAAGAGAGATGGAAGTAGTAAAGAAAAAACAGTATACCCTATTCCTTTAAAAGCCAGGGTAAATTTCTATCTACCCAGCCAAGGCATATTCTACTTATGTGGATCTTCAACCCGTATCTACCTCTCAAACAGTTTGCAAGAAATAACAAAATCTATCCTTACTGTATAATCCCAAATAGACTCTTTGGCAGCAGTGACTCTCCAAAACCGCCGAGGCCTAGACCTCCTCACTGCTGAGAAAGGAGGACTCTGCACCTTCTTAGGGGAAGAGTGTTGTTTTTACACTAACCAGTCGGGGGTAGCACAAGATGCCACCCAGCGTTTACAGGAAAAGGCTTCTGAAATCAGACAACGCCTTTCAAATTCTTATACCAGCCTCTGGAGTTGGGCAACATGGCTTCTCCCCTTTCTAGGTCCTGTGGCAGCCATCTTGCTGTTACTCGCCTTTGGGCCCTGTATTTTTAACCTTGTCAAATTCGTTTCCTCTAGAATCGAGGCCATCAAGCTACAGATGGTCTTACAAATGGAACCCCAAATGAGTTCAACTAACAACTTCTACTGAGGACTCCTGGACCGACCCTCTGGCACTTCCCCTGGCCTAGAGAGTTCCCCTCTGAAGGACACTACAACTGCAGAGCCCCTTCTTTGCCCCTATCCAGCAGGAAATAGCTAGAGCGGTCATTGGCCAAATTCCCAACAGCATTTGGGGTGTCCTGTTTAGAGGGGGGATTGAGAGGTAACAGCGTGCTGGCAGTCCTCACAGCCCTCGCTCACTCTCAGCGCCTCTGCCTGGGCTCCCACTTTGGCGGCACTTGAGGAGCCCTTCAGCCCACCACTGCATTGTGGGAGCCCCTTTCTGGGCTGGCCAAGGCCGGAGCCCACTCCCTCAGCTTGCAGGGAGGTGTGGAGGGAGAGGCGCAAGCAGGAACCGGGGCGGCGTGCCGCGCTTGCGGGCCAGCCGGAGTTCCGGTTGGGCATGGGCTTGGCGGGCCCCGCACTCGGAGCAGCCAGCCCCGGGCAATGAGGGGCTTAGCACCCAGGCCAGCAGCTGCGGAGGGTGTACTGGGTCCCCCAGCAGTGCCAGCCCACCGGCGCTGCTCTCAGTTTCTCACTGGGTCTTAGCTGCCTTCCCACAGGGCAGGGCTCGGGACCTGCAGCCCGCCATGCCTGAGCCTCCCACCCCCTCCATGGGCCCCTGTGCGGCCCGAGCCTCCCTGATGAGTGCCGCCCCCTGCTCCACGGCGCCCAGTCCCATCAACCACCCAAGGGCTGAGGAGTGTGAGCGCACGGTGTGGGACTGGCAGGCAGCTCCACCTGCAGCCCAGGTGTGGGATCCACTGGGTGAAGCCAGCTGGGCTCCTGAGTCTGGTGGGGACATGGAGAACCTTTATGTCTAGCTCAGGGATTGTAAATACACCAATAGGCACTCTGTATCTAGCTCAAGGTTTGTAAATACACCAATCAGCACCCTGTGTCTAGCTCAGGGTTTGTGAATGCACCAGTAGACACTCTGTATCTAGCTACTCTGGTGGGGCCTTATAGAACCTTTGTGTCGACACTCTGTATCTAGCTAATCTGGTGGGGACGTGGAGAACCTTTGTGTCTAGCTCAGGGATTGTAAACGCACCAATCAGCGCCCTGTCAAAACAGACCACTCGGCTCTACCAATCAGCAGGACGTGGGTGGGGCCAGATAAGAGAATAAAAGCGGGCTGCCCGAGCTAGCAGTGGTAACCCGCTTGGGTCCCCTTCCACACTGTGGAAGCTTTGTTCTTTAGCTCTTTGCAATAAATCTTGCTACTGCTCACTCTTTGGGTCCATACTGTTTTTATGAGCTGTAACACTCCCCGCAAAGGTCTGCAGCTTCACTCCTGAAGCCAGCGAGACCAGGAGCCCACCAGGAGGAATGAACAACTCCAGACACGCCGCCTCAAGAGCTGTAACACTCACCGCGAAGGTCTGCAGCTTCACTCCTGAGCCAGCGAGACCACAAACCCACCAGAAGGAAGAAACTCTGAACACATCCGAACATCAGAAGGAACAAACTCCAGACGCACCACCTGAAGAGCTGTAACACTCACTGCGAGGGTCCGTGGCTTCATTCCTGAAGTCAGTGAGACCAAGAACCCACCAATTCCGGACACACTACCAATAAAAGGAAGAAGATAATATTTTTTTAACAGGAGTTTTCCATCATAGTAGATTCTTTTTTTTTTTTTTTTTTTTTGAGAGAGTCGCACTCTGTCACTCAGGCTGGAGTGCAGTGGCGCAATCTCTGCTCACTGCAACCTCCACCCTTCGAGTTCAAGCGATTCTCCTGCCTCAGCCTCCCGAGTAGCTGGGATTACAGGTGCCTGCCCCCGTGCCTGGCTAATTTTTTGTATTTTTAGTAGAGACGGAGTTTCACCATCTTGGCCAGGCTGGTCTTGCACTCCTGACATCATGATCCACCCGCCTTGGCCTCCCAAAGTGCTGGGATTACAGGCGTGAGCCACCATGCCTGACCCATCATAGTAGATTCTTAAGGATGCTTTCTACAAATGCATTGTGCTAGTTGGATATCTTTTGGCATGATTGTTACACGTTTGGCATGGATAACATACAGGTTAATGTCTTCAAAAAGGCCAACCAGATAGGCCTACTGAACCAAAGAGATAGCTATTTTCAAAACACCAATAGCTGTACTCTAGATGTGCCAATCTATTTTGAAGTCCCAAACAATTTCTCACCTCAGACACTGGAAGAAAATTTGCCAATCAGAAGTTCAGGGGACTTCTGATTAGGACTTATTACAGAGTGCCTCGCAAATAGGTCTGTAATTCTGAGGTTTCTTCACCTATCCTGTAGAGGACACTCTCTTAGGAGCAGCTTTTTTTTTTTTTTTTTTTTTAATAAATTTTGGAAACAGGATTTTACTCTGTCTTCTAGGCCGCAGTGTAGTGGCGCAATCATAGTTCACTGCAGCCTGCAACTCCTGAGCTCAAGCAACCCTCCCAACTCAGCCTCCTGAGTAGCTGGGATTACAGGTGTGAGCACTGTGCTTGGTCTCTTATGAGCAACTTTTGTAACCACTTGCTTACTGGATGCTTTACTTCCAGTTGATTTATGGACATTGTTGTGCCTTTTATGAGCCATGGTATAGAGACCTCCTTACTTACTCTCCTCCTTTGGCTGGAGCTTGGCAAGCTAGAGGTGGTGCTGGCACTCTATAACCACTTTATTTTATGGATAAAGAAGTAAGAGCCTAGAAAAATTATATAATTTGTCCACAGTGGCTAAAGTGGGACTAAAACTTATGAGCTCTTTTCACTAAACTACTTTACCACTGTTACCTGAAATATTTTGGGAGTGTAATATTATCAATAATAGACTACTTATTTCCTAACAACTGGTTGTTAATGATAATGTTAAATTATAGTTAAATTTTGAAGTTAAATCACTGTTCGTCATGGTTGCTAATATTTGATGTAATGCCTTAGGACAAATTTTCCTACCTAGGTGTCTTAGTCAAAGTAGTGTGGACTGGGTACTTAGTTCTAGAGTCTGGGAAGTCCGTGTCCTTAATAGTGCCTGCAGATGGTTGTCTTCTCATTGTAACTTACATGTTATGTGTAACTCACATGCCAATGTTCTCACATGGCAGAGAACAGAAAGATAGATCCTGTGTCTCCTCTTTTTTAATTTTTAATTAATTAATTTTTTTTTTGAGACAGAGTCTCACTCACCCAGGCTGGAGTGCAGTGGTGTGATATCAGCTCACTGCAACCTCCGCTTCTTGGGTTCAAGTGATTCTCCTGCCTCAGCCTCCCAAGTAGCTGGGATTACAGGCACACACCACCAAGCCCAGCTAATTTTTTGTATTTTTAGTAGAGACAGGGTTTCGCCATGTTGGCCAGCCTGGTCTCAAACTCCTTACCTCAAATCCTCAAGTGATCCACCCACCTTGGCCTCCACTTTACAGACATGAGCCACCATGCCTGGCCTTTTGTTTTGTTTTGTTTTGTTTTTTTATAAGGGCCCAAACCCATTCATGAGGGCTCTACCCTCATTATATAATTACCTTCCAAAGGTTCTACCTCCATATACTGTCACGTTGGGGATTTAGGCTTCAACATACGAATTTGCAGGGCACATATTCTGTCCATAGGCCGGGTGCGGTGGCTCACACCTGTAATCCCAGCAGTTTGGGAGGCCGAGGCGGGTGGATTACGAGGTCAGGAGTTTGAGACCAGCCTGACCAACATGGTGAAACCCTGTCTCTACTAAAAATACAAAAAATTAGTTGGGCGTGGTGGCATGTGCCTGTAATCCCAGCTACTTGGGAGGCTGAGGCAGGAGAATCGCTTGAACCCAGAAGGCAGAGGTTGCAGTGAGCTGAGATCGCGCCACTGCTCTCCAGCCTGGGTGACAAGAGCGAAACTCTGTCTCAAAAAACAATAACAGCAAAAAAATTAGCCGGGCATAGTGGCGTGCACCTGTAATCCCAGCTACTCGGGAGGCTGAGGCAGGAGAATTGCTAGAGCCTGGGAGGCGAAGGTTGTAGTGACCCGAGATCGTGCCATTGGACTCCAGTGTGTGCAAGAGAGTGAGACTCTGCCTTAAAAAAAAAAAAAAAAAAAAGGAATTCATTAAATGTTCAGCTGTTTCTTCCTCCTCACATGTACAGTGGTGTCCTCCTCCACTCACTGCTTTACCTAGGATAAGAGCAGCCTTGGGTCTCTTCACTCTTGGAAGAGTCTTTTCATATTCTACTTTTAAATCCATTTAGTTTCCTTTTGTCCTTAGATCTTATTTTTAAAGAAAAGGTTATGATTTTTAGGTTTTCTGACTTGTTATCAGGGAAGTGTTTTGGCTTGTTACTAAGATGGGAATAAAATTCTTTGCATCTTTGTATACTCTAAGCAGAAGTGGGAGTCACTTTTTTTCACATTGGTCGAGACAGCATCTTGCTCTGTCACCCAGACTGGAGTGTGGTAACACAATTATGGCTCACTGCATCCTCGAACTGCTGGGCATGAGCAGTCCTCCTGCCTCAGCCTCCCAAGTAACTGGGACTATAGGCATGCACTACCACACCCAGCTAATTTTTTATTTTTTGTAGAGACAAAGTCTTGCTCTATCACCCAGGCTGATCTCAAGCTCCTGGCCTAAAGCGGTTCTCCCAGCTTAGCCTCCCAAAATGCTGAGATCACAGGCATGAACTACTGTTGCCTGGCCTTTTTTCATCTTTTTTTTTTTTTTCCTGAGATGGAGTTTCACTCTTGTTGCCCATGCTGGAGTGCAATGGCGCCATCTCGGCTCACTGCAGCCTCTGCCTCCCGGGTTCAAGCGATTCTCCTGCCTCAGCCTCATGAGTAGCTGGGATTACAGGCATGTGCCACCATGCCCGGCTAATTTTTGTATTTTTAGTAGAGACAGGGTTTTACCATGTTGGCTAGGCTGGTCTCGAGCTCCTGACCTCAGGTGATCCACCCGCCTCAGCCTCCCAAAGTGCTGGGATTATAGGTGTGAGCCACTGTGCCTGTCCCCTTTTACACATTTTAACATATGTGATATGATAAGTCATTTTATCTTATCTAAAAAGCTGTCATTTGAGGCTATTATTATTATTATTATTATTATTATTATTATTATTATTATTTTTGAGTCTCAGTCTGTCACCCAGGCTGGAGTGCAGTGGTGTGATCTTGGCTTACTGCAACCTTCGCCTCCTAGGTTCAAGCGATTCTTCTGCCTCAGCCTCCTGAATAGCTGGGATTACAGGCACGCACCACCACACCTGGCTAATTTTTGTATTTTTAGTAGAGATGGGGTTTCACCATGTTGGTCAGGCTAGTCTCAAACTCCTGACCTCGTGATCCACCCGCCTGGGTCTCCCAAAGTGCTGGGATTACAGGCGTGAGCCACTGCACCCAGCTGAGTCTATTATTTCCTTATCACCAAGAAAAAGAAATACCATCAAGTAATTTTACAATGCCACAAATATGATATATCCCACTGTAGGAGATTTTAAGGTGTGATCAATGTATGTATTAAAATTGATGAAATATGGGAGTTGTCACCTATGTAAATGTGAACTTGATTGTTAACTCTGGCAGAATGTCCACTCAGCAGCAACCCTTCAGTGTTTCTGTCAACAAACCATATGAGAAGTCAGATGAGTTGTATTGTTTGAAAATGTTTCATTGGATAACAAAATGTTGATGGTTGCTAACGCTTAGTGATGGGCATTTGGAATTTGTATGTACACTCCACTTCTGTATATAGTAGTAAGTTTTTTATAATAAAAAGATTAAAACTAGAACAAGCAACCTTCCATTGGCACTTTCTGGCATGATCAAGAAAGCATCTGCATTAAAATTTTCAGTGTCGTGTTAGTGGATGGAAAGAAAATTCCAGAGACAAAAGTCAAAAGAATGTTTTAAAGAAATGTTGGGTTATGATCTCAGTGATGTTTTTAATGACACATAAGGTAGAAATGTATGGAAAAATAGGACACAGTTGACAAATTTGAAAAGATATTCAGAAGAATCTAACTCTAAATATGAAAAAGTTTTAGGAATACCTACACCAATTTATTTTGCATCTGTTTTTCTTTTTACAGGCTGTATGAGAGTGATTTTAATAATCTCTGTCCAAATAAGTCTAAAGGAGCTTATCAAGAAGTAAAGCATAACATTCTAGGGGATAAGTCATAGTTGGTCGTAGTTTAAGCAGCATACTTTTTAGTATCTCTTATTTTGAATAAAAAAAAATTAAGTACCATGTATATAGTTAATCATTTTTAGTGTTTCCAAGATACTGCTTTTCTTCATAGGCTATAAAAAGCTTTTGTTGCTTATATTAGTAACAAAAACAATTTTGCAAATGGAAACATTTCTAGAAACCTTACTATTTATATTAGTATTATATAAATTTATCCAATTTCCAGAAATTTGGGTAATGCTAAAATCACTTTCCAACAACTAAGACTAGGAAAATTGTCATTTCTATTTTGTAATAAAAGCTTGATAAAATACACATTAGTTAGCTATATGCAATGTTCTCATAATTTAGTAAAAGCAAAAAAAAGCCTAGAAAGCTAAATCTTAGTGGAAAAATCTTTATTATTAAATTTTCAAATGTACTAATTCTGTGCTTTTTATGTACAACTTTTGGTTTTTCAGGTTTTTCCAAAATCTAACCTTTGTTACATTAAAATTTTAATATTTTATTTAATTGGTAATGTCCTTTAAATAACATTAATCTAAATTTTCAATACTGAAATTTAAACATGTCCACATATTTAAGAATTAAAAATTAGATTTTTAAAAAATAAAATTAGATTCCTTATCACTTCTCATTCCTAGTTGAATTCAAAATACATTTTTCAAATAAGTAATATGGTTCAGTTCTTTTGGGAATTATAACATTGGATATCTTAACTCATTTCCAGAGACAGTTTTATCTGTAATGCCATATTAATATTACATTTAATATTTAATTTTATTTTTTATACAGAAGACAAGATAATCTTTATTAACTCATATTTACTTGAATTACACAAGAATGTAAGAACACATTTAAATATTCAGTGTTTCTCATTTGGATGTGGCAAAACTTTGTTTCACGTTAGACTACGAATTTTTTTATTGTAACAAATATTTAAAGAAATACCAGTTTTTGGCTGGGCGCGGTGGCTTATGCCTATAATCCCAGCACTTTGGGAGGCCAAGGTGGGCAGATCACGAGGTCAGGAGTTCGAGACCAGCCTGACCAACATGGTGAAACCCTGTCTGTACTAAAAAATACAAAAATTAGCTGGGTGTGGTGGCGCGTGCCTGTAATCCCGCTACTTAGGAGTCTGAGGCAGAAAAATCACTTGAACCCAGGTGGCGGAGGTTGCAGTGAGCTGAGATCGTACATCTGTGACATGGATAATATTCAGTGATAAAAGGAAATGAACTGCTAAGCCACAAAAAGACATGGAGGAACCTAAAGTACATATTGCTAAGTGAAAGAAGGCAGTCTGAAAAGTCTGTATATTGTATCATTCCAACTATATGACTTTCTGGAAAGGAAAAACTATAGGCACATAAAATATCCTTGTATAGTCATGAATCTATAAATTATTTAGTTTTGTGTGTGTGTATGTGTATGTATTGAAAATAGTTTATCTTTTAGGTTTAGCAAATTCTAAAATGAGGTTTTTTTTGTTTTTTTTTGTTTATTTGTTTGTTTGCTTTTGAGACGGAGTCTTGCTTTCTCACCCAGGCTGGAGTGCAATGGCATGATCTTGGCTCACTACAATCTCTGCCTCCTGGGTTCAAGTGATTCTCCTGCCTGAGCCTCCTGAGTAGCTGGGATTACAGGCAAGCGCCACCATGCCCAGCTAATTTTTGTCTTTTTAGTAGAGCTGTGGTTTCACCATGTTGGTCAGGCTGGTCTCAAACCCCTGACCTTGTGATCCGTCTGCCTCAGCCTCCCAACGTGTTGGGATGACAGGAGTGAGCCACCGCACCTGGCTTTAGTTTTTTTTTTTTTTTTTTGATTGAAGTAAAATTCACATAACTTAGAATTAGTCATATTAAAATGTACCACTCAACACATTCATAGTGTTGTGCAACTATTACCTCTGTCTAGTTCCAAAACATTTTCATCACCCCACAAGGGAAACCCTGTATCTAATAAGCAGTCACTCCCTATTTCTTCCTCTCCCAGTCCCTGGCAACTACTAACCTGCTTTCTGTCTATGAATTTGGCCTATTCTGAGTATTTCATTTCAATGGAATCATAGAATATTCAACCTTTTGTAAATCCTTTGTAGGAATATACCACATTTTGTTTATCCATTCATCAGTTCATGAACATTTGTGTTGTTTCCACTTTCGGGTGTTGTAAATAGTGATGCTGTGAACATGCATGTAGAAGTTTTTGTTTGAACACTTGTTTTTGGTTCTTTCTGATATATGCCTAGGATTGGAATTGCTGGGTCTTATGGTAATTCCATGTTTAACTTTTTGAGGAACTCACAAACTGTTTTCTACTGTATACTTACCATTTCATATCCCACTTGCAATGTACAAGAGTTATAATTTATCCACATCCTTGCCAGCGCTTTTTATTTTCTTTTTTTTTAATTGTAGCCATGCCAATGTATGTGAAATAATATCTCACTGTGGTAAAATGAGTTTTATATGTAGCTTTTCTGCCTGTAACTTACTCTGTATGTTAAAAGGAGGCACAATGATCAATGTGTTAAAATCTATTAATATCTGAAAAATGGGCTGGGCACAGTGACTCACACCTGTAATCCCAGCACTTTGGGAGGCCAAAGTGGGCACATCAACTTGAGGCCAGGAGTTCAAGACCGATCTGGTTAACATGGTGAAACCCCATCTCTACTAAAAATACAAAAAATTATCCAGGTGTGGTGCTACAAACCTATAATCCCAGCAACTCAGGAGGCTGAGGCACAAGAATTGCTTGAGTCTGGGATGTGGAGTTTGCAGTGAGCTGAGATTGCACCACTGAGCTCCAGCCTGGGCGACAGAGCAAGACTCTCTTAAAAAAAAAAAAAGAAAGAAAGAAAAAAGAAAATATAATAAATGGTCTGCAAATTAAGAGTATTTCAGTGTTGTTTCAACATATCCTTCTATAGAAATATAGTTTAGACATTTTAATAAGCAACTTCTACTTAATTTGATTGAGACAAATAAATTCATTAAAACAGGAATGCCCATTAGAGGAACTCTTTGCCGTAGAGGCATCCTACTTTGCCATAGAAGCTTCTAATTTGAGTATAATATGCTTGATTTTGATTGAATATAAAGAATGAATAAAGATGCTGGCAGTCATCAAGCGCAGCTTCTGATCAGTATTACCAAACATTGCATAACTACATCTAGTTAAACAATGAACAGCTCTTTCATAGGGCAACTCATTCTGTTTTAGACAGGTCTGTTTATAAGCCATGCTTTTCTGTATGCTCAACTAAAGGCTCTTATCCTTGAAGATACACTGATTGGAACTGGTTATTTGATGTGAAGACAGCTATCATATCCTCCCAAGTTTTCTTTTTTTTCCTCATCAGATGCTTTCAGTTCTTTCTACCCATCACAGTTCAGAGGTCTCAAACCTTCATAGTTGTACTTGCTCTCTTTTGGATATGCTCTAGTTTGTGGCCATCCATCCTAAAGGGTATTTGCTCTAGATGCGATCTGACCCACAGAATGGAACTTAACACATAAAATGTTTACATGTTTGTGATAGCCCTGTGATTTACCTATGTGTGTTCCCATTCCATTCTGCAAGTGAGTAAACTTGGGCTCAGATAGGAGAAGAAACTTTCCTAAGGTCATATGTTAAGTGGAAGAAGTGAGCTTCAAGTCCTATTCAGATTTAACTGCCTCCAAAGCCATGCTATTTTCATTAATAAAAATACCAATATTGATAAGTGTAACTACCATTTATTGCGTAGATAATATATGCTTTTTTAAAAAAAAACTTTAATTTTTTTTTTTTTTTTAAAGAAACAGAGTCTCACTTCATCACCCAAGCTGGAGTACAGTGATACAATCATGGCTCACTGCAGCCTCAAACTCCTGGGCCCAAGCAATCCTCCTGCCATAGCCCCCTGAGTAGCTGGGACTACAGGTGCATGCCACCATGCCTGACTAATTTTTTTTTTTAATTTGTTTTAATGTCTGGCATTTTGCTATGTTGTCCAGGCTGGCCTTGACCTTGTGGCCTCAAGTGATCCTCCTGCAGCAGCCTCCCAAAGTGTTGGGATTATAGGCATGAGCCACTGTGCCCAGCCAGATAATATATTCTTGACGTTGTGTTAAGTACTTAGACTACCATCTAAATCTTACAGCTAACTTGGGAAATACAGAGTACTATTTTTATAAATGAGGAAATTGAGGATTTAAAACCAAATGTGATTCTAAAACTGTTAGATTCTAAGACTCTTGATATTATACTATCCTGTCTAATCTGTTTCATGGTATTGTTGATGTTTTAATAATTAGGAGCACATCTACTTGGTGTTTTAGTGTTCCAAATCTATACAGAATAGTCTGTATGATTAAAAAATATAATTTGTAATTATCACATTTATTACTAATTTTTTCTTTCATTTCCTTTGATGCAAAAACATTACTAATTTGATTATACATGGGTACAGCCTTTCTAAAGGGCAGTCTGTCAGTATTTAACAAAATACTTTTTTAAAAAAAAATGACATTTCAAAATTTGTTTTCTTTTAGGTCCACCTCATTCATTTAACCGAGATGAGACAATAATCATTGCTTTGGCATCAGTCTCTGTATTAGCTGTTTTGATAGTTGCCTTATGCTTTGGATACAGAATGTTGACAGGTAAAAATTACCATTTTTTGTCCTATTGTTTATTAAACATGCAATTTAATCAATTTATTTGCTCCTTTTAAATTCCGTATGTTAAAAAAAATAGTCTCAAAGTTATGCAAAATACACCCAGCCTCAATAGTATCACGTATGGACAGTATTGTTTCATTTAAATTATCAGTCACTACCCCTTTCCATGCCACTGGATTATTTTGAAGCAAATCACAGATATCATATATCTGTAAATATTTAATTAGATATTATATATCTATAAATATTATCTCTACAATACAAGAGCTTTTTTTAAAATTTATTTTATTTTATTTTATTTTATTTTTGAGACGGAGTCTCGCTGTCGCCCAGGTTGGAGTGCAGTGGCGCGATCTCGGCTCACTGCAGGCTCCGCCCCCCAGGGTTCACGCCATTCTCCTGCCTCAGCCTCCTGAGTAGCTGGGACTACAGGTGCCCACCTCCTCGCCCGGCTAATTTTTTGTATTTTTAGTAGAGACGGGGTTTCACCGTGTTAGCCAGGATGGTCTCGATCTCCTGACCTCGTGATCCGCCCGCCTTGGCCTCCCAAAGTGCTGGGATTACAGGCGTGAGCCACTGCGTCCGGCCAATACAAGAGCTTTAAGAATACATATCCATAATACCATTTTCACATCTGAAAAAATAACAGTAATTCCTCAGTATCATCAAATGTCAAGTTGGTTCTAATATACTTTAGGTTTGATGGACTGTTTAGGAAATCAGCGTTCATTGATTCATTTGAATAACTTCTATACAATCTTCTTTAAAGTTTTTATAATATTGCTTAGGGTTTTAAACTTTTAAAGTAAGTCATCATGGGAGTGTCTCCCAGAATTTGGCTTTCATGCTATTCTGCATTCATCTTAATTTATAGGTATTACCTAGTTTAGTAAATAGCTTTACTCCTATTGACATTAGGCATAAATCTTGCTGCTAATCTTTCTGCAGCTCTTCTTTTTAAGTGTAATATTATAAAAAGTGTAAAAAGATATTCATTTTAAGAAAACCATATATTAGTAACCTGTTTCCTGTTCTTATAGGAGACCGTAAACAAGGTCTTCACAGTATGAACATGATGGAGGCAGCAGCATCCGAACCCTCTCTTGATCTAGATAATCTGAAACTGTTGGAGGTAAGTTTGCCGTTAGATTATGGACTGTTGTTTCTACTGTGATACTAGACCTGGAACAGTGACTTCATTCAATCATTAAGACATTCATTCATTTATTTAACCCTATTTACTAAATTACAATTTTTTGTCAAGGCCTATTCTAGGCACTAGGAACATAGGTGAACAATGTCTCCTGGGGCTTCTATTTGAATTGGGGAGTCTACAGACAGGTACAGGAATGTATAATATAATTGCAAGTAGTAGTAAGTGCTATGAAGAAAAGTACAGTGGATAAGAAAGTGATGAAAAGGGGGTTATTAAAGAAAATATGGGCCAGGCGCAGTGGCTCATGCCTGTAATCCCAGTACTTTGGGAGGTTGAAGCTGGTGGATCACCTGAGATCAGGAGTTCAAGACCAGCCTGACCAACATGAAGAAACCCTGTCTCTGCTAAAAATACAAAATTAGCCAGGCATGGTGGTTCATGCCTGTAATCCCAGCTACTCAGGAGGCTGAGGCAGGAGAATTGCTTGAACCCGGGAGGCAGAGGTTGCGGTGAGCCGAGATCGCACCATTGCACTCTAGCCTGGGCAACAAGAGCGAAACTCTGCCACAAAAAAAAAAAAAAGAAAGAAAGAAAAAGAAAATATGGCCAGGTGCAGTGGCTCACGCCTGTAATCCTATCACTTTGGGAGGCTGAGGCAGGGGGATCACTTGAGGTCAGGAGTTCAAGACCAGCCTGGCCAACATGGTGAAACCCTATCTCTACTAAAATACAAAAATTAACTGGGAGTGGTGGCGCCCGCCTGTAGTCCCAGCTGCTTGGGAGGCTGAGGCTAGCGAATTGCTTGAACCCAGAAGGTGGAGGTTGCAATGAGCCAAGATCACGCCACTGCACTCTAGGTGACAGAGCAGGAATCCGTCTCAAAAAATAAAAAAGAAAAAGAAAATATATTTAGAAAGAGGTTGACCTTTGATTAGAGATTTGTACAGGGTATGAGAATAAAGACATGAAAGTTTGAGAAGAGTGTGCCACAAGGGATCCATAATAGACAACAAATAAATACTCCTTGTCTGCATATATTACATATTTTTATAGATACATAAGGCTCTTTTATATAGAATTTAAGTTTCATTTGGTGATATCTCAGAAGCTACATTAAAAGTGTTACCATGATGAGTGTTTTTATATTTATTAAGAATGACTTGAAAACTATGGTCCCCAAACCAGAGACTATTAAATAATAGATGTGATAGATTTGACTATATAAAAAATTGTAAGAACTTTCTGTTTTGGGAGAGACATACCATAAACAAAGATAAAAGCCAAATTTGAAAAATAAATTTCAACATTTCAACATATAAGGGAAAACTTGATAAAGAACTGATATAAATCAAGATGAAAGAAACATTCTATAGCAAATGGACAAAAAGGCTGAGTGCTGTGACTCACACCTGTAATCCCAGCTCTTTTGGGAGGCCAAAGTGGGTGGATTGCTTGAGCCCAGGAGTTCAAGACAAGTCATGGGCAACATGGTGAAACCCCATTTATTTTGTAAAAAATACAAAAATTAGCTGGGTGTGGTGGCACATGCCTGTAGTCCCAGCTACTCGGGAGGCTGAGGTTGAAGGATCACTTGAGCCCAAGAGGTAGAGGTTGTGGTTAGCCTAGGTGACAGAGACCCTGTCTCAAAAAAAAAAGGACAAAAGGTATTAACTGCCAATTCACAAAAGAAGTAAGTGTGGCTAAGAAATGTACAGTAAGATGTCCAATTTACAAGGCTGAAAGAAATACTAGTTAACCCATGGAATTTTAGCCATGATTAAGTGATAGAAACACTTCCAAACATTGCTGAATTAACTATATATTGATATAACCTTTTTAAAGGACACTTTGTATAATTTTGATCTGGAAACAGTGTATGAAACACAACATATATCCTTAAATAAATGATGGTAAATCCCCAACCTGTTTTAATAAAAAGTAAAAGCAATCCCCAGAAGCCAAAAATAACGAGAATGGGTTACATTTTGCTGGTTCTTTGGGTGTTGAGTAATTTTTTTGTATTCTGGATATTGTGAATATTGTATTGTGGAACACTGAACTCAAAAATTAGCTGGGTATCATGGCACGCGCCTGTAATCCTAGCTACTCAGGAGGCTGAGGCAGGAGAATCACTTGAACCCGGGAAACGGAGGTTGCAGTGAGCTGAGACCGTGCCACTGCACTCCAGCCTGAGTGAAAGAGCAAGACTATCTCAATTAAAAAAAAAAAAAAAGATTTTTTTTTGTTGTTTTAGTAAGCAATAAACTTGGTTGAACACATACCACAAATCTGTTTGGGGCAGAAGCTCAAATCTCAGTTCAGTTATTTTATCTTTTTTTTTTTTTTTTTACTCTGTCATCCAGGCTGGAGTGCAAGGCATGGTCTGGGGTCACCGCAACCTCTGCCTCCCGGTTTCAAGTGATTCTCCAGCCTCAGCCTCTATGTAGGGATCTTTATGCAAGTATTTAAGTCTCCACAAAAGTGACTACAGGCGCATGCCACCACGCCCAGCTAATTTTTGTATTTCTAGTAGAGATGGGGTTTTACTGTGTTGGCCAGGCTGGTCTCAAACTCCTGACCTCGTGATCCACCCGCCTCAGCCTCCCAAAGTGCTGGGATTACAGGCGTGAGCCACCACGCCCGGCCTCAGTTATTTTATCTTTAGCTGGAAACTCTCTTGTATATTCACTGGGCTTTCCTCTCTCTGAATTTCTCCTTTCTAGGGTTCTCCCCTCATTTTCTAGCAACTGTGGCTGTCCAAAATATGTCCTGAGTTTCCCAAGGCCAGAACAATTTTCTGTTCTTCTTTTTTCTTTTTTTTTTTTTTGAGACGGAGTCTCACTCGGTCACCCAGTCTGGAGTGCAGTGGCGCGACCTCGGCTCACTGCAAGCTCTGCCTCCCAGGTTCACGCCATTCTCCTGCCTCAGCCTCCTGAGTAAGTGGGACTACAGGCGCCCACCACCACGCCTGACTTTTTTTTTTTTTTTTTTTTTGTATTTTTTTAGTAGAGATGGGGTTTTACCGTGTTAGCCAGGATGGTCTCGATCTCCTGACCTCATGATCCACCCACCTCAGCCTCCCAAAGGGCTGGGATTACAGGCGTGAGCCACCGCGCCTGGCCTCTTTTTTTTTTTTTTTTTTTTTTTTTTAATTGAGACAGTCTTGCTCTTTCGCCCAGGCTGGAGTGCAGTGGCGCGGTCTCAGCTCACTGCAACCTCCGTTTCCTGGGTTCAAGTGATTCTCCTGCCTCAGCCTCCTGAGTAGCTAGGATTACAGGCGTGTGCCATGATACCCGGCTAATTTTTGTATTTTTAGTAGAGACAGGGTTTCACCACTTTGGCCAGGCTGGTCTCGAACTCCTGACCTCAAGTGATCTGCCCACCTCAGCCTCCCAAAGTGCTGAGATTACAGGCATGAGCCACCACACCCAGCCTAGAATGGTTTTCTTTAGCAATTTTAGTTCCACTGCACAGTGCTGATTTCAGCCTGCCCTCAGGATAAAAGTCATAAAAATGGGTAGCTTGCCCCATACCACTTTTTTCTCAAAGCTTTAATGCCTCTCAAGATCTATCTGCCTTTAGATCTTTCTTTTTTTTAAATTTTGTCCAGCATTTATAAATGTTCTCTATGGGCAGGCTGGGTCTGGTAGGAGCTTCATCAGCCATACTAGAACAGAATTTATTAATTTCTTGATAATGGAATAAACTGTAAGCAACAGAGAGCTGTAGCATTCTGTTTAAATTTGTACTTTATTATTTAGTAAATTTGATTGTTCAATTGTGATATTAATACCTTGCTTTCTTTAAAACACTTGCAGCTGATTGGCCGAGGTCGATATGGAGCAGTATATAAAGGCTCCTTGGATGAGCGTCCAGTTGCTGTAAAAGTGTTTTCCTTTGCAAACCGTCAGAATTTTATCAACGAAAAGAACATTTACAGAGTGCCTTTGATGGAACATGACAACATTGCCCGCTTTATAGTTGGAGATGAGAGAGTCACTGCAGATGGACGCATGGAATATTTGCTTGTGATGGAGTACTATCCCAATGTAAGTTCTTCATAGAAAATAAACTGAGGCCAGGTGTGGTGGCTTATGCCTGTAATCCCAGCACTTTTGGAGGCTAAGGCAGGTGGATCACTTGAGGCCAAGAGTTCAGGACCAGCCTCGCCAACATGGCAAAACTCCCGTCTCTACTAAAAATACAAAAATTAGCCGGGTATGATGGCACACATCTGTAATTCCAGCTACTTGGGAGGCTGAGGCATGAGAATTGCTTGAACCCGGTAGGCGGAGGTTGCAGGGAGCCGAGATTGTACAGCCGTACTCCAGCCTGGGCGACAGAGCAAGACGCAATCTCAAAAAATAAAAAAAAATAAACTGACATTTATATTAGTTGTTAATCAGACTTCAGAGAGGACCACTGTATTACAGATAGAGCATTGCTGACTCACAAACTGGATTATTAATGGTCTGCAATGAAATAAGGATCTCACACCAGAATGTGAATCAACTAATTATACTGTTTGTTTCGCTGTCTCCTCCTTCTTTCTGTTTTTCTCTTCTTTATTTAATTTTTTGATAACAAGTTTTTTGATGAAAGAAGCAGTACTTTGATTGACATTCATTCTGATGCAACATTCTTTTCTCATCAGCAACTGGTAATAGTTTGTAGATAAGCACTTTGAGTGGCACCAATACATAAATGAATATATTTACAAAATCCTTTTGTTTTCTACTTATTAACCATAACAATATAATTTGTATTCATACTGGTGAATGATACACTTTTCTATCTTAATTTGATCAAAGAATTGTTTAAAAGGAAATAATCATTCATAATTTTTAATATTAGAGACATAAAAATTTATAATGTTTAAATTCCCCTTTCCATCCCTTCCTCTCCTCTCTACACACAGAAATGTCATACTAACTCTTTCAAGATTCTGAAATGTAGTAGTTCATTAGATCTTCATGGAATCCTAGCCTATTTGCAAATTCTTTATAAGGATGCTAATTTACTCTTCATGTTAAAGTGAGTTAATTCTACCTTTTTTTTTTTTCGCATTTTTTCCTCTATATAGGGATCTTTATGCAAGTATTTAAGTCTCCACACAAGTGACTGGGTAAGCTCTTGCCGTCTTGCTCATTCTGTTACTAGAGGACTGGCTTATCTTCACACAGAATTACCACGAGGAGGTAAGATAGTCAATAGATGAAATTGACACTCATGTGGGTTCAAAATTCACAACAGGAAATTTTAATTATATCTTCAAAGTAAAAGTATAATTTATATTATTGGAGATTTATTATTAGTCAGTTGTTTGAAAGATTCAGCATGAAATGCATTTGAAATGTAACAGAAAGAGCTTTCCCACGCAGCTGCCAAGATGGCAGAGGGGCAGTCCTGGTGCTTGATAGCTGAGTAAAACTCCTGGGCTACCTGGAGGCTATCATGACCCAGCAGAGAAAGTAGTGGTCATGTCCTGTGAGGACATCAACATTTCTGGCAGTTTCTACAGAAACAAGTTAAAGTATCTAGCCTTCCTCTGCAAGCGGACAAGCACCAACCCTTCCCAAGGACCCTACCATTTATGGGTCCCCAGCCACATCTTTTGGCAGACCACCTGCGGTAGGCTGCCCCACAAGACCAAGCAAGGCTAGGCTGCCCTAGATCACCTCAAGGTGTTTGATAGAATCCCCCTGCCATATGACAAGAAAAAGCAGATGGCGGTTTCTGCCACCCTCGAGGTTGTACGTCCGAAGCCTTGAAGAAAGTTTGCCTACCTGGGGCACTGGGCTCAGAAGGTTGACTGGAAATACCAGGCAATGACAGCCACCATGGGGGAGAAGAGGAAGGTCTATTATCAGAAGATCTGTTACCAGAAGAAAAACAGCTCATGAGGCTATAGGAAAAGGCTGAAAAGAACATAGAGAAGAACATTGACAAATACACGAAGGTCCTCAAGGCCCACAGACTCCTAGTCTGAGTCCAATAAAGACTGTTTATTCCTCATGCTTGTCCTGGCCTGCTCTTCCTCCATTGTTGCCATGGGGATGTAGGGGACCCAGGGGCAGCAGTCCAGGTGCTCTAGGCAGCCTGGGACTTACAAAGCTGGAGATAAGGAATGAATCTTAGTCACTGTCTTTCTATTAGGTTACTTTAAACAACTCTAAAAGTTGTGCAGACATAATTTGTCTATGATGTACTTGTTTGCAAGAGAGTTTCATAAAATCATTAGTAAAAACAACCTGCTACTTCAGTTGGAATATTGGCAGCCCGGGCGTGATTGATGGCTCATGCCTGTAACTCTGACACTTTGGGAGACCAAGGCAGGTGGATTGCTTGAGCTCGGGAGTTTGAGACCAGCCTGGGTAACATGGTGAAACCCTGTCTCTACAAAAAATATAAACATTAGCTGGACGTGGTGGCATGCACCTGTAGTCGCAGCTACTTGGGAGGCTGAGCTGGGAGGATTGTTTGAGCCTGGGAGGTGAAGGTTCTAGTTAGCTGAAATCACACCACTGTATTCCAGCCTGGCTGACAGCTAGACTGTCTCAGAAAAAAAAAAAAAGCAAATGTGAACTGGAACACTAATTGAAGAGTTTCCCTACCTTGTGAATGGGGAATCTGTTTGTATTTCCTACCTTGTCATATACTGTACTCTGCAGCTGTTAGGATGTGAGAAAATGCCTGTGGGGACAGTATGAGCCTGGTGTTGTACAGGGTATTTATGGATGTGTAGGCTAGGAAGATATGCAACCAAGGGATTACAGCCATTGCATTCTCTTCCCTGTACTTTGTGATGAGAAACAAATAAATTAATTTTAAAGAAAAAAATATAACAGGAAGAATAAGAGAAAGAACTTTGGCTGGCATGGTGACTCATGGCTGTAATCCCAACACTTTGAAAGGCCAAGTGGATCTCAAGGATCACTTGAGCACAGGAGTTTGAGACCAGCATGGGCAACAAAGTGGGACCCTTTCTCTACAAAATATAAAAAAGTTAGCCAGATGTGGTGACACGCGCACATAATCTGAGCTACTTGGATGGCTGAGGTGGGAGGATTGCTTGAGTCCAGGAGGTCTAGGCTGTAGTGAGCTGTGTTCACCCCACTGCACTCCAGCCTGAGTGACAGAGTGAGACCCTGTCTCAAAAAAACAAAAAAACGAAAGAAAAAGAACTTCAAGACTTACAGGGACCATTAAGAATTTAATTCTTGGCCGGGCACGGTGGCTCACGCCTATAATCCCAGCACTTTGGGAGGCCGAGGTGGGCGGATCACAAGGTCAGGAGTTTGAGACCAGCCTGACCAACATGGTGAAACCCCGTCTCTACTAAAAATACAAAAAATTAGCCAGGCATGGTGGCACGCTTCTGTATTCCCAGCTACTGAGGAGGCTGAGGCAGGAGAATCGTTTGAACCTGGGAGGCAGAGGTTGCAATGAGCCGAGATCACGCCACTGCACTCCAGCCTGGGTGACAGAGCGAGACTCCCTCTCAAAAAAAAAAAAAAGAAATTCTTGTCCATTAATAATTTCTGAGTTGGGTGCAGTGACTCACATCTATAATCCGAACAATTTGGGAGGCCGAGGCAGGTGGACTGCTTGAGCCCAAGGGTTCAAAACCAGCCTAGACAACATAGTCAGACCCCCATCTCTACAAAAAAAGTTTTAATCAGCTGGAGGTGGTGGCACACACCTGTGGTCCCACCTACTCAGGAGGCTGAGGTGGGAGGATAGCTTGAGCCTAGGAATTCTAATTGCAATGAGCTATGATCATGCCACTGCACTTCAGCCTGGGTGACAGAGTGAGACATCGTCTAAAAAAAAAAAGAAAAATGAATTCCTTTTCATACTCTGAACATTCTTCCTCTAAGATATACATGCGAGCATACTTAGAAAATGTTCTTTTCAAAAGAAACTATCCACGGAGTAAACAACCTACAAATGAGAGAAAATATTTGCAAACTTCACGTCCAACAAAGGTCTAATATCCAGAATGTATAAGGAACTTAAACAATTGAACAAGCAAAAAACAAATAGCCACATTGAAAAGTGGACAAATGACATGAATAGACACTTCCCAAAAGATGACATACAAGCAGCCAACAAATATATGAAAAAATGCTCCATATCACTAATCATCAGAGAAATGCAAATCAAAACCACAATGATATACTATCTTACAACAGTCAGAATGGCTGTTAATGAAAAGTCAAAAAACAACGGATGCTGTTGAGACTGGAGAAAGCGGAACACTTATACATTATTGGTGGGAGTATAAATTAGTTCAGCCACTGTGGAAAGTAGTTTGGAGATTCCTCAAAGAACTTTAAACAGAAATACCATTTGACCCAGCAATCCTATTACTGGGTATATATCCAAAAGAAAGCAAATAATTCTACCAGAGAGACACAGGTCTTCTGTTTTTCACAGCACTATCCACAATAGCAAAGATACGGAATCAACCTACTTGTCTGTCAGTGGTGGACTGGATATAAAAAATGTGTTAAATGGCCGGACGTGGTGGATTACGCCTGTAATCCCAGCACTTTGGGAGGCTGAGGTGGGCGGATCACCTGAGGTCGGGAGTTCAAGACCAGCCTGAGTCAACATGGAGAAACCCCATCTCTACTAAAAATACAAAATTAGCCGGGGGTGGTGGTGCATGCCTGTAATCCCAGCTACTCGGGAGGCTGAGGCAGGAGAATCTCTTGAACGTGGGAGGCAGAAGTTGCGGTGAGCCAAGATCGTGCCATTGCACTCCAGCCTGGGCAGCAAGAGTGAAACTCCATCTCAAAAAGAAAAAAGAAAAAGAAAATGTGTTACACATACACCATCGAGTACTACACAGCCATAAAAATGAATGAAATCATATCCTTTGCAGCAACATGGATGGAGCTGGAGTAGGTTATGCTAAGTAGGAATAGAAAACCAAATACCACATTTTCTCACTTTATAAGTGGGACGTAAACATCGGGTACTCATGGACATGAAGATGACAGCAGTAGAAACTAGGGACTACTAGAGTGGGGAGAGAGGGAGAGGGGCAAGGGCTAAAAACTAACTGTTGGGGCCGGACGCGGTGGCTCACGCCTGTAATCCCAGCACTTTGGGGGGCTGAGGCAGGCGGATCACGAGGTCAGGAGATCAAGACCATCCTGGCTAACACAGTGAAACCCTGTCTCTACTAAAAATGCAAAAAATTAGTCGGGTGTGGTGGTGGGCGCCTGTAGTCCCAGCTACTCGCGAGGCTGAGGCAGGAGAATGCCATGAACCCGGTACGCGGGGCTTGCAGTGAGCCGAGATCGCGCCACTGCACTCCAGCCTGGGCGACAGATCGAGAGTCTGTCTCAAAAAAAAAAAAAAAACAACTACCTGTTGGGTACTATGCTCATTACACGAATAACAGGATCATTTGTACCTCAAACCTCAGCATCATACTATAAACCCAGATAACAAACTTGCACATGTACCCCTGAGTTTAAAATAAAAGAGGCCAGGTACCATGGCTCACACCTGAAATCCCAACACTTTGGGAGGCTGAGACGGGCAGAGAGCCCAAGAGTTCAAGACCAACATGGTGAAACCCTGTCTCTGCAATAGCCAGGCATAGTAGCATGCATCTCAGGAGGGTAAGGTGAGAAGATTGTTTGAGCCCGGGAGGCGGAGGTTACAGTGAGCCAAGATCTCGCCACTGCACTCCAGCCTGGGCAGCAGACCAAGACTGTGTCTGAAAAATAAGGCTAGGTGCGGTGGCTCACGCCTGTAATCGCAACACTTTGGGAGGCCAAGGCAGGTGGATCACCTGAGGTCAGGAGTACGAGACCAGCCTGGCCAACATGGTGAAACCCCATCTCTACTAAAAATATCAAAAAAAAAAAATTAGCCAGGCATGGTGGCAGGTGCCTGTAATCCCAGGTGCTTGGGAGGCTGAGGCAGGAGAATCAACAAGAGCGAAACTCCATCTCAGAAAAGTAAATAAATAAAAGAAAAAAATGTTCTTTTGATTCTAGGGCATTTTCAGACTTTTTAAAGCCCATTTTTGGATCTTAGGTTAAGAACCTCTTAGCTAGGCTATATTATATTTTCCTTGTATTAATTTTGTTTAAGTGAACTACAATGCATCATTAATTTTTTTAATTTTTAATTTTTGTGGGTACATAGTAGTGTATATATTTATGAGGTACGTGAGTTTTGTTGTTGTTGTTTTTTGTTTTTTTTGAGATGAGTCTCGCTCTGTTCCCCAGGCTGGAGTGCAATGGCGCAATCTCAGTTCACTGCAACCTCTGCCTCCCTGGTTCAAGCAATTCTCCTGCCTCAGTCTCCCAAGCATTACAGGCATGCACCCAGCTAATTTTTGTATTTTTAGTAGAGGTGGGGTTTCACCATGTTGGCCAAGATGGTCTCGATCTCCTGACCTCAGGTGAGCCGCCCACCTCTGCCTCCCAAAGTGCTGGGATTACAGGCATGAGCCAGCGCACCTGGCTGGCTTTCATTTTCAAAGTCACCTCATTGTCCATCATGCCAGTCAGGGAAAAGTAAGGGAAGGTAAAAGGAATTGTCCCTTTCTGTCTCCATAAGTCCCACTCCTATGCTTGTTTGTTTCCCAGAACCTAGTGCACACTTAGCTCCAAAAGAGGCTGGTAATATAGTTGTTGTTGATGTTGTTGTTTCCTGCTTGTATTGCTGCCTCAAATAATATTGGGTTCTGTTACTAGGTAGGAAGAGAAGAATACATTGTGGGGATCAGCCTTTGCTCGTGTTTCAGAGCTATGTAGTTATATTCCCTGTTGTAACTGTGGTCTTCCTCACCTTTCATGCATATTTTTGCTAGTTGTTCAGAGCATCTTTTTTTTTTTTTTTTTTTTTTTTTGAGACGGAGTTTAGCTCTTGCTGCTCAGGCTGGAGTGCAATGGTGCGATCTCAGCTCACTGCAACCTCCGCCTCCCGGGTTCAAGCAATTCTCCTGCCTCAGCCTCCCGAGTAGCTGGGATTACAGGCATGCACCACCACGCCCAGCTAATTTTGTATTTTTAGTAGAGATGGGGTTTCTCCATGTTGACTCAGGCTGGTCTTGAACTCCTGACCTCAGGTGATCTGCCCACCTCAGCCTCCCAAAGTGCTAGGATTACAGGTGTGAGCCACAGCACCCAGCCTGGAGCATCTCTTTAATACGTTTGCTTTCTCACTTTGTTTCAATATACACCTCACCTCATAGATACCCCAAAGTTACCTTTGCTATAATTGTGTCTTTGTGCTTTCTTCTACCCTCATCCCTTGCTACATTTCCTTGTCATATTATAGCCCTGACATTATTTTTTCAGTCTCTCTGACATCTTTAGTGAAGAGAACTTTAATATATCAGTTTTCTTAGATCTTTGTTTCATTGTATATTAGCATGGATCATCTTTTCTAGCTGATGCTTCATGTATAAATAATTTCTCCTGAATAATTTATCCGTTCATTTATCTTGACATCTTGCTTCTCCTAAATACAGAATTGTCCAAAGTATTGCCTGTGTCAGCAACTTGATGCACTTGCTGTAGTGCTTTAGCACATTAACCATTGGACTGTGTCCACTTAGCTCTTCAATATTATACTGCCTTTAAAAAGTTGGCTTAGCACAGAACTTAAAATACCATCCTAATCTCCCTTTTCAAGACTTGCATAATTTAGCAAGGTTTCAAGTCAAATGTAGGCTGAAAAGAATGATTGCCATCAGATATAAGTTTTATTTAAACAGAGCTGTTACTCTGAAACATTAGCTAATGTTACCACTAAATAAGGGTAATACCTTTTTAAAAACTAAGTACATAGATGCTGCTATTGCATATAAATATAGTAGCTATTTGAATTTATGGGATTTTTCTTTTTTTTGGAGTCTCACTCTGTTGCCCAGGGTGGAGGGCAATGGCATAATGTTGGCTCACTGCAACCTCCGCCTCCTGGATTCAAGCGATTCTCCTGCCTCAGCCTCCCAAGTAGCTGGGATTACAGACGTCCACCACCATGCTGGGCTAATTTTTTGTATTTTAGTAGAGACAAGGTTTCACCATATTGGCCAGGGTGGTCTCAAACTCCTGACCTCAGGTGATCCACCTGCCTCGACCTCCAAAAGAGCTGGGATTACAGGCATGAGCCACTGTGCCTGCCCAGAATTTATGTTTTTTACCTGATTATTTAAAAAATATTCCCTGGCCAAATGCAGTGGCTCAAGGCTGTAATCCCAGCACTTTGGGAGGCCGAGGTGGGTGGATCGTGAGGTCAAGAAATCGAAACCATTCTGGCCAACATGTGAAACCCTGTCTCTACTAAAAATACAAAAAAAATTAGCTGGGCGTGGTGGCGTGCGCCTGTAGTCCCAGCTACTCGGTAGGCTGAGGCAGAAGAATCGCTTGAACCTGGGAGGCAGAGGTTGCAGTGAGCTGAGATTGCCGCCACTGCACTCCAGCCTGGGCGACGGAGCAAGACTCCATCTCAAAAATAAATAAATAGGCCGGGCGCGGTGGCTCACGCCTGTAATCCCAGCACTTTGGGAGGCCGAGGCGGGTGGATCATGAGGTCAGGAGATCGAGACCATCCTGGCTAACAAGGTGAAACCCCGTCTCTACTAAAAATACAAAAAAAATTAGCCGGGCGCGGTGGCGGGCGCCTGTAGTCCCAGCTACTCGGGAGGCTGAGGCAGGAGAATGGCGTGAACCCGGGAAGCGGAGCTTGCAGTGAGCCGACATTGCGCCACTGCAGTCGGCAGTCCGGCCTGGGCGACAGAGCGAGACTCCATCTCAAAAAAAAATAATAATAAAAAAATAAATAAATAAATAAAAAATATTCCCAAGTACAGATGTTTCTTGACTTACAATGGGATTACATCCCAATGAACTGATTATAAATTGGCTGGGCATGGTAGTTCATCCCTGTAATCCCAGCACTTTAGGAGGCTGAGGCAGGAGAATCAAACTCCTGAGCTCAGAAGTTTGAGACTAGCCTCGGCAACATAGTGAGACCCCGTCTCTACAAAAATAAAAAAATTAGCTGGCTGTGGTGGCATGCACCTGTAGTCCCAGCTATTTAGGAGGCTGAGGTGGGAGGATTGCCTGAGCCCAGGAGGTCAAGACTGCAGTGAGCCAAGATCATGCCACTGCACTCCAGCCTGAGCAACAGAACGAGACCCTGTTTTTATTTATTTATTTACTTTTGAGATGGAGTCTCGCTCTGTCGCCCAGGCTGTAGTACAATGGCGTGATCTCGGCTCACTGCAAGCTCTGCCTCCCGGCTTCATGCCATTCTCCTGCCTCAGCCTCCAGAGTAGCTGGGACTACAGGCACCCGCCACCACGCCGAGCTGATTTTTTGTATTTTTAGTAGAGACAGGGTTTCACTGTGTTGGCCAGGATGGTCTCGATCTCCTGACCTCGTGATCCACCCGCCTCAGCCTCCCCAAGTGCTGGGATTACAGGCGTGAGCCAGCACGCCTGGCCAGAGACCCTGTTTTAAAAAAATGAAAGAAAGAAAAGAAAAAAGATCATAAGTTAGAAATATTGTAAGTTGAAAATGCATTTAATACATTTAACCTACTGAACATCATAGCTTAGCCTAAACTATCTTAAATATGCTCAGAACACTTACATTAGCCTACAGTTGGCCAAATCATCCAATACAAAGTCTACTTTATAATAAAGGATTGAATATCTCATGTGATTTATTGAACACTGTTCTGAAAGTGATAAAAAGGAATGAAGTATGGTTTCTACTGATTGTTTACTGCTTTCCCACCACTGTAAAGTTGAGAAATCATAAATCAAACCATCTGTAAGTGAAAGATCATCTGTATGCCTATACTATACTATTTTTACTTGAAGTGCTCTTTCACTGAATTCTATCCTTCCCAGCATCTTCAGATATAACTTTGTTATTTGGAGTAGAAATTTGGTAGTAAGGAATTATACTGTTATTACTTATTCAGCTGTTTGTTGCTTCCGAATAAGGAAGAATTGAACCTATTTATTTATTTGTAATAAGATCTCCCTATGAATTTTTTCCATATTATAATAGCAACGCATGCTTATTACCAAAGAAATATCTGACCAAAAAAATAGATATAGACAACTCAGACTTCACCAGAAAATTACTGTTAAGTAGTTTGTATATAGTCTTTCATGTCCTTGGGAGGGCAGGGGGATAGCACTGGTGATAATATGTATAAATATCCATAGATTGACTATTTTTGGTCAGGTTTTAAAAATACATATAACTAATATCTTGTTGTGCTTTCCTTTGAGATATTTGCCTACTGCAGTGTTCTGCCCAGGGCAAAATTATTGTATGTTCCACCCTCCCTCCATACCCAAATAAAGAAAATTAAAATGAGTACAGAGGGGAGTTTAAAAGGGAAAACTTTTCTCAAAAGGGCAGTCTATAGTTCTGCCCATTGATTTGGTATTATTATATAAATATATTCCAATGTTTCCATGAGTTTTCCTATATAAATATTAGCTCAAGATTGTACGACATATATTTATGTTGTGGCTTTATCCAGAGTAAGAAATGCAGCTCTTGCAGGAATTGAGTAGGAGCCAAGTTAATACAAGCTTTGGAAGACTGGAGAACAGGAAGTGGGTAAGGGAGGAAATGAGAAAGAAATCAACTCTTAGGTGAAGAAATTGGTAACTCCTATTTTTTCTTCAAATTGTACTGTTGCTTAATTTTTTTAAATCAATGATTATTATAATTATCTATAGTTTCATTATTGGTGAAATTGCATTTGAATGCTCATTAATGAGCGTAATACATCTGAATACTGAGTCTATTTGTGCCAAAATACAAATCCTCAGTAAATGTATTGACTTTGTTCTGATTGCTTTGTTTTTCTCTATACCTAAGCAGATATTTTAAATTTCAGAAATTGTGCTATAGAATTTTTTTTCAGTTCCAGAGCTATGGTTTTATTTAATACAAGGTTTATATAAGATTTCCTTATAGAGAAGAAAAATATAATGTACTTATATTTGGTGAGAGGCTTAGGTTAGATTCATTCTTTCAGTCAGCAATCATTTACTGTGTGTCTACTCTGTGCCAAGCCTTTTAAAGTCAGGTGAAAGATGTTCTCTTTCTGCCTTCATGGAGCCTGTAGTCCTATGATAAGGATAAAAAAGTAATAGAAGGAGCATAATACTACTTTGCTTCTGTAAAATCAGAAAAACAAGTTTTCATATCTTGGTGAGAGATACCACTTCCTCCACTTGTTTTTCCAAACCATTGTAAAACTATTTGTGGTTAGATTTGAAAAGCTGAGGTGGGCTTAGAGATATGGCTAAACCTCAGGGCAGAACTGGAATGTGCTGTCACAGATTTGATCTGTTAAGCCATAGGAGAGCAGTTTAAGATTTACGTTAAAATTTTGGAGCTCCATTAGTTTTTCACTGATACTTATTTTAGACAAGCAGACTTTTTTTTTTTGATGTTTATACCAAATATTCCTTTCTGTATTGCCTCCTTTTACAGCCCTATACTATAAATGAAGAGAAAAAACAAGTGCGTGTTAGAATCTGAAGTGGCAGCATGTTTGTTAGTTTTAGTTAATGTTTAACTATACATGCAACAGGAGTTATATTATAAAATATATTAGAAAATAGTGATGAGTGTGAGTTGAAATTCCGATTTCTCTTTTTTTGTTATTAGAAAATTAATGGGCAGAAAAATAATACTACTTCTATATTTATGTATGTTCATTTCATGTTCAATAGTCCCTTTTATTCATTGATAAATATTTGAAATTATCCAAACAGATCATTATAAACCTGCAATTTCCCATCGAGATTTAAACAGCAGAAATGTCCTAGTGAAAAATGATGGAACCTGTGTTATTAGTGACTTTGGACTGTCCATGAGGCTGACTGGAAATAGACTGGTGCGCCCAGGGGAGGAAGATAATGCAGCCATAAGCGAGGTGAGTGTATACAAAAGGTATCACACTGATGTACTTTGAAATGATAATTTAATTAAAACATCTACTGGCCAGGTGTGGTGGCTCACGCCTGTAATCCCAGCACTTTGGTAGGCCCAGGTGGGTGGATCACCTAAGGTAAAGAGTTCGAGACCAGCTTGGCCAACATGGCGAAACCCCGTCTCTACTAAAAATACAAAAATTAGCCGGGCACAGTGGCACGCACCTGTAATCCCAGCTACTCGGGAGTCTGAGGCAAGAGAATCGCTTGAACCCAGGAGGAGGAAGTTGCAGTGAGCTGAGATTGTGCCACTGCACTCCATCCTGGGTGACAGAGTGAGTGAGACTCAGGACAATTATCCTCATATACTGCCAATTATAGAATACTAGGAATTACAAAATTAGGAAATATAAAAGACATCTCATAAAGGCCTTTGTAAAGTTCATCAGTTTATTTTGGAACTCACTGCCATTCCAAGTCATTTTTACAAGCATTAGGAACAAATTTGTAGGAACTGATTTTTGAGGCAAGGGTAAAGTTACCAAGTTTAAGATAACACAGTCCACCTTCTGATAATCACCATTACAGTGTGGAACGTATCCTTCCCAACTTTGTTCTCTGCATTCATATATACTTGTCTGTGCACAACATATATGTATTTTTGTGATTTTAAAAATTTATTTATTTGTTTATTTTGAGATGGAGTTTCACTTTTGTTGCCCAGGCTGGAGTGCAATGGTGCAATCTCAGCCCACCGCAACCTCTGCCTCCCAGGTTGAAGCAATTCTCCTGCCTCAGCCTCCTGAGTAGCTGGCATTATAGGCATGTACCACCATGTCTGGCTAATTTTTGTAATTTTAGTAGATACGAGGTTTCTCCATGTTAGGGTGGTCTTGAAGTCCTGACCTTAGGTGATCCACCCACCTTGGCCTCCCAAAGTGCTGCAATTACAAGTGTGAGCCACCACGCCCAGCTGTATTTTTTTTTTTTTTTTTTTTTTTTTTTGAGACGGAGTCTCTCTCTGTCACCCAGGCTGGAGTGCAGTGGCGCGATCATGGCTCACTGCAAGCTCCATCTCCCGGGTTCACGCTATTTTCCTGCCTCGGCCTCCTGAGTAGCTGGGACTACAGGCACCCACCACCATGCCTGGTTAATTTTTTATTTTTTTTTAGTAGAGACGGGGTTTCACTGTGTTAGCCAGGATGGTCTCGATCTCCTGACCTTGAGATCCACCCGCCTTGGCCTCCCAAAGTGCTAGGATTACAGGCATGAGCCACTGCACCCGGCCACCCAGCTGTATTTTTGTGAATTTTAAAAAATATTAAGTTGTATACATATTGTTTTGCAATTTTCTCACTGTATCTTACAGATTATTTATATTGATATACATAGGAAAGTCTAGCTCATTCTTTTTGATTGATTAATAGTATTCACTAAAATGGATTTACCACAGTTTACTTATTCAGGAAGGGCATTTTATAGGTAAAAAATAAGTTATAGAAAGGTTTAATGACATGGTTAGGGTCAAATAACATTGACATGACTAAGATTTATATATAACTTCTGGTCTAATGTCTGTTCTTCAGAATATGCTACGTTCTCTCTCTAAAAAATATCACTCTAATTTATCAGGTTGGCACTATCAGATATATGGCACCAGAAGTGCTAGAAGGAGCTGTGAACTTGAGGGACTGTGAATCAGCTTTGAAACAAGTAGACATGTATGCTCTTGGACTAATCTATTGGGAGATATTTATGAGATGTACAGACCTCTTCCCAGGTAAAAACTACTGTCAAAAGTTGATATTTTTTGAAGTGAAGCAGTTATATCTTCTTTCTCTACCTATAGTACCTAACTCAACTTTTATGTAAGAATCTTTTTACTTTCATTTAAACCTTTAGTTCATTGCTATCTAGTGTTTAGAAACATTATTAGCAGCAGGATGCAAATTAGGAATTTTTTTTTTTAGAGTACTCCAGGTTTTCATCTGAGTGAAATTTAATTAATTGCCAGTAATAGCTTATCTAACTGTATTTTGTTTGGTCTCTGATTGCTTTAGCAGTAAACATTTTCCTTATGCACCATCTGAGTGTTTGAGACAAGGTACACTTACGATGTTTACTGAGTTGAACCCAGAAGGAATTAGAAGCAATGAATTATTTGTAAACACTTTTTCCTTTTCTTTTTTTTTCATGCTCCCTTTCTCCCTCCTTCCTTCTTTCCTTCTTTCTTCCTTCCTTCCTCTTCTCTCACCTTATCTCCTTCCCTTCCTCCTCTTTTCTCTTCTTCCTTCCTTTCAATGAAAGAATACTCATTGGCCAGGTGCGGTGGCTCATGCCTATAATCCCAGCACTTTGTGAGGCCGAGGCTTGCGGATCACCTGAGGTCAGGAGTTCGAGACCAACCTGACCAATATGGTGAAACCCCGTTTCTACTAATAATATGCACCTGTAATCCCAGCTGCTCAGGAGGCTGAGATAGGAGAATTGCTTGAACCCGGGAGGCAGAGGTTGCAGTGAGCCAAGATCTTGCCGTTGCACCCCAGCCTGGGCAACAAGAGCAAAACTCTGTCTCAAAAAAATAAAAAAAGGCCTGGCGCGGTGGCTTACACCTGTAATCCCAGCACTTTGGGAGGCCAAGGCAGGCGGATCATGAGGTCAGAAGTTCGAGACCAGCCTGGCCAATATGGTGAAACCCCATGTCTACTAATAATACAAAAATTAGCCAGGCGTGGTGGCGAGCACCTGTAGTCCCAGCTACTCGGGAGGCTGGGGCAGAGGAATTGCTTGAACCCAGTAGGCGGAGGTTGCAGTGAGCTGAGATCACGCCATGGCTCTCCAGCCTGGGTAACAGAGCAAGACTCCGTCTCAAAAAAAGGGAAAGAATACTCATTTAAGTGAATGTTTGTTTGAGGCTTACTTGAAATAGCCAAATGAATTTATAGTTTTCCCTTCTTAGGGATTACATCGTTGTAGTATCATCTAAAAACTTTAACTATAAATCTGGCATTGCATTCTTCTAGGTGCTATACAGATGATTTGATCTGTGTGGCCACTGTCTTTTAGGAGTAACACCATTAAAAGCATAGAAAAAGGAACTAGCATTGGACAAATTTATGAAATAGAGCTATTTAATTTAAAAAGATTAATAATGGAGTTGAATTGTTTGGCTTTAAAGACATTAGGCATTACACATTAGTTTATATATATCAAGTGTGTGTATATATATATACACACACACACACATATATATGTATCGTGTGTGTGTGTATATATATATATAAATAAAATTTTTATTTATTTATTTATTTATTTATTTATTTTTTATTGATAATTCTTGGGTGTTTCTCACAGAGGGGGATTTGGCTGGGTCATAGGACAATAGTGGAGGGAAGGTCAGCAGATAAACAAGTGAACAAAGGTCTCTGGTTTTCCTAGGCAGAGGACCCTGCGGCCTTCCGCAGTGTTTGTGTCCCTGGGTACTTGAGATTAGGGAGTGGTGATGACTCTTAACGAGCATGCTGCCTTCAAGCATCTGTTTAACAAAGCACATCTTGCACCGCCCTTAATCCATTTAACCCTGAGTGGGACACAGCACATGTTTCAGAGAGCACAGGGTTGGGGGCAAGGTCACAGATCAACAGGATCCCAAGGCAGAAGAAGTTTTCTTAGTACAGAACAAAATGGAAAGTCTCCCATGTCTACTTCTTTCTACACAGACACGGCAACCATCTGATTTCTCAATCTTTTCCCCACCTTTCCCGCCTTTCTATTCCACAAAGCCGCCATTGTCATCCTGGCCCGTTCTCAATGAGCTGTTGGGCACACCTCCCAGACGGGGTGGTGGCCGGGCAGAGAGGCTCCTCACCTCCCGGACGGGGCGGCTGGCCAGGCGGGGGGCTGACCCCCCCACCTCCCTCCCGGACGGGGCGGCTGGCCGGGCGGGGGGCTGACCCCCCCACCTCCCTCCCGGACGGGGCGGCTGGCCGGGCGGGGGGCTGACCCCCCCCACCTCCTGGCCGGGCGGGTGGCTGACCCCCTGCCACCTCCCTCCCGGACGGGTCGGCTGGCCGGGCGGGTGGCTGACCCCCCCACCTCCCTCCCGGACAGGTCGGCTGGCCTGGCTGGGGGCTGACCCCCCCACCTCCCTCCCGGACGGGGCGGCTGGCCGGGCGGGGGGCTGACCCCCCCACCTCCCTCCCGGATGGGGCGGCTGGCCTGGCGGGGGGCTGACCCCCCCCACCTCCCTCCCGGACGGGGTGGCTGCCGGGCGGAGACACTCCTCACTTCCCAGACGGAGCGGCTGCTGGGCGGAGAGGCTCCTCACTTCTCAGACGGGGCGGCTGCCGGGCGGAGGGGCTCCTCACTTCTCAGACGGGGCGGTTGCCAGGCAGAGGGTCTCCTCACTTCTCAGACGGGGCGGCCGGGCAGAGACGCTCCTCACCTCCCAGACGGGGTCTCGGCTGGGCAGAGGCGCTCCTCACATCCCAGACGGGGCGGCGGGGCAGAGGCGCTCCCCACATCTCAGACGATGGGCGGCCGGGCAGAGACGCTCCTCACTTCCTAGATGTGATGGCGGCCAGGAAGAGGTGCTCCTCACTTCCTAGATGGGATGGCGGCCGGGCGGAGACGCTCCCCACTTTCCAGACTGGGCAGCCGGGCAGAGGGGCTCCTCACATCCCAGATGATGGGCGGCCAGGCAGAGACGCTCCTCACTTCCCAGACGGGGTGGCGGCCGGGCAGAGGCTGCAATCTCAGCACTTTGGGAGGCCAAGGCAGGCGGCTGGGAGGTGGAGGTTGTAGCGAGCCGAGATCACGCCACTGCACTCCAGCCTGGGCACCATTGAGCACTGAGTGAACGAGACTCCGTCTGCAATCCCGGCACCTCGGGAGGCCGAGGCTGGCGGATCACTCGCGGTTAGGGGCTGGAGACCGGCCTGGCCAACACAGCGAAACCCCGTCTCCACCAAAACCAGTCAGGCGTGGCGGCGCGTGCCTGCAATCGCAGGCACTCGGCAGGCTGAGGCAGGAGAATCAGGCAGGGAGGTTGCAGTGAGCTGAGATGGCAGCAGTACAGTCCAGCTTCGGCTCGGCATGAGAGGGAGACCGTGGAAAGAGAGGGAGAGGGAGACCGTGGGGAGAGGGAGAGGGAGAGGGAGCTAAATAAAATTTTTTTAAGAGACAGAGCCTCACTCTGTCACCTAGGCTGGAGTGCAGTGGTGTGATCACAGCTCACTGCAGCCTTGACCTCCCCAGGCTCAGGTGATTCTCCCACCTCAGCCTCTGAGTAGCTGGGACTACAGGCATGCACCACCAAGCCTGGTTCATTTTTGTATTTTTTTGTAGAGACAAGGTTTCACCATGTTGCTCAGGCTGGTCTCAAACTCCTGGGCTCAAGTGATCCACCCACTTCAGCCTCCAAAAGTGCCTGGATTACAGGAGTGAGCCACCGCACCAGGCCAAACATTAGTTTGTAATTCAAAAATATAATGAAATAAATCAGTGATTAGTAGATTAAGTACAGGTTAATCAGTTATCTAGAAGTATATTTTCTAGTTAATTAAAAGTACAGAGATTCAATTGAGGCATTTTTCTGAAAATAGCAGTAATTGCAGTAGTATCAACAAGTACTTTTTTTGGCCGGGTGCGGTGGCTCACGCCTGTAATCCCAGCACCTTAGGAGGCCGAGGCAAGTGTATCACCTGAGGTCGGGAGTTCAAGACCAGCCTGACCAACATGGTGAAACCCTGTCTCTACTAAAAATACAAAATTAGCTGGATGTGGTGGCACATGCCTGTAATCCCAGCTACTTGGGAGGCTGAGGCAGGAGAATCGCTTGAACCCGGGAGGCAGAGGTTGCAAGGCTGAGATTGCACCATTGCACTCCAGCCTGGGCAACAAGAGTGAAACTCGGTCTCAAAAAAAAAAAAAAAAAAAAGAAGTACTTTTTTTGTTTTGTTTTTAAGAGACAGGGTCTCACTCCTGCCCAGGCCGGAGTGCAGTAGTGCAATCATAGCTCACTGCAGCACTGAACTCTTGGGCTCAAGCAGTCCTCCTGCTCAGCCTCCTGAGTAGCTAGGACTACAGGTGCATGCCACCACGCCCGGCTAGTATTTTATTTTTTGTCGAGACAGTGTTTTGCTGTATTGCCCAGGCTGGCCTCGAACTCCTGGGCTCAAGTGATCCTCCTGCCTCAGCCTCCCAAAATGCTGTGATTGCAGGCATGAGCCACCACACCCAAACCCACAAGTATTGTATTATCAGAACTTTGACCACAGTTTGGTAATTTCTTTGTTAATAGTCTCATGTAGGATTTTTGTTTTAGAAGCATGTCTGACTGAAATGATTTTTTCATCAGATTAGTACACTGCTACAAACAATATATTTTGAAAAACTACTGTGTTCAAAGAATGACTATCGCTTTTGATCTGATAAATAATAAAGAATGATATTAAATGTTTGAATAGGGAAAGGCAATTAAATCTTGTTTTCAGAAGATTATTTTAGCAAATATGTAGGATTAATTAAAATAGAAATAGAACTAGAAGGGGCTTAAAAAGGAAAAAGAAATGGAGAGTTACTGTTTAATGGGTACAGAGTTTCAGTTTGGGAAGATAGAAACAGTTCTAGAAATGGTTAGTAGTAATGGTTGTACAATAGTGTGAATGTACTTAATACCACAGAATGGTGCACTTAAAAATGGTTAAAATGATCAGTTTTATGTTATGTATATTCTACCACGATAAAAAAAAAATAAAGGAATAAGAAGAGAGTTGCTTTAAAATACCCCGTAATCTTGGATATGGAAATGGGGAGAGGCAAATCTGGGAGAAAATGCAGAGAAGAAATCTGTACTTGTGGTTATCTGTTAAAAGAATGAGATGTCAGGCCAGGTGTGGCTCACGCCTGCAAACCCAGCACTTTAGGAGGCTGAGAGGGGTGGGGGTGGATCTCCAGGTCAGGAGTTCGAGACCAGCCTGGCCAGCATGGTGAAACCCCGCTCTACTACAAATACAAAAATTAGACAGGTGCAGTGGCACACGCCTGTAATCCCAGCTACTCAGGAGGCTGAGGCAGGAGAATCACCTGAACCTGGGAGGCAGAGGTTGCAGTGAGCCGAGATCGCGCCACTGCACTCCAGCCTGGGTGACAGAACGAGACTCCATGTCAAAAACTAAAAAGAATGGGATTCAAAGGAATTGAGAAATATTCAGAGGTTGGCCGGGCACGGTGGCTCAGGCCTGTAATCCTAGCACTTTGGGAGGCTGAGGTGGGTGGATCATTTGAGGTCAGGAGTTCGAAACCAGCCGGGCCAACATGGTGAAAGCCTATCTCTACTAAAAATATTTAAAAATCAGCTGGTCGTGGTGGCAGTCACCTGTAATTCTAGCTACTTGGGAGTCTGAGGCAGGAGAACTGCTTGAACTAGGGAGGCGGAGGTTGCAGTGAGCCGAGATTGCCTCCATTGCCCTCCATCCTGGGCAACAGAGCGAGACTCCATCTCTTAAAGAAAAAAAAGAAGGAACTATTCAGAGGTCTTAAAACACAGTGAGGGTGGGCCAGGCACAGTGGCTCACACCTGTAATCCCAGCACTTTGGGAGGCCAAGGCTAGTGGATCACCTGAGGTCAGGAGTTTGAGACCAGCCTGACCAACGTGGTGAAACCCCAACTGTACTAAAAGTACAAAAAAATTAGCCGGGCTTGGTTGTGGGCACCTGTAATCCCAGCTACTCGGGAGGCTGAGGCAAGAGAATTGCTTGAACCCGGGACGCAGAGGTTGCAGTGAGCAGAGATCGCGCCACCGCACTCCAGCCTGGGTGACAAAGCGAGACTCTGTCTCAAAAAAAAAAAAAAAAAAAAAAGTGAGGGTCAGAGTGGCAACCAGAAAGATGAGTTAATCCTGGAGACTGTTCGATGGGGTATTGACAGACAACTAAATAAATTTTTAAAGACAATTAAAAATAATAAATAAGATGGAAATTTAAGATTAAAATGGTTATTTGGGAGTTGTCTACATAGAGATGGTAACTGAGAAGTTATGAGTCGATGCACTCCTTTAACTGGAACATAAAAAGAAAGAAAAATAGGTGAATAATGACTGAATATTGGGGTACTACCCCCATGAAGTAGGTTAATTAAGAAGACAAATGATCAGAAAAGTAGTGAGAAAACTGAAAAATCCTAATGCCTTGTAAGTCAGTATTAGAAAACTTTAAGAACTAAGATTTCAGCCTGAGGAAGCTGATTAAAAAATAAAAATAAAAAACCACACCAAGATTGATGGCAATAGATGTAATTGAAAAGAGGAAACAGAACTGAGGAATGATTTTTGAATTTGAGTAGGAGGAGGTCATTGGTATTTTTAGAAGAGTTTCTGTGGAATACAGAACACAGAAATCATGTTACAGAGTGTATATAGGAGGGGAAAGTATTTAAAAAGCACAGTCAAGGGATACAGGGCACTCTTGAAAATTTTAACAATTAAATGAGGTGGAAGTAGAAAAGAAAAAAGGATCATATAAATATATTAATAAACCTAGAGAATAGTGTATACTAACTATAAAATTCTTATAAAACATTTTTTAAACTTTTATGATATACCTCAAAATGCAGTATGTGCTGTATTATTAAATGGAAACACTATGTAATGAAGGTTACTTCTCTATAAAATGTTAGTAAAATAAATGATTTATCTGTATTACAGAGGAAGAGTGAAATGCTACAAAGTTTAAATAGAAGGGGGAGAAGGAAGAAAAAAAGAAGAGATAGAAAAAGGAAGAAAGAATAAGTGTAATTTGAGAAGGGAGCTAAAAAAAGGTCTGTAACTGGTAGAGACATAGTTAACAAGTGGCACATGGGGTGAGAAGCAGGTAATGGTATCTGATAGTGCTAGATATTACTATAAGATATTTTGGGCAGTTCTAAAGAAAATGAGATTATAAAACTTTCCTTGAGCAATCCAGCGATAGTAAGGAAATTCAGTAAGGTTTTAAGGAAATCCAATAAGGTTATTATCTTCCATGATGATGATTTTTGTCATTAACATTCACCTTTGTATCTCTAATACCTAACACTAAGTTAGCACTAAACAAGTTTCTATTGAACAATTAGATTTTGAACTGTGAAGATTTAGTGGAAATTTATTTGGTAATTCTTAACCATTGCATTCATAAAAGATTGTGCTTCAATTTCCTTTAGCAACTTTTAAAATTATAATTTGGACCTAATTTTTTAAAAGAGTGAAATTGTGAATTTTTAGTTATTCTACTAAACCAGCATTTGAAAAAAAAATAATAAATAACACTTGGAAGGTATGTGTATGTGTTGTGTGTATGTCTCAGAGACAGATCAGATACATTAGTAAATACCTTGCAATTCACAGATGGTATAGGATAAGGTTTTATCACATGGGGTTTCAAGGAAGAAAGTGATATACTAACTGCCATGATTATTAAATCCTTTAATTTTATCTCTCAAGTTCAATGTTGATGTTATTGATCAACACTAAGTATCTGCTTAAATGTTTACAGTATGTGAAACTCACTTGTATTTATACATAAGGCAGTATTACAACAAACTTGGGCGATGCTGCACAGATAATAGAATTAATCTTTGTAAATCTTTTTTAATATTGGTGGAGGGCAAGTATTTATTAGTTGTTTTGAGTATTCAAATAGAAACAAAACTTAAATGAAACATAAACTTATTTGTAATGTGGTTTCCATCTGGGTCATTATAACTTTGTATTATCTCCATGTAAGTGATATAAGGAAGGCTGCAGACATTGCCATTTTGCTTACAGGAAGTCTGAAACACAGAATAGTTAAATGACTTTTCCAAGGTCAAGATGAAGTGAAGATTAGAACCTAAATGCCTTATCCTCTGTCTTGGCGTTCTTCCTTCTAATTTATCTTGTCATTTTAATAGGGTGGGAGGACGGGTAAAGAGACAGGAACAGTCTCTGTGTTCTTTGCCATGGTTTCTACTAGATCATTGAGTGTTGGTCCCAGGGGTCTTCTATGTGGTTCAATATATTATATACATAAACTTAATTTTATTATCATATTTTGTAAAAATCAAAAGCCTAACATCAGAGTTGATTGTGCTTATTGGCAATGAATAGGGTTATTAAATAGTGATAAAATAGTTAATAATATTTAAGTCCATGATCTAAATACTACCTGTTAGTTAAAAGGAATTTTTAGAGCTGGGCACAGTGGTTCACACCTGTAATCTCAGCACCTTGGGAGGCTGAGGCAGGAAAATCATTTGAGGGCAGAAGTATGAGACCAGCCTGGGCAACACGGCAAGACCTTATCTCTACAAAAATATTTTTAAAAATTAGCTGGGCATGGTGCCACACTCTTGTAGTCTTAGCTATTAGGGAGGCCACTTGAGTGCAGGAGTTCAAGTTACAGTGAGCTATGATAATGCCACCGTACTCCATCCTGGGCAACAAAGTGAGAGCGTTTCTTTGAAAAAAAATTTTTTTAAAGTATATTGATTTTTCTTTCAAATGACCATTATCATAAATATTTTTGTAACATTTGATACAGTCTGGCTGGACTATAATAGAACCAATGATGTAATGAGACATAGTGACTGTTCAACCCACCCACTTACATTTGGTTCTGTAGGCATATTTGTTGTACTAGGTCCTGGAGTTTTTCCTCATCTTTACCCGCCTCCATGGGATCAGTGTTCAGGCATGTTTTCAAGTATTAAGTATGCCTTATAAACATAATAGTCTTTTTTCCCTGAATTTAGTAATACCAGAAACCATTTAAAAATACCTATCCATCATTGAAACTACCATTTGACTTATCAACAAATATTTGAGACTATTCTAAGCAAAACATTCATTAATAATGCATTAGACTGGGCATGGTGGCTCACGCCTGTAATCCCAGCACTTTAGGAGGCCGAGGCTGGTGGATCACCTGAGGTCAGGAGTTCAAGACCAGCCTGGCCAACATGGTGAAACCCTATCTCTACTAAAATATGAAAATTAGCTGGACGTGGTGGTGTGCGCCTGTAATCCAAGCTACTCGGGAGGCTGAGGCGAGAGAATCACTTGAACCCGGGAGGCAGAGGTTGCAGTGAGCCGAGATCATGCCACTGCACTCCAGCCTGGGCAACAGAGTAAGACTCCGTCTAAAAAAAAAAAAAGAAAAAAAAATCATTAAACCTACAGCAAGGTCTCTTTAGGATTTCCAAATGTGCCTGAAGGGGATGAAAAAATAAAAAGATTGTGACACAATTTTTTTTGCTTACTTGGTATCAGAAATACCCCTGTTATTCTATCATTTATGATAGTTAGAAATTTTATTCTGTCATTCTTTTCTACAAATCCACAGGGGAATCCGTACCAGAGTACCAGATGGCTTTTCAGACAGAGGTTGGAAACCATCCCACTTTTGAGGATATGCAGGTTCTCGTGTCTAGGGAAAAACAGAGACCCAAGTTCCCAGAAGCCTGGAAAGAAAATAGCCTGGTAAGAAAAAACTAAGTTATTAAAGAGAGGACTTATGACTGAATATGTTTTAATGTTGTTTGAAACAAAAATAGACTGTTAATAACGTTAATAGTTTTTGGAGTTGCCTAATGCCACAAATCAAACTTGATTTTTATGATGTTTTCAAATTTTTCAATATGAAAAAAAGTCAGTTTTAGTTCCATTTTGTTTTTTTCCAAGCTTAAAATACTATTTAGAGAGAATAACTAATGTGTCATAAGTTTGCCAGATTAGGTAACAGCTGGATAAATTAACATATTAATATTTTAAATATTATTGAAATTCTATCTTACTCTCTTGAGAATAGTACCAAAACTGTTAAGTAGTGCAGGCTTACATAACCAATGGCTAATGAAAATTTAGGCTAGACCTGAAAAAAACCAAGGCGCAGCCTATGAATTCTGCTAATTATTAAAAATATAATTCGGCTGGGTGCGGTGGCTCACACCTGTAATCCCAGCACTTTGGGAGGCCGAGGCGGGCAGATTGCCTGAGCTCAGGAGTTCGCGACCAGCCTGGGCAACATGGTGAAACCCCACCTCTACTAAAATACAAAAAATTAGCCGGGCGTGGTGGCGTGTGTCTGTAGTCCCAGCTAGTTGGGAGGCTGAGGCAGGAGAATTGCTTGAACCTGGGAGGCAGAGATTGCAATGAGCCGAGATCACACCACTGCACTCCAGCCTGGGTGACAGAGCGAGACTCTGTCTCAAAAAAAAAAAAAGCATATATATATATATTTATATACATATATATTTATATATATATTTATATACATATATATTTATATACATATATTTATATATATGTAAAATTCACAACAATGAAATATCTCAAGTCCCCTGCCATTTGAGTAAGTTGTTGTTACAACACTGAAAACATCTTACAAATTAACAAATATACACTCATATAATCTTTTAGTATAAATAGGATAATCTAATTATCTACTATCATTTCTGAAGTTTATTTTTTTACTTAAACACATTTTTTTAATGTCAGTACCTCTAGATGTATCTATTTCTCTCCATTTGGTCAGTATTCTATTGATAAAATCATATAATGATTCTATTGGATGATATATGATAATTATTGTATTAAAAAGGAAAAAACTACCTCTCCCTACTATCACTCTCCGTAAGTAACTCCCTTTAGCAATCTTTTGGGTTTTTTCTCTTCCAAAGATTACCATTATAACTTCAAATACTCTATCTATTCTTAAGTTATCTCTCGTTTACTTTCTCCCAGTTTGTAATATTCTATTATTAAATGATTTATGTTTTGTCTGTAAATTCATCTAATATTTAAATACAATAACGAGAAATTTTTGGTATTATGATTATGTAAGCATTCACTGCACAACAAAGTATTGTGCTTGGATTTATAGGAAATAAAAATTCTACATTAGTTACTAAAATCTCCCCTGCGCTTTGGGGAGAATGTTTCAAGTTATCATCCATCACTTGAGCCCAAGGGTTTGAGGCTGCAGTGAGCTATGATCACACCACTGCCCTCCAGCCTGAGTAAGACCCTGTCTCTTTAAAAAAAAATGTCATCAAGTCTCAGCTGCCCAGGAGGCTGAGGTAGGAGAATTGCTTGAACCCCAGAGGTGGAGGTTGCAGCGAGGCGAGATCGTGCCACTGCACTCCAGCCTGGGTGACAGAGTGAGACCCCATCTCAAAAAAAAACAAAAAAAAATTTGAAAAGTCATCATCAAATGATTTCTTTTTGGTTTCTTGTCATCTTTCTTTGTCTTGTTTTTAGGCTATACTCAGAAGCGCATTAAAAATCTCATGTCATTCTCTTTCTTGTAAACGATTGTTTTTTTGATGAAGTTCCTCCTTAAGTAATGTGTATTAGTATGTGTATGGTGGTAAACATTATGAATCCTTGCATGTTTAAAAATGTTTTTATCTTGCCCTCACACTCGAGTAATAATCTGGCTGGATAATAGTTTCAATATCATAATTATTTTCTTCACAACTTTGAAACTACTACTCCATCATTCTCTAGCCTACAATCTCCATGTGCTCTAGGCCCTAGTCTCCAGTCTAATGAGAATTTCAGTGCCATCCTGAATCGTTTCATTGCTTTTTGTTTCGTTATGTTTTTGTTTTATCCTCTTAATTTTTTTTCTCTATAAGCTTTTAAGACTTTATCACTAGAATTGTGAAATTTCACCTTGATGTTTGTAGGCATGGATCTTTACACACATTTTGCTTGGCACTGGGTAGGTTTTCAGTTTGAAAATTCAAAAGTTTCTTAAATTCAGAGGAATTTTCTTTTTTCTTTTTCTTTCTTTTTTTTTTTTTTTTTTTTTGAGACAGGATCTTGCTCTGTCATTCTGGCTGGAGTATAGTGGTGTGATCATGGCTCACTGCAGCTTTGAACTCCTCTGCTTAAGCTATTCTCCTTCTTCATCTTCCTGAGTAGCTGAGACTTCAGGTGCATACCACTTTGCCTGGCTTTTTAAATTTTTGGTAGAGACAGGGTCTCGCTTTGTTTCCCAGGCTGGTCTCAAACTCCTGAATTCAAGCAGTCCTCCTACCTCAGCTTCTCAAAGTACTGAGATCATAAGCATGAGCCATCATGCCTGGCCTGGTATTTTTTTTTAATTATTTCTTACCTTTCAATTCTTCCTTCTGGAATTCCCACTAGACAAATATTGTACCACCTGACATTCTAAGAATCATTTTTTTCTTATATTTTCCATTTTTTCTCCCTCTATGTTTTTCTTCCTCCCGTCCCCCTCCCCTCCCCACACACCTGGCCTCCCTTACTACATTTTTCAAGATTTACTCAGCTTTATCTTCAAATGACCCATTTAGTTTTCACTATTACCCTTGTATCAGTTATCTATTCATTAAAGTTTTAGCTTCCACGATCATAATTATATTTCCAGAAACTCGTTTGCCTTTTCCATAGCAATCTGTTCTTATTTCCAGAATGTAATAAGAGTGATTCATTCTGAAGGTGTTGTTTTTATGCTTTACACAAATTAATTTTCTTGACTATAATAAAAGGACAAAAAGTGAAAAAATAAGCAACTTAAATTATTTTACTATGTATTTTCACATTTCAATTTTAGATTGTCTTGGTAGGACTAAAATAATATTTCCATTTTGGATCCTGATTTAAGTGGGGTGATGTCATGTCAGAGACAGGGTAGAGACACATTATAGTTTCCATACAGATTTAGAATGAGCACTGTCTTCATTGGTTATCTTAGTCACTAGGTTACTTTCAAGTTTGGCTTCTGTTTCAAGTCAGATTGAAATATTTAAGTATGTGGCAATTAAGGAGCCTATTGTCAAGCACATACGTCCAAGATTGCTTCCAAAACTACAGTCCCTGCTATGGGAACTGGGACAGATTTTTGAGAGGTCCCTGATAGCAAGTGAGAGGCTGAATACTTTACTAGGATTAATTAGAGGTGCCAGCCTCACAATAGAGTATCCCTAAAAGAAAAATCTGTGAAATTTTATTCTAGTAAAATACAACTTCATCTTCCTTAAATTGTTTTATTTCACCAGCGCAAATGGGATCTATTATTTTGAAATATCTCTCGGCAACCCTATTATTATGAGATATGCATCATATGCATATTTACCTGAAAACTTTTTACTTCCAGTATAGAGTAGGTTGCCAAGTAAGGAATTCATAATACTTGGTTCACTTCCAGGGAATCCATTTAAATCTAATGTGCTACAGTCAATAAACTGCTTCTCTGCAGTGACAATCCAATACTAGAGTTAGGTAGCAAGTACATAGTTTATAAAAAGAGAGAAATGCAGCTATGTCTAAAGAAGCCATTTTTGCTTTCATAGTTGCATTGAGATTAAGAAACATTCCTTTAGTAGTAAAACTCAGAATCTTTCAAATATTAATGAATATAAAAACTAGCTTTAATTTTATAAATTGCCAGGGACTCAAGCATAGTTTAGTCAATAAAGGGGGGAAGAATAGTTTCCTGATAAAAATGAAAGCATAGAAAATAGTCTAAAGGAAATACATGAAAATGTTAAACCATAGTTATCTCTGAATATTGAGTTCATAAATGACTTTTTCTTCCTATATGTTTCAGAATTTACAGTAAAAATGAACTACTTTAACAATCACATACACATGGTTTTGTTTTTGTTTTTGTTTTTGTTTTTTTGAGACAGAGTCTCGCTCTGTCACTCAGGCTGGAGTGCAGTGGCGCAATCTCAGCTCACTGTGGCGTCTGCCTCCTGGGTTCAAGCGATTTTTCTGGCTCTGCCTCCCGAGTAGCTGGGACTACAGTCACGTGCCACCATGCCTGACTAGTTTTTGTGTTTTTCGTAGAGATGGGGTTTCACCATATTGGTCAGGCTGGTCTTGAACTCCTGACCTCATGATCCACCTGCCTCAGACTCCCGGAGTGCTGGGATTACAGACATGAGCCACCGTGCCCAGCCGGTGTTTTGTTTTGTTTTGTTTTGTTTTGTTTTGTTTTGTTTTGTTTTGTTTTTGTAGAGACAGGGTAGTTGCCAAGACTAGTCTTAAACTCCTGGCCTCAAGCAATCCTCCCACCTCGGCCTCCCAGAGTGCCGGGATTACAGTCATGAGTCAGCATGCCTGGCCCCCACACACAGTTTAAGGCTTTTGTTTTATGTTAAAATATTTTAAATTGGTAAAATAAAAAATTATAGGCCACGTTTATTTTAAAGTAGCTTTTTTCCTCCTACATAAAATTTTCAGGTATAATTTGTTTAACTGTACTACCATTCTTCATGTTTTCCATTCTTTTCCAGTTTTTTGTCACCCATACTATAGTGCAGGGGGACAATAATAGCTCACTGTAGCCTCGAACTCCTAAAGTGCTGGGATTATAGGTATGAGCCCAGCCTCTTTTCCAAATGTTTATACTCCATTTCTTAGTCTGTCTTGAATTCTTTTCTCTCCCCTGTTAAAATCACTTGCCTGGCTTTTCTTTATTCCTTAGTGTTAGTTTTGTATAACCTCTTGTAATCAATGGTTTTATCCTAATATATTTTCACATAAAAGGTGGCAACTTAGCCAGGCACGGTGGCTCACGCCTGTAATCCCAGCACTTTGGGAGGCTGGGGCATGTGGATTACTTGACGTCAGGAGTTCGAGACCAGCCTGGCCAACATGGTGAAACCCCATCTCTACTAAAAATACAAAAATGAGCTGGGTGTGGTTGTGCATGCCTGTAATCCCAGCAACTTGGGAGGCTGAGGCAGGAGAATCGCTTGAGCCCGGGAGGCAGAGGTTGCAGTGAACAGAGATCATGCCACTGCAATCCAGCCTGGACGACAGAGCAAGATCCATCACAAAAAAAAAAAAAAAAAAAAGGCCAGGCACGGCAGCTCATGCCTATAATCCCAGCACTTTGGGAGGCCGAGGTGGGTGGATTGCTTGAGATCAGGAGTTTTAGACCAGCCTGGCCAACATGGTGAAACCCTGTCTCTACTAAAAATACAAAAAATTAGCCGGACATGGTGGCAGGTGCCTGTAATCTCAGCTACTCAGGAGGCTGAGGCAGGAGAATCACTTGAACCTGGGAGGTGGAGATTGCAGTGAGCCGAGATTGCACCACTGCACTCCAGCCTGAGCAACAGAGTAAGATTCCATCTTAAAAAAAAAAAATGCGGCAACTCTTCCTCAGTTTATGTTTGCCCTCTGGTCTTTTTAAGAAATATATAGTACATTTCAGAAGAAACTACCAGTTCTTTTCACATAGTTTTAGTTTTTCCATTTTCTCTTTTGGACAAAATCTATAGACTTCTGTGATCTAGAATTCAACATTTTACATACTTTTTCATCTGACACAACCCACATTAAGAAATACAACTTCAGCCAGGTGCAATAGTGCACACTTGTAGTCTAAGCTACATAGGAGGCTGAGGGAGGAGTATCGCTTGAGCCTAGGAATGTGAAGCTGTAGTACACAATGATCCCACCTGTGAATAACCACTGCAGTCCAGCCTGGGCAACATAGTGAGACCCCATCTCAAAAAAAAAAGCAAAGTTTACATCATTACATATAGTATAATACTTAACCTTACCACCTACTCTATGTCCTAGTGTTTTCTATTCTAGTCTAGAGCATTTCAGTTTTGGTTAGAGTTGTTTGTTTTAAACCACTGAGCTGATTTTATGACCCACCCATGAGATCCAACTTACGTTTTCCTTCCTTTGGGTAGGAAAGATTGAAAAAGTTCCTTGTTTATCTTTTCTACTTTTTTTTCCCCCTACTTGTCTTTCCTCATTAGTGTTAATAATGCCACTCCCTTTAACTTATTTACACAAGCATTAAGGTATCATTATTTACCTATTCCTAGAGTTAGAGTCCCCTTTCAAAGGACGCATCAGATTTTGCCTGAATATTTATGTTTTCACTTCTGATTTATTCTCAATTTTTGTACATTTAAAGAGCTATAATTGATAAACTGCACGTATTAAAGTGTACATTTAGGTGTGTTTTGATATATGTATACACCCATAAAACCATCATCACAGTCATGATTGTGAACATGTCAATTACCCCCAGAAGATTTCTTGTGCCCTTTTGTAATCTCTCCTCAACTTTCTCTATCCCCCATGAGTCCCCAGGCAACCACTGATCTGCTTTCTGTCACTAGAGATTAGTTTACATTTTCTAGAATTTTATATAAATGGAATCATATAAATGTACTGTTTTTCTGGCTTCTTTCAGTATGATTATTTTCAGTTATAATTAACTATTAGTTATAATTATTCATGTTCATTATTAGTTATAATATTATTATTAGTTATAATTATTATTCATGTTCTTATGTGTAGCCATAGTTTATTAATTGCTAAGTAGTATTTCATTGTATGCATATGATACAGTTTGTTTGTCCATCCACTCGTGATGGATATTTGACTTATTTCCAGTTTCAACTTTTATAAATAAAGCTGCTGTGAATATTCATGTACAAGTCTTTGTATAAACATATGGTTTCATTTACTTAGGTAAATATCTAAGAGTAGAGTGGTTGAATCATGTGGTAGGTATATGTTTAACTTTTTAAGAAACTGCCAGTTTTTGTGACCGGGCGCAGTGGCGGAGTTCAAGACCAGCCTGGCCAACATGGTGAAACCCCATCTCTACTAAAAATACAAAAATTAGCCGGGTGTGGTGGTGCATACCTGTAATCCCAGTTACTCGGGATTGAGGCTTGAGAATCGTTTGAATCCAGGAGGCAGAGGCTGCCGTGAGCTGAGATCGCACCACTGCAATCCAGCCTGGGCGACAGAGCAAGACTCTGTCTCAAAAAAAAAAAAAAGAAAAGAAAAGAAAAAAGAAACTGCCAGTTTTCTAAAGTGGTTGTGCCATTTTACATTCTGGCCAGCAGTGCATAAGAGTTCCAGTTTCTCTGCATCTTTGCCAACATTTGGTATTGCCAGTCTTTTTAATTTTAAACATTCTTTTTTGGGGGTGGTGGAGGGAGTACAGAGTCTCATTGTATCACCCAGGCTGGAGTACAGTGCTGCCATCATAGCTCGCTACAGCCTTGACCTCCCAGGCTAAAGTGATCCTCCCACCTCAGCCTCCTGAGTAACTGGGACCACAGGTGTGCACAACCACATCCAGCTAATTTTTAAAAATTTTTGGCCAGGTACAGTGGCTCACGCCTGTAATCCCAGCACTTTGGAAGGTTGAGGTGGGCGGATCACGAGGTCAGGAGATCAAGACCATCCTGGCCAACATGGTGAAACCCCATCTCTACTAAAAATACAAAAACAAAATTAGCCAGGTGTGGTGGCGGGTGCCTGTAGTCCCAGCTACTCGCGAGGCTGAGGCGGGAGAATGGCACGAACCCAAGAGGTGGAGCTTGCAGTGAGCCGAGATCGCGCCATTGCACTGCAGCCTGGGCGACAGAGCGAGACTCCTATCTCCAAAAAAAAAAAAAAAAAAAAAATTGTAGAAATGGAATCTTGCTATGTTGCCCAGGCTTGTCTTGAACTCATGGCCTCAAACAGTCCTCCCACTGCAGCCTTCCAAAGTCCTGGGATTACAGGCATGAGCCACCATGCCTAGCCTAGATTTATAATTATCATTTTATGCTTTTCTCTCTTAAATAAGAAAAAAGGAGGAGGCTGGATGTGATGGGTCTTGCCTGTAATCCCAGCACTTTGGGAGACCGAGGCAGAAGGAACATTTTGGCACAGTGGTGCCTTAGTCAGGCACAGTGGTACTTGCCTGTCGTCCCAGCTACTCAGGAGGCTCATGTAGGAGGATTGCTTAGGTCCAGGAGTTCAAGGCTGCAGTAACCTGTGATCATGCCACAGCACTCGAGCCTGGGCAACAGAATGAGACCTCTTTTTTTGTTTTTGTTTTTAAAAAGGAGTTACAAACCAAAAATATAATAATAGTGGCTTTTATAGTTACCTAAGTAGGCTTTTGGGTTCTACTTATTATCTAATGTCCTTTGAGGGACTCCCTTTAACATTTCTTGTAGAGCATATCAGCTTTTTTTTTTTTTTTTTTTTTTTTTTTGAGCCAGAGCCTTGCTCTGTCGCCCAGGCTGGAGTGCAATGGCGCGATCTCGGCTCACTCCAACATCCGCCTCCTGGGTTCAAGCAATTTTCCTGCCTCAGCATCCCAAATAGCAGATGTAGATATATACAAGTCTTTGTATAAACATATGGTTTCATTTACTTAGGTAAATACCTAAGAGTAGGATGATTGAATCATGTGGATGTTTAAAAACAAACCTAGTCTGTTTTTAAAAAGGGAGTTAAAACCAGCTTTCCCCTGGCCAGGCGCAGTGACTCATGCCTGTAATCCCAGCACTTTGGGAGGCCAAGGCAGGTGGATCACGAGGTCAGGAGTTCAAGACCAGCCTGGCTAACATAGTGAAACCCCGTCTCTACTAAAGATACAAAAAAAAAAAAAAACAGCCGGGCGTGGTGGCAGGCGCCTATAATCTCAGCTACTCAGGAGGCTGAGGGAGGAGAATCACTTGAACCCGGGAGGCGGAAGTTGCAGTGAGCAGAGATCGTGCCACTGTACTCCAGCCTGGGCAACATTGCAAGACTCTATCTCAAAACAAACAAACAAACAAAAAACTAGCTTTCCCCCAAAGGGAGACTATTATAGGGAGACTATTGTTCATTGCTAATAGATAGGAATACTGCAGAATGGGACTGTTTTTGATACTACTGTTTTGGAACTAGTTTAAAGAAGAGATGTCTGTAAGTTTTAAGGTTGAAATGAGGCACTCTTTTTTTTATTCTTTTGAGGCGGAGTCTCACTCTGTCACCCGGGGAGGAGTGCAGTGGCACGATCTTGGCTCAGTGCAACCTCTGCCTCCCGGGTTGAAGCAATTCTGCCTCAGCCTCCCAAGTAGCTGGGACTACAGATGCATACCACCATGCTGGCTAATTTTTTTTTTTTTTTTTTTGAGACAGAGTCTCACTCTGTCGCCCAGTCTGGAGTGCAGTGGCATGATCTCGGCCCACTGCCTTCATGGTTCAAGCGATTCTTCTGCCTCAGCCTCCTAAGTAGCTGGGACTACAGGCGCATGCCACCACACCCAGCTGATTTTTGTATTTTTAGTAGAGACGAGGTTTCACTGTATTGGCCAGGCTGGTCTCGAACTCCTGACCTCGTGATCCACCCGACTTGGCCTCCCAAAGTGCTGGGATTACAGGTGTGAACCACCACGCCTGGCCAATTTTTTTATATTTTTAGTAGAGATGGGGTTTCACCATATTGGCCAAACTGGTCTCAAACTCCTAACCTCAGGTGATCTTCCTGCCTCAGCCTCCCAAAGTGCTGGGATTATAGGCGTGAGCCACTGCGCCCAACCAAGTATCCTTAACTGGGGGTAAAGGAGAAAAGCTCACCTAGAGATAGAAGACAGCCAAATGTCCCCAAGTTCCATCAAACTCAAAACTTATTTTTGAAGCAGAATTAGTGGCTATTGATTGACATAACGTAACTGAATTAGCAACAATGACCTAAACCTGTGGCCTTGAAGAAACATCTACGACTTATTGTTGCTTTTACTTTTATGAATAATTCTTCAAGGAGTTAAGGTAAATCTTGCTTGCTTACTTGTTCATCACCTTTTGAGCATGTTCCGTAATCCTTGAAGCCTAAAATATGTTATTAGAGCTATGTAAAATACTGGTTAAGGTAATTGATTTTTCTTTTACCTCATGTGGTAAACTGAAAAGCTCAATACATTTTTTTTTTTAAAGACACATGGTTTGACATGTACTTTGTCTTACAGGCAGTGAGGTCACTCAAGGAGACAATCGAAGACTGTTGGGACCAGGATGCAGAGGCTCGGCTTACTGCACAGTGTGCTGAGGAAAGGATGGCTGAACTTATGATGATTTGGGAAAGAAACAAATCTGTGAGCCCAACAGTCAATCCAATGTCTACTGCTATGCAGAATGAACGGTAAGACCCTAAGGGGTGTGGCATCTATCAATCAGTATTAGAAACTGAGACCCAACAAAGAATAGAAAATAAATACTTTTAAACCAGCCTAATAGTTCAATGATTACCTCATACAATCTAAAGTTATCATTTTTCTTTCAATATTCCTATTCTTCTATTGAACATTTTTGTTTGGTACAAGTGCAAGATGAAATCTGCATTTTTTAATATGTAAAGGTATAGTGAAAGAAGTTAGTCTTTCTCTATTTATGGTCCAACTTTCCTGCAATAATAAAGGTAAAATGTTTTTATAACTCCAAAAGTTCATAAGCACTTCTATATAAATTGTCTCATTTATCCTTTGTTGTTATTCCTTCTTCCTCTGCTTTTTTTTTTAAGTAAATGGAACTATGAACTTGCCTATCTAACCACTGTTTCACTGACACTAAGGTTTGTAGACTTCCTATCTAATGCTCTTTCTTATAGAATATACTACTACTACTTTTATATGAAAGCAATTCAAAGGTCTTTCTGTTCCATCATTAATATTATTTTACAAGACATTTTCTTTGTTAGAACTATGATTTTTGGTTCTAAATAGAAAGGCTTTTTAAAAATTCCTACAATTTGGAACTTTCTACATCTGTATTTCTTTTTTCCATGTTTGGGGTAAAAAAGCCTTTCTATGACTTTGTCATTTTGTCTAATACATGTTTAAAACTTTCAGAAAGGCATCCAGGAAAGGGTTACTGGAGAAAATTGAAATAAAAATAAACTCGATTCTTGAAACTTTTTTTTTTTCTGTGTGGTTTTTGTTTTTTTTTGTTTGTTTGTTTTTGGAAACTGTGTCTTACTCTGTCCCCCAGGCTGGAGTGCAGTGGCGTGATCCTGGCTCACTGCAACCTCTGCCTCCCAGGTTTAAGCGATTCTCCTGCCTCGGCCTCCCGAGTAGCTGAGATTACAGTCACGAGCCACCACGCCCAGCTAATTTTGTATATTTATTAGAGACAGGGTTTCACCATGTTAGCCAGACTGGTCTCAAACTCCCGACCCCTGGTGATCTGCCTGCCTTGGCCTCCCAAAATGCTGGGATTATAGGCGACAGGTGTGAGCCACCGTGCCCGGCCTATTTTCTGTTCTAATTTGTGAAAGCTATTTGTATTAGCCATAGGTGAAAAATTTGGTTTGCACTACTTTTGTATAGGTCAAATTAGTTTCAAATATAAACTCTTATACCTTGTATATCAGCAAATCAAGAAAGTTAGACACTGGCAATTCTAATTATAAATTTTCTCACTTTACACATACCTGAGGACAGTCTTCTGCTTTTATCTCCCCTCATCTCTGTATTTCCCATGTCCTCTAGTATGATGTTTTTACCTCTCTCAAAAGTCAGCTAAAGCTTTTATTTTGAATGCTTTCAAACTTTTCTTGAATGGTAAGAAAAAAAAACCTTGATGGCCCACCTTGATTTGGCCACTTTTCGCCTCCTGTGTCATTCGGCTCAACCTTCTGCATGCATCTTCTCATCTCCAGTCTCTACTAATAATTTCCTCAAAATTATAATTCATCCCATAGTTACGCTAACTCTAGGTTTTATTTTCCTGAGTCTTACCCTCCATGTCTCCTTAGCTTCCTTTTCTTGTACTGTATAACAATTTTTTTTTCTTCTTTTCCTTCTATCATCTCCCTTATAAATAACTGTCACTCCCAAGGAATGACAATGACAGCAAAGAACCCATGATAATTGGAGAGCAGTTCTGAATCTTTGATCCTTTATTTGAACATCATATTCTGCCTTATACCTTAGGCTCAAGGACTTTTACTGATATGACTCAGACTACCCCAGAAAGATATGTGCCATTACTAGGGCATGCCTCTTAATGGAGGCCTTTGGAACAACCTAAAAGCTTATATTCTTTTTACTATTTGGCCATTGGAACTTAATTGATAACATACCTTTTGAGTAGGCACTATGCATCTAGAATTATGGAAATACAGAAAACATATACCATGGTTCTTCCTCTCATAAAACATAACGTCTGGTTGTATGAATATACATTCCATAAATATATATTTCATGATGTTATAAAACTATAGGGGAGATTTTTTAATTAACTTATAAACCAAAATAATGAACATTTATAAAAATTATATCTCATCCACATACATTTTTCAGTAGGCTTAATTCACATAAAACTAACACTTATCAAGTTATTAATTGACACTTGATTATTTGATTAGACTTTTTAACCTTTAGAAAAATGTACGTTTGGAAGAAAATGAAAAACAACTCAGACTTTAAAATCAGAGGTGTTAAATTTGGAGAGACAGTTTGTCATAAATGTACGTTCTCAATGTGATACTTTTTTTCTTTCTTTAAGCAACCTGTCACATAATAGGCGTGTGCCAAAAATTGGTCCTTATCCAGATTATTCTTCCTCCTCATACATTGAAGACTCTATCCATCATACTGACAGCATCGTGAAGAATATTTCCTCTGAGCATTCTATGTCCAGCACACCTTTGACTATAGGGGAAAAAAACCGAAATTCAATTAACTATGAACGACAGCAAGCACAAGCTCGAATCCCCAGCCCTGAAACAAGTGTCACCAGCCTCTCCACCAACACAACAACCACAAACACCACAGGACTCACGCCAAGTACTGGCATGACTACTATATCTGAGATGCCATACCCAGATGAAACAAATCTGCATACCACAAATGTTGCACAGTCAATTGGGCCAACCCCTGTCTGCTTACAGCTGACAGAAGAAGACTTGGAAACCAACAAGCTAGACCCAAAAGAAGTTGATAAGAACCTCAAGGAAAGCTCTGATGAGAATCTCATGGAGCACTCTCTTAAACAGTTCAGTGGCCCAGACCCACTGAGCAGTACTAGTTCTAGCTTGCTTTACCCACTCATAAAACTTGCAGTAGAAGCAACTGGACAGCAGGACTTCACACAGACTGCAAATGGCCAAGCATGTTTGATTCCTGATGTTCTGCCTACTCAGATCTATCCTCTCCCCAAGCAGCAGAACCTTCCCAAGAGACCTACTAGTTTGCCTTTGAACACCAAAAATTCAACAAAAGAGCCCCGGCTAAAATTTGGCAGCAAGCACAAATCAAACTTGAAACAAGTCGAAACTGGAGTTGCCAAGATGAATACAATCAATGCAGCAGAACCTCATGTGGTGACAGTCACCATGAATGGTGTGGCAGGTAGAAACCACAGTGTTAACTCCCATGCTGCCACAACCCAATATGCCAATGGGACAGTACTATCTGGCCAAACAACCAACATAGTGACACATAGGGCCCAAGAAATGTTGCAGAATCAGTTTATTGGTGAGGACACCCGGCTGAATATTAATTCCAGTCCTGATGAGCATGAGCCTTTACTGAGACGAGAGCAACAAGCTGGCCATGATGAAGGTGTTCTGGATCGTCTTGTGGACAGGAGGGAACGGCCACTAGAAGGTGGCCGAACTAATTCCAATAACAACAACAGCAATCCATGTTCAGAACAAGATGTTCTTGCACAGGGTGTTCCAAGCACAGCAGCAGATCCTGGGCCATCAAAGCCCAGAAGAGCACAGAGGCCTAATTCTCTGGATCTTTCAGCCACAAATGTCCTGGATGGCAGCAGTATACAGAGTAAGTGGAGGGATCATATAATCTCTCCTGTGTGTCTTTTGGGGCCATTTAAATAACTATTTAGAATCAACTAATAGATATATTTCAACTAGTGATTATTTACCTTTACCACTTTTGTAAATGATCCATTTGAGGCGGGGCACAGTGGCTCACACCTGTAATCCTAGCACTTTGGGAGGCCAAGGGAGGTGGATCACCTGAGGTCAGGAGTTCAAGACCAACCTGGCCAACATGGCGAAACCCCATCTCTACTAAAAAATAAAAAAAATTAGGCCAGGCGCGGTGGCTCACGCCTGTAATCCCAGCACTTTGGGAGGCCAAGGCGGGCAGATTACTTGAGATCAGGAGTTCAAGACCAGCCTGGCCAACATGGTGAAACCCCATCTCTAAAAAATACAAAAATTAGCCAGGCGTGGTGGCGTGCACCTGTAATCCCAGCCGAGATCACGACACTTCACTCTAGCCTGGGCAAAAAAGTGAAACTCCATCTCAATAATGAAATAAAATAAACCATTTGGGCCAGGCGTGGTGGCTCATGCCTATAATTCCAGCACTTTGTGAGGCCAGGGCAGGTGGATCACCTGAGGTCAGGAGTTCGAGACCAGCCTGACCAACATGGTGAAACCCCGTCTCTACTAAAAATGCAAAAATGGCCAGGCACAGTGGCTCATGCCTATAACCCAGCACTTTGGGAGGCTGAGGCAGGTGGATCACGAGGTCAAGAGTTCAAGATCAGCCTGGCCAAGGTGGTGAAACCCCTGTGTCTACTAAAAATACAAAAAATTAGCCGCGTGTGGTGGTGGGCACCTGTAATCCCAGCTACTCGGAAGGCTGAGGCAGAGAATTGCTTGAACCCAGGAGGCGGAGGTTGCAATGAGCCGAGACTATGCCACTGCACTCCAGCCTGGGTGACAGAATGAAACTCTGTCTCAAACACACACACACACACACACACACACACACACACACACACACACACACACAAATTAGCTGGGTGTGGTGGTGCCCACCTGTAATCCCAGCTACTTGGGAAGCTGAGGCAGGAGAATCGCCTTAACCCAGGAGGCGGAGGTTGCAGTGAGCTGAGATTGCGCCATTGTACTCCAGCCTGGGCAGCAAGAGCGAAACTCCATCTCAGGAAAAAAAATAAATAAGCCATTTGGTTGGGCCTCAAAGGTAATTAGACTATTGTAAAGAAAAAAGTAATATTTTTGTCATTGATAATTAAAAAGTCAGTGTCACAATAGTCAGAATAATTACCCAATTTAATATGTGCTTTATGTGGCTGCTGCTTTATAATGCAACTCACATACTTGCTATGAAAAGTTGAAATAAAGTAAATACAGTTCAAGAGCTCCAAGTAATGTTATACCAGTATAATCTTTGAAACATTTTATTGCATATATTAATATTGATTATGTCTGCATTTAGGTTTTATCAAACTAACCTTAATAAATCTTAAAGATCCAGAGAAATTTTGGGAAAATTACTATAAAGAAACTGTAGGCTAGGCACGGTGGCTCACGCCTGTAATCCCAGTGCTGTGGAAGACTGAGGTGGGTGGGTCACTTGAGGCCAGGAGTTCAAGACTAGCCTGGGCAACATAGCAAAACTCCATCTCTACAAAAAATTTAAAACTTAGTTTGGTGTGGTGGTCTGCAACCTCTGCCTCCCGGGTTCAAGTGATTCTCCTGCCTCAGCCTCCCGAGTAGCTGGGATTACAGACATGTGCCACCATGCCCTGCTAATTATTGTATTTTAGTAAAGGAGGGGTTTCGCCATGTTGGCCAGGCTGGTCTCGAACACTGGACTTCAGGTGATCCACCCACCTCAGTGTCCCACAGTGCTGGCATTACAGGCGTGAACCACTGCGCCCAGCCTATTTCTCTTTTAGACTAAGGCATTTATGAAAAAAAGTTATGTTTTATTGTCAAGGGCTACAAAATGGGCTTGAAGGAAGGATACAGGTCTCAAAACACAATCAGGAAAATTTAGCCCCTTGCTTGAGTGGCTTGTATTACAGATCAGTTGACAGACCTTTATTGCAGGGCTCTGAGTCAGTAAGACATCGTGTCAGATAGGCCAGGCATGGTGGCTTACGCCTGTAATCCCAGCACTTTGGGAGGCTGAGGCGGGCGGATCACCTGAGGTCGGGAGTTCGAGACCAACCTGACCAACATGGAGAAACCCGGTCTCTACTAAAAATACAAAAGTAGCCAGACGTGGTGGCACATGCCTGTAATCCCAGATACTTGGGAGGCTGAGGCAGGTGACTTGCTTGAACCTGGGAGGCAGAGGTTGCGGTGAGCCGAGATCATGTCATTGCACTCCAGCCTGGCAACAAGAATGAAACTCCATCTCAAAAAAAAAAAAAAAAAAATCTTGTCAGATATAGGAAGAGGAAATTATTAGAATGTTTGTACTCTAATATTTCTGTTATTCTTCTGAAAAATATTGTATGCCAGGTGCCTTTAAAATTTGATCCAGGCTGGGCATGGTGGCTCACACCTGTAATCCCAGCACTTAGGGAGGCTGAGTCGGGCACATTGCCTGAGCTCAGGAGTTTGAGACCACCCTCGGCAAGATGGTGAAACCCCCCGTCTCTACTAAAATACAAAAAATTAGCTGGTCATGGTGGCATGCGCCTGTAGTCCCGGCTACTTGAGAGGCTGAGGCGTGAGAATCACTTGAGCCCGGGAAACAGAGGTTGCAGTGAGTCAAGATCATGCCACTGCACTCCAGCCTGGGCTACAGAGTGAGACTCCATCCCCCAAAAAAAAAAAAAAAATTTGATCCACCTTGAGCATTAAATACAATTAAATACAATAATTAAGTACATTTTACCAAGTTAAGATCGCTACCAAAACCAGAAGATTTGAGAATACAGCTGAGAAGTTTAAATGTTCTCCTGTGTTTTGTGTGTGTGTGTTTTCCCTTGCCTTATAAAATAAGTCAATCAGTTATTAAAACATTTGGGTTAAAGAGTCTCAAAAATAAGTTGGTTAAGCTTTTCCTGGAAAAACATTGTCTGGCATTATGAATTTCAAGAAATGTTCATTAGCACCCTCCTGAGACATTGGTTTGACCTTTTCTTGAGTTACATCCCTTACCCGTTATTTCTTAAGTTTGTTAAATAGCTCATTTTTCTGCACTTTTATTTTCAGTAGGTGAGTCAACACAAGATGGCAAATCAGGATCAGGTGAAAAGATCAAGAAACGTGTGAAAACTCCCTATTCTCTTAAGCGGTGGCGCCCCTCCACCTGGGTCATCTCCACTGAATCGCTGGACTGTGAAGTCAACAATAATGGCAGTAACAGGGCAGTTCATTCCAAATCCAGCACTGCTGTTTACCTTGCAGAAGGAGGCACTGCTACAACCATGGTGTCTAAAGATATAGGAATGAACTGTCTGTGAAATGTTTTCAAGCCTATGGAGTGAAATTATTTTTTGCATCATTTAAACATGCAGAAGATGTTTAAAAATAAAAAAAAAACTGCTTTATCCTCCTGTCAGCACCCCCTCCCACCCCTGCAACAAAGACTTGCTTTAAATAGATTTCAGCTATGCAGAAAAATTTAGCTTATGCTTCCATATTTTTAAATTTTGTTTTTTAAGTTTTGCACTTTTGTTTAGTCTCGCTAAAGTTATATTTGTCTGTTATGACCACAGAGTTATATGTGTGTGTATCAAAAGTGGTCTCAAAATATTTTTTTAAGAAAAAAAGCAAAAACAATGTATTGCTGATAATCAGTTTGGACCAGTTTCTTAAGGTCATTAAAACAGAAGCAAATTAAGACAGGTTTGACTGCAGTGGTGTCTGGTATCCATGTTTTATTTCTGGGCACAAGCTAGTTTTTATGTTGATACGTTCCTGAACATATTATCTTGTTGGACATCTTTTCTCTTGTGTTTTGTTTGAATGTGCAATAGTTTATAGGCCACAAATAAGCTTTCTTGTAAGCTCTCTTCCTAACAGGGCACATATTCTTCCATAATATAAACACTTTTCTGCCCCATCTCCCATACTTTTGAAGGTCAGTTCTATGACAGTGAATTTTGCACAGGAGAAGCAGCTACCTGATTTCTTACTTTCTCTCTCCTTATCATGGAGAATACAGAAACATTGTCTGAAAGGGCTCTAAAGAAGGAACTACCAAAACCTGACTTGAAATGCCATTTCTTTTAACCTTCCAAATCCTAAATGTTTCCTTCAAGGCATCTTAATAAACTTATTTGCTTCTGGTTTTGGGAGTTCATAAGAGAGAATAGAACAAAATACAGGACATCAAATATTAGCCATTTCCCATTTTATTTTATTTTTCTATGTAGGTTCATGTTCCATGTTCATTTATTTAAGAAATACATTTTTATTGGTAAGCTTATAGAGCTACACTTATGGAATTTTTAAGTAGGTAAATAAATGGTTAAGACAAAATAGTGTTATAGCCTTCATTCTCTGAATAGGCCATCTTTGACTCATAAAATTACCCTTACTGTTTATTATAACTTCAGAAGTAATTTATAGTTCTGAACCTATAGTATCTTTTACCCTGTTCCCAAGCAAAGACTGGTGACTTTATCTGAAAATGATTCCTCTTCCCATGACCTAAAACACTGTGAGGAAAAATCATTCAAGTGGCATGCCAAGTCCCTATGAAGGAAGGGCTGCTATCAAACCTACCTTTTTTGAGCAAACTGAGACTAAACTTCTCTCTTTTCAAAATTGTGTTATCTTCCTTAATCCTATTTTCATAATTTTTCCTTTTGCCAGTTTTTCACATTATCTTTGATATGTGAGCAACATTTATTATTTACATTAGAGTATACCTTTTAGTAATAAAATGACTTGAAATCATATTATTTTTAAAAGCCCTTTGCTTCTTTCATTACTTATAATCTCCTCTAAAACAACCTCTGCATGTTTTTTTTAAATAAAGCACTTTCTGTCAAATAATGGACTTTTTTCTAAACAGAAATTATTTTCTATTAATTTGCAAACTGATGATTTCACTTTTTTTTACTTTTTTTTCGATTATCAGAGTACTTAGTAAATGTTATATAGTTTAGTTCTAAGATAGTTCCAGGGATTAAAAGGTTAAGAGGAAAACACAAATCACCAAATTTCTGATTTATGTTTTTATCTCCTGAACAATATTTTCTCACTCATATTCCTCTATCTTATCACTTAGCTAAAGACAGCCTAAATTTCCCAATTTTCTGTCCAAAATATTTGTGATTTACTTGTATATAAGCCTTCTCATTTGCCATGTGCTGTGATCTTACAAGTTAGATGTTACTATACCTACCATTTATTCAGCTGGATTGCTGAACACAGTTCTGGATTCATAGAATTAAGAATATCTTGTTAGTGCCCAGGATTTCCACGTTTTGTGTTTTATTGGCCCTTTTCTTTATTCAGCCCCTTAATCTATTTTCAGTCTTCTGGCACGTAATTTTTTTCACAGTTATTATTCTTCTATTAACAAATTATTTTTATCTTTCCTAGTACATTTTCACTTAGTTCTCTTGCCCTTAAATATCTTTCACATGCATTTTAGGATATTCTTTTCAAATATTTGTAGGACAACTTTGAATCAAAATAAATTATGTTCCTTCTCCAATTTGAAGCATTGAGGATAAATGACCATTTGAGGTCTAACTGATCTTTTCCTGCCAGAAGAGTTATCTTACGTTCTGCTATATTTGTATTTGGGCCAGTTGATTGTAGGTTGTCCAACATTTTTTAATATTGGGAAAATTATGATAAAATGCTTTAAAAATTAATATGCCAGATTAAAATAACTGAATAGTTTACTATTTCATTCAAGCATGTTTAAAACAAATAATTTCCTTTCACCAGTTTTTCTTAGTAAACTCCTGAAAAAGTAGGAAAGGTGGAAAGTATATATCATTTTTATAAATTTTAAATTGTACATCAGACTTTTAAAATCTGTAATATACAAGCAAGCAAAATTATTTTAAATGACTTAATTGTATGCTAATACTCATCTGATAATAAATGCTTCTTAAAGTTGACATTTAACTGCTATCACAAAGTTTTATATGTAGAAAAGTGGGGTCCTTTTGAATAAAAGATCATTCAACTAAAAATATTAAAATTTATTTCACTGGATGGTAATGTAACCTTAAAAGCATCATAATAGGTAAAGTCTAATATTAGTTCCCTTAACAAAATCCTAACTGTATACCAGAATTAGGTCACTGAAAGAACTTGATTTGAATTACGTTTAGACAAAAATGATTTAATTGTAAATTCTTAAAACTTTCTAAATGCATAATTGGCAAAAAAAAAAACCCACTGTTACCAGTGTAGGAAGTTACAAGAAGGCACATACTGAATGCTGAAGTATACATATGCTATTTCTCTTAAACCTCAGAGCAACCATATGAGCATTGTAATTAATATTCCCATTTTACAGATGAGGAAACTGAAGCTAAGAGAAGCTAAGTAATATGCCCAAGGTCCACATCTAGTAACAGACAAAGCTGGGATTTCAGTCTATGTCTGCCTCTCTCCACATCTCTTTCATCCATACCACACTGCCTACATGCCATATGACAGGATGTGTAATGGGCTAACGTTTATTTAAAAAGTTCAGGCCAGGTGCAGTGGCTTATGCCTATAATCCCCGCACTTTGGGAGGCCGAGCCGGGTGGATCATGAGGTCAGACGTTCAACACCAGCCTGGCCAAGATGGTGAAACCCCGTCTCTATTAAAAATATTTTTTAAAAATTAACTGAGCGTGGTGGTGGGCGCCTGTAGTCCCAGCTACTCAGGAGGCTAAGGCAGGAGAATCTCTTGAACCCGAGAGGTGGAGGTTGCAGTGAGCTGAGATCGCGCCACTGCACTGCAGCCTAGGCGACAGAGCAAGACTGCCTCAAAAAAAAAACATAAAAATTCAGTCACTATACTCTGGCACAATTTTCATTTGTATATGAGCCAAACCACATACCTTAATGATTTGGGAAGTTAGGCAAATATGAGATATGTAGACATATCTATGCTGATTGTTGCTTGAGAAATAATTACTAATTCTAGACAAAACTCAATCCTGTATCTTCCATCATGAATCTTAAAATCATTTCACTTCACTCCTAACATTTCTTACATTGCAGAACTAATGGTAAAGTAAATTTTACGGAAAAAGTTAAGATAGCTTTGGGAACAGAGACCTTTCCCTAAATTGATTCCATAGCAGATTTGGGGGAATTAACAAAGAATTTCAGTCTCATCAATCCTTTGAATCCATCTTCAAAACTTCTGCTTTTAATAACTTTAGAAAATTTACTAATCTATAGAACTAATTGAGTAGGATATAGGAAGGATACAAGGATATAATGTCCTTTTTATAAAAGTTTAGTATAGCTTCTTTACATGTATCCACTTGTTCCAGAAAATGTGCATTGGTTCTGAATGTGAAAATATTTAAAGAGAGAAAGGAACACTCAAGTAAGTGTGGGCTTCAGTGGGAATTATCACAAAACATTGGCAAGTATTTTTATTTAAATTATTTTCAAATTTGACTTCTACAGCCAAGTGGAATTGGTAGGCTGTAGCTGTTACACTGAAATTTCTAGTCTTTGTAAGTGCCTCCTGAAAGTCATTTAAAATGGAAAAATATTTCAATGAGCTTTTCCTTTTTTCATATTTATGGACATGAATATTTTATTGGAGATCATTAACTCCTAGAATTTGAGATTATATTTCCATACAACATTTTATAAAGTTATGTTGAACTTACTACCTGTTATGTGCAGGTTATTATGTAACTATTCACAGATTGCTTCATATATTGCTTTATCTTCCCATCTAACTTCTTAAAGTTAAAATCCGGACACACATGTTGATTATCTAGACCAGTCATTCTGGAAATTGTAACACTCCCACATAAACCCCAGGAGACTTTTTCAGAATGCAATGTTTCTAAATGTACTGTTACTGGCAGTTTACTCTCCAGCATATAAGGTTGCATTTTAACTTTTAGATTATGAACTGTGCAAACTTTACCCAAAACTATCTTGCATGATTCCCTCCTAAATATATTCCTTGATTAAGTAAATCTGGCAAATCACTGTTTGAGCTAGTTACATAAAATTTGTTATCAAGAGAAGGCTTTTCTACAAGTTTCCAGATTAACATAAAGAAAAGAGGGAATCACAGGGCATTTAAGTGCACCTTCCCATTACTTTCCTTAAATCACCTCATAGTTAGGCTGGGCGCGGTGGCTCACGCCTGTAATCCCAGCACTTTGGGAGGCCGAGACGGTGGATCACGAGGTCAGGGGACTGAGATCATCCTGGCTAACACGATGAAACCTCATCTCTACTAAAAATACAAATAATTAGCCAGGCATGGTGGCACGCGCCTGTAGTCCCAGCTACTCGGGAGGCAGAGACAGGAGAATCGTTTGCACCCGGGAGGCGGAGGTTGTTGCAGTGAGCCGAGATCGCGCCAATGCACTCCAGCCTGGGCTACAGAGTGAGACTCCATCTCAAAAAAAAACAAAAAAAATCACCTCATAGTTTATGTCTGACTTACTCCAAACCTCAGTTATCTGATTTGTAGTCTGTGTCAGGAAAGTTTTCTTCATATCTATTCTGTCTCCCTCCTCTTTGATTTTAAATTTTTTTCTTTTACCCAGTAGGACAAAAAAGAGCAGTTGGTCATCATCCCCAATATTCTTAGTCTTCAGTATGCTTCAGGCCTCTCAATGAACACTTAAGTCTCAATTCTTCAGACAAAATTGCTTAAGCTCTTCTCCTCAGTCCTATTTTAATGACTTTATATTTAAGAATATAGAATTATATTTTCTTTTATATTCAAATTCATTACTCCAGTTAAGTAATAGTTTGATAGTTTGATAGAATCGAGAGTTAAGATGTTTCTATTTGAAAGTGGATTCAACCATCAGACCACCAGCAAATCGGCACTTAATTTTTGTGTTATCTAACATTTTCTATTGTGGAATTTTATGATTTTATATTCTCATTAGTTATAACTAAAAAGCCATGCACACAGAATTGTATATCATTTTGCCATTAAAATTTTTTAACATATTGCAGCAAGCTTAGTTTTATGATTGAGCCACAACCTTTTACATATTTTTTGTATGAAATATTAAACACTAAATGCAAGATTAACTTTCAAAAGCAAACCCTACATTAATCAGGTATTATCTATGGACATTTTTGTAGACCACTTTTGAAATACTTATTATTTTGCAACATAGACTGGACTATACAACTTTCATTTAACTTTTAGGTGACTGATTTAAGTTGAGTGTGCATATAGAGAAAAACCTAGAAATTTATCTCATGGCAGATACATTTGAAAGTACTTCAGAAGAATTTATGCTGTATATTAAAACTAGGCTCAAAATAAATCTATCGTATCTTTAAAAGTCCAATTCTGTTATTACTGTGATGTTTGTAGTGTTACTATTAAACATTGTGAACATACACATTTTTAAAACAACTTGAAACCCATTTTAAAATCTGGGTAAGAGAGAAGGAATCTTCAGAACAAAATCACATCATTAGGGTGTCCAGTTTATGATTGAATTTTTAAGCAAATTACTGTATTTGAAACTACAACTTGATTTGGTTTTCAGTTTTAAAAGGCAACATGTGGGTTTTATCCATTTTATTTATACCTTTAGATTTCAGAAACATCTTCATGTTTTAGATGCATTCTACAGACATCATGTTACTTAAAAACTCAGGGCCCCTTTCATCCCTTTGTACACTGAAAAAGTTCAATTGTTAGCAAGTAAGCAATTAGATCCAGTTGAATATTTAAAGTGTTTGTTGCACAGTTCATTTAATGTTTCATCTTATTTGACTTTTTCACATAGATATAATATCAGATTTCATTAATTATAAAAAGTTGCCCAGTTCTGTAATTACTGAACAGAGGGAATGACTCAACTAATTGGCTACATGTTGCAACAAATTTAGGCCTTTAGAGTTGAAGCACTGACTTAAAACGACTTACATTTCTGTTCTTTGGTCAAATGACCATACATGATATGGGACAAATTGTTTCATTTTGTTTGTTTTTTAATAAGGGAACTTGGTAAAGTAGTTCCTGTCAGATAGGATTTTCTCAAGAGACAATTTAACGTTATAAAGCCTTCTAAAAGTGAACTAAATATTTTATAACTTTAGTAATAGCTTGGATGGTTTTGAGAAAATAACCTGTATTTATCACATTGTCAAACAGAATTTTTCTTTGAATCAGACAAGTTCAAGCTCTAAATTGATGTGCTATATACTTAAAATCCTAGGAAGTTATCTGTAACCAGTCTCTTGTCTCAGGCTCTTCACCTTGTTACCAATCCTCGTAAGTATGTAAAGGAAACATATTTTTAAAGAAGCTTAACAGTAAGAAAAAATTACTAAAAGATGCAATTCAAAGATAGGTCCCAGTTTAACACTGAATTGCTTGACTTCTGTGGCTTTTCTTTTTCTGGCCACATTTATTTATTTAAGCAATTTTTGTATGCCTTGTTATTTCATTTCCATAGAGATTATATTGTATCAGTGTTTATGTAAGCTGGAATCATCCTCAGTTTTTTGCTGATAATTTTTCAAATAAAGATACATGGATAATTGTAAAATACACTAACTCTTAGGGTGTTGTAGTAGCTGAAACATGGAGATGCGTAGCTGTCATGCTTTTTCTGAATGGACAGGAGAAACATAAGCTACGGAGTATTCACTTCTGAGGATGCTTTTCCGGAAAAAGAAAGGCTAGAAAATACTCGCACTTCCTCAGAACCCTCTTTCTTGTTAACGGGTATCTTTTGTTGGTGTGTTTTGCTCTTACATTACAGATAGACTATCATATATGACTTTATGAATAATTTCAGTTATTTTGCTTTTGTATAAGCTGTCTGAAGCCTTGCTATGCTGTATAAGTTGTGTTTGATGGATCAGTGTGAGTATAAAATAAAGCAAATCACTTTTCTTTTGTATTATCTATGGATGCCACTATGAAAGCTGACATTAAGCCACTAAAGAGTTTTCTATGAATAAGTGTAAGTAAATGCTTTGATATATATAAACCTAAATAAAAAGATTGTATTGATACAGAGACATTGGAGAAGGAGATTTTAAGGCAGTTCTTTAGGTTTAAAAAGGCTTGCTGTAAAATGGTGCGTTATTCCGTTTATTAAAGATCATATTAATGACAATAGTAATTGTGTTTTTTTATTTTAAGAGGTCACCAGAAATTGTTAGTATGATAATTAGGGAGTTTGCACTAGAATAGTAAATGTTCTATCTAATATGACTTTCATAACTCAGTATGATACATCAAAAAATAAAAAATAAAAAAAAATAAATAGGCCGGGCGTGGTGGCTCACGCCTGTAATCCCAGCACTTTGGGAGGCCGAGGTGGGTGGATCACGAGGTCAGGAGATCGAGACCATCCTGGCTAGCACGGTGAAACCCCGTCTCTACTAAAAATACAAAAAATTAGCCGGGCGCGGTGGCGGGCGCCTGTAGTCCCAGCTACTCGGGAGGCTGAGGCAGGAGAATGGCGTGAACCCGGGAGGCGGAGCTTGCAGTGAGCCGAGATCGCGCCACTGCACTCCAGCCTGGGCGACAGAGCGAGACTACGTCTCAAAAAAAAAAAAAACTAAATTTAGTATAATAGTTGCTATTTTCTGACCATGTATTATATGCCAGGCACTGTGTTAGTTATTTTACATACATTGTTGATAATTCTCACAACAATCCTACATAATATGTATTACTATCCCCCTTTTATAAATGAAGAAACTGAAAGAGAAATTAAATACTCTGCCCAGTCACAGAACTGGCAAGTGAGATTGTAACGCATTTTACGTTTTGCTTTGAACTGCAATTTTCAAGCTCTCCTTGTGGCAAGAGAAACTCAAAAATAAAAATAAAACTGGCCGGGCGTGGTGGCTCACGCCTATAATCCCAGCACTTTGGGAGGCCGAGGCAGGTGGATAACGTGAGGTCAGGAGTTCGAGACCAGCTTGACCAACATGGAGAAACCCCGTCTCTACTAAAAATACAAAATTAGCTGGGTGTGGTGGTGCATGCCTGTAATCCCAGCTACTCGGGAGGCTGAGGCAGAAGGAGAATCGCTTGAATCCGGGAAGCAGAGGTTGTGGTGAGCTGATATCGCACCATTGCACTCCAGCCTGGGCAACAAGAGTGAAACTCCGTCTAAAAAATAAACAAATAATAAAAACAGTTCAGTAGTTAGAGTAACCAGGAATATTCATGGAGTAATTTAAAGGTGCAGAAAGCTATCAGGTACCAAAACAGCTATTTTTATTGGCCTAATATTGTGTTTGTGCTTCACATCATCAAATAATCTTTTGGGTTGGATCTAGTATTTTAAATAGAAGGCCTTGTTAAAGCAGAATATGAGTTTGTGAAGGCACACATTGTTTGTCTCCAGATTAATTCAATGTGTTAGCGAAGTGTCCTGGAGCAGGATCTCGTGTCAATCCATGGGACAACTATCCTTAAAAGGGTGCTGGGCCACTTTTACCTATATGCCTAGGGAACTTTTGCTTGTGGAAAACATGACCTACTCCCATAGGCTGTTGTCACCTTAAATAATACTTTATTTTAGGGATGGAAGAGATTTGGGGTATCCTTTTCATTTGGACTCATATGCATATGCGTAACCTTACAATCTGGTATGTTACAGGATACCATTGCAGTTTTCTACCGAGCCCACTATGTAATATTCAAAATTATACCTGAATGTCCTTAGAGAAAATGTGATAACCTGGGAAAAATGTGTAATAATAACCTGCTGAACCTTTTAATAATGACTTGCCACAAGTAAAATATTCTCATTTACACCTATACCTATCTAATCTACCTGGTTTACATCCTTCTCTGCGAAACAGCTAGTAAACTAGTGATTAATCTTCCTCTTTATTCTACAACATCTTTCAGACCAAAGGCCAAATTTTATATTTTAGCAGGTTTCATTTTATTGATATATTATTACTCACTTTTTCAAAATTGAATCATTGCTGTACTGAGAAATACCAAAAAGTATAATATGATCCCTGCCTTCCCTTACCCAACAATTTCCTGGGTTGGCCTTGTCTCCTCCATGCCTATCCAGGAAATTGTTGCATTCAAGTAAGATGACATGTAAGGGCCCAAGTAAGTGGTAAATTACATGCTCAATATGTGTTTGAAGAGCCAAAGAAGACTTCAGTTGAGGAAATGATGTTGAACAGGGTCTCGAAAAGATGTATGAGACATCAATAGAAAAAGTGAAGAGAGGCAGGGCACGGTGGCTCACGCCTGTAATTCCAGCACTTTGGGAGGCCAAGGTAGGTGGATCAGGAGGTCAGGAGTTTGAGACCAGCCTGACCAACATGGTGAAACCCTATCTCTACTAAAAGTACAAAAATTAGTCAGGCATGGTGGCACGTGCCTGTAATCCCAGCTACTCAGGAGGCTGAGGCAGGAGAATCGCTTGAACCTGGGAGGTGGAGATTGCAGTGAGCCAAGATGGTGCCATTGCACTCCAGCCTGGGCAACAGAACGAGACTCCATCTCAAAAAAAAAAAAAAAAAAAGAAAGAAAAGAAAATAAAAGAAAAAAAAAAGTGAAGACAATATTTGAAGTGACCAGAAGTAAGGGAGGACATGGACTGGAAATAAAACAGACAAAGTGGATCCAAACAGATAGTATAATTTTTGAAAGCCAGATCCAAGTGTTTGGGCTGCTGTCATAGACAGTAGGGAGAACAAAGTTTCTGAGGAAGGAAGAAGCTTGATAGAAGCAATGTGACGAGGTTTGGACTGACAAGTATGCAGGATAGATTAGAAGGGGAGGGATTGCACTGGGGACATGAGAGAAACTACAAATAAAATGCAATTTCCATTGTGACCAGTAAGTCCTATTTTCAAGGAGCATCAGAAAAATTTTTTTGAACATCTAATGTGTGGCAAATACTATTCTAGGAGATAAACAGCCCTGCTCTCAAGTTGCTCACAGTAGATTTGGAGAAAATTATAGTACAAATTCAATTGTTATGGAAGTGAAAGCCCAGGATGTTGTGGGAGTACATGGCAAAGATACTTAATCCAGTCTTGCTGAATTGGGTAACTTTTTGATAACTATGATGACTGTCAAAATGTGAATAAGAATTAAGAGATGAGCAATGACTCTCTAAGCAGAGTTACAGTATCCACAAAGCCCTAGAAAGCTTGAGAGGGTAGAGTTTTTTCAGGGGGATGAGAGGACATTCAATGAGAGTAGGATATGAGATGTTATATGGAAGGATGGAGAGAGATGACTACACACACAGCTATTACAGAGGGTTAGCATGCTGTTCTTAGAGTTTGAACTTAACCTAGAAGTCATGGAAGAATTTAAACAATGGGGTTTCAAAATAGGTAACTCAGTTGGTAGTATATAGGATGAATTGAGAGGAAGGGAGAAACATAGAAATACATATACCTGGCCGGGCCTGGTGGCTCACACCTGTAATCCTAGCACTTTGGGAGGCCAAGGCAGGAAGATTGCTTAAGGCCAAGAGTTCAACACCAACCTGGCCAACAAAGCAAGACCCTGTCTCTATTAAAAAATAAATAAAAAAGAAAGAAATACATAGAACGGTATGGTGCTGGTGAGAGATAATGAAAGCCTTAAACCAAGGTAGAGTCAGTGATGGCAGAGAAGAGGGAGCAGATTGGGTCTGGGTTAAAGAGAATCAGTAGGACCCAGTGAACCATTAAGATGAGCATTGGAGAGAGAAAGACTGTTAACTTCAGGGTTCTAATTTGGAAAGGGAGGTTAATGAAAAATCTCAGGGAATGTGCAGCTGACAAAGGGTCCTGCCTTTATAAGTTTTAAAAATAGAAAAATTTTTATATATTGTCTTGTTATTATATCATGTGTTCAAATTTTTGGTTCCGAAAATATAGGTAGACAACTTTCACCTATGGTCTCTGCAGAAATGCTTCAAGAATTGAGCCTTCCCTGGGTAAGTCACTCAGAAATTCAGTTCAATCTTTTTAAATGAATGTGTTATGAGACCAACTTGTTGCACACAGCATTTGTACTAGGAAATTTTGATGAAGTGGCCCTGTGCCTGTACTGTAAAATGAGCATGGAAGCTGGGTGCGGTGGCTCACGCCTGTAATCCCAGCACTTTGGGAGGCCGAGGTGGGCGGATCACCTGAGGTTGGGAGTTTGCGACCAGACTGACCAACATGGAGAAACCCCGTCTCTACTAAAAATACAAAATTAGCCGGGCGTGGTGGCGCATGCCTGTAATCCCAGCTACTCGGGAGGCTGAGGCAGGAGAATCACTTGAACCTGCAAGGCAGAGGTTGCAGTGAGCCAAGATCGCGCCACTGCAACCTCTTGTACTCCAGCCTGGGCAACAAGAGCAAAAACTCCATCTCAGAAAAAAAAAAAAAAATGAGTATGAAGAGCAGCCTTAAAAGGAAAAATGTGTCCTGAAATGGTGGGTGCTGGAAAGATGGAGAGGGGGTTCTATCAATTGTAGATATGTGATCTTCCAAGGACAGCTCCCTTCTCTTGCCCAGTGCTTCCCTTTCCCATCAAGTCCTCAACTAGCTAACTTTCCAACCCTGGAGCTGTTCCATTCCTGTCTACTTACTTAGAAAAGGTGACAAAACCTCAAAACTATTTCCTATTCAAGGAAACAAGCATCCCTTATTTGTATGTATGTTTAATTTTTTTTTTTTTTTTTTTTTTTTTTGAGACAGAGTCTTGTTCTGTCGCCCAGGCTGGAAGGCAGTGGCGCCATCCTCCCGAGTAGCTAGGACTACAGGCATCCGCCACCATGCCTGGCTATTTTTTTTTTTTTTTTTTTTTGTATTTTTAGTAGAGATGGGGTTTCACCGTGTTAGCCAAAATGGTCTCGATCTCCTGATCTCGTGATCCTCCCACCTCGGCCTCCCAAAGTGCTGGGATTACAGCCGTGAGCCACTGCGCCCGGCCTATTTAAGTTTTTTTTGAAATTGTGATAAATGGGACAGATAAAAGGGAAGTTTTCCTTTGTTACCAACTTTTTCAATGATGATTGAACTAATCAATCGTTTATATAAAATGTCATGGAAAATATGCTTAAATTCCTAAGGAAAAAAATATTTAAGGAAATGCATTATTCTCTTTATATGTCATGCGGAACTTCAGAACTACTATTTTTTTTAAATAAACATTTTATTGGCCAGGCGCAGTGGCTCACGCCTGTAATCCCAGCATTTTGGGAGGCCGAGGCAAGTGGATCACCTGAGGTCAGAAGTTTGAGACTAGCCTGGCCAACACATAGTGAAACCCCATTTCTGCTGAAAATACAAAAATTAACCGGGTATAGTGGCATGCGCCTGTATTCCCAGCTACTTGTGAGGCTGAGGCAGGAGAATCGCTTAAACCCGGGAGGCAGAGGTTGCAGTGAGCCAAGATAGCGCCACTGCACTCCAGCCTGGGCGACAGAGCAAGACCTTGTCCCCCCCCCCAAAAAAAAGAAAGAAAGAAAAGAAAAGAAAGAAAGAAAAGAAAAGAAAGAAAGAAAAAGAAAAAAAAATTTTTTTTAGTAAATTGGCTTATCCGTGACACTTGGTGATGCCATCTAGAAGTCACACCTCACTTTTAGAAAAGTAAAATTTTTTTTATAAAGTAAGTAAAAACTACTACATCTCCTTGTCTTAACTTCCACTACTCTTTCTTAGCTGAGTTTCAAAACCCCACTGTAACCTTGGTCTTCCTTTTTTTATATAGTTTCTCCCTTCTCCAAGCAATTTTATACTTTGCTGCAAGTCATCTTTCTCAATGCTCTTACCAGCACACCGGGTTCAACCTACTCAACCTCAAATTCCAAGTTTCCTACCATATAGTAGCCATGTACCTTCCCAAACGTATCTTACTCTATCTCTACTTCACACTTTATTAAGCTGCTTATATATTTCCTTACTAAATTGTCAGCCTTTTGCATCAGGGAGGGAGTCTTAACAGTTTTTTCTGTTCCTGAAGTACCAATATATAATTTAATGCTATTATGATACCAAAATAGTCTTTTTATTTTAAAGTGCATTCTCATTTAACCTCTATTAACCAGGCTTCTTAGTCCATCTGAGTCACTCAATGTGCTGGAAAGTAATTTAACTGCAGGCAATTTATTTAGTTATTCTGTGAGATTTGTGCACATCTTTCAGGTTAAAAAGGACAAAATAATAAGCACTGAGGGAATATATGAATGTGCAATATATACAGAGAACTTTAAATGAGTACCAGTATTACCTGCATTCAACACCATGGTTTCAGAAAGAGTGAAGGTAAGTTTGAAAAATAGGTCTTTCTTCAATGCTTTTACTTTTTTGTTTTTTGCTACAGTGTTTCTATTCCTTACTTTTTCAATTATGTTAATAAAACACTAAAATCACCATTTCTCTGGTGCTCAGGGGCAAGTCTCTGCACCACCTTGACCACTAGGTGGCTCTCTCGTTTCATGTTCTAGTAACTGGGGGCCTCTTCATTCTTTTCAAAGGATAGGTATCTCTGTTGTAGAATTTGGTTCATAACATTTTCTTTTCTTTTTCTTTTTCTTTTCCTTTTTTTTTTTTTTTTTTTTTTTTTTGAGGCAGAGTCTAGCTCTGTCACCCAGGCTGGAGTGCAGTGGCACCATCTCGGCTCACTGCAACCTCTCTGCCTCCCTGTGGCTCAAGCAATTCTGCCTCAGCCTCCTCAGTAGCTGGGACTGCAGGTGTGCGCCACCACACCTGGCTAATTTTTGTATTTGTATTTTTTTTTTCATTTTTCAAGACAGTGTCTCACTCTGTTGCCCAGGCTGGAGTGCAGTGGCACGATCTCAGCTCCCAGGACCTGCAACCTCCACCTCCCAGGTTCAAGTGATTTTTTGTGCCTCAGCCTTCCGAGTAGCTTGGGTTACAGGCGTGCACCACCATGCCCAGCTAATTTTTGTATTTTTAGTAGAGATGGGGTTTCACCATTTTGGCCAGGCTGGTCTCAGACCTGACCTCAGTTGATCTGCCCACTTCAGCCTCCCAAGGTACTGGGATTATAGGCGTGAGCCACCATGCCCAGTCAACATTTTCTTACTGATTATGAATACTTAGTAGGACAGGCTCTGTAAACACCATTTAAAGAGTCCAGTGCTTTCCATGGGCTGAGAAGGTTTGGGCTTGGCAGAAAGCCTACTGGTAACTCCTCTCCAGGACAATGCAAATACCAAAGCCAGGCCTGAATAAGCATGACTCTGCTACCTTATGACTTCACTTTCGTCCCACAGTAAAATATAATTTATAATTTCTGAGACATCAGAAGAGGTGTCTGTATAGTCATTCAGACATTTTCATGGAACCCTAACATTTGCCAGGATTCTATCAAAGTTTAGCAGAGTTCCATGAAAGCCTTTTATGTGCAAAGTTAGGCTTTAGGGTTTTAAAAAACCATTATTGACTTTGGCTTTCTTTTTGGTTTTTTGTTTTTTGGAGGGGTCAGGGTCTCATTCTGTCACTCAGGCTGGAGTGCAGTGGTGTGGTCACAGCTCACTGCAGCCTTGACCACCTGGGCTCAAGCAATCCTTCTGCGTCATCCTCCCAAGTAGCTGGGACTATAGGTGCATGCCACTGAAAGTTGTGAAGCCAGCTGGGCTTCTGTGTCGCTTGGAGAACTTTTGTGTCTAGCTAAAGGATTGTAAATGCACCAATCAGTACTCTGTAAAAACGCACCAATCAGCACTCTCTAAAATGGACCAATCAACACTCTGTAAAATGAACCAGTCAGCACTCTGTAAAATGGACCAATCAGCACTCTGTAAAATGGACCAATCAGCAGGATGTGGGGAGGGCCAAATAAGGGAATAAAAGCTGGCCACCTGCGCCAGCAGCGGCAACCCACTCCAGTGTCCTTCCACCCTGTGGAGTGTCTCTTGTTTTGCTCTTGGCAATAAATTGTGCTGCTGCTCACTCTTTGGGTCCGCACTACCTTTATGAGCTGTGATACTCACTGCTTCATGCCTGCAGTCAGCAAGACCGCAAACCCACTGGAAGGAGCAAACAACTCTGGAGGCACCGCCTTAGGAGCTGTAACACCCACTGCTAGGGTCTGTGGCCTCACTCCTGAAGTCAGTGAGATCACGAACCCACCAGAGGCAAAAAACTCCGGACACATCTGAACATCTGAGGGAACAAACTCCGGACACCATCTGTAAGAGCTGTGACACTCAGCGCGAGGATCTGCGGCTTCATTCTTGAAATCAGCGAGACCAAGGACCCACCAGAAGGAACCAATTCCGGACACACCACCACACCCATCTTATTATTGTTTTTATTTGGTAGAGTTGGGGGTCCCACTCTGTTGCTCAAGCTGGTCTCAAACTCCTGGGCTCAAGTGATCCTCCCACCTCATCCTCCCAAACTGCTGGGATTACAGGATCAGTGAGCCACCAACCTCAGACAACTCTGGCTTTCTTGATACTTAATTTTTTAAATAGGTTTAGTCAGTACAGGTGCTATTTTGCTACACGAATATATTACATAGTGGTGAAGACTGGGCTTTTAATGTACCCATTGCCCAAATAGTGTACATTATACCTATTAAGTAATTATTCATCAGTTACCCTCTTCCCACCCAATGTCTATTATTCCACTTTCTGTGTCCATGTGTACACATTATTTAGCTTCTACCCAGAAGTGAGAGCATGCTGTATCTGACTTTCTGTCTCTGAGTTATTTCACCTAAGATAATGACCTAGTCTAGTTGCATCCATGTTGCTACAAAAGATAAGATTTCATTTTTATTTATGGCTGAGTAGTAGTCCATGGATTCCATATCTTTGTTATTATGAATAGTGCTGAGATAAACATACAAGTGAAGATATCTATTGGTATAATTTTTTTTCTTTTAGGTAGATACCAAGTAGTGAGATTGTTGAGTTGAATGGTAGTTCTATTTTTAGTTCTTTGAGAAGTCTCCATATTGTTTTCCATAGAAGTTGTACTAGTATACATTTCCACCAACAGCGTATAAGTGTTCCTATTCTCCACATCATCACCAACATCTGTTGGTTTTTTATTTTTCAATAATAGCTATTCTGACTGGTGACACATTGTGTTTGTTTTTTTTGTTTTTTGTTTTTTTTTTAATGGAGATGGGATTCTTGCTGTGTTGCCCAGGCTGGTCTTGAACTCCTGGTCTCAAGCAATCCTCCCACCTCATCCTCCCAAAGTGCCAGTATGATCATTGTAGTTTTAATGTGCATTTCTCTGATAATTAGTATTCTTGATTATTTTTCATGTTAGTCACATGTATGTCTTCTTTTGAAAAATGCTGATGGATGTGGTGGCTCATGCCTGTAATCCCAGCACTTTGGGAGGCTGAAGCAGAAAGATCACTTGAAGTCAGGAGTTCAAGACCAGCCTGGCCAACATGGTGAAACCTCCTCTACTAAAAACGCAAAAATTAGCCGGCGTGGCAGCAGGCGCCTGTAATCACAACTGCTTGGGGGGCTGAGGCAAGAGAATCACTTGAACCTGGGAAGCGGAGATTGCAGTGAGGCGCTGAGTTGGTGCCACTGCACTCCAGTCTGGGTGACAGAAGGAGACCCTATCTGAAAGGAAAGAGAGAGAGGGAGAGGGGAAGAAAAGAGGGAAAGAGAAAGGGAGGAAGGAAGGAAGGAGAGAGAAAGAAATAGGGAGGAAGGGAGGGAAAGAGGAAGAGAGGGAAGGAGGGAGGAAGGAAGGGGGGAGAGAGAGAAGGAAGGAAGGAAAGAAGGATGGAAGGAAGGAAAAGAAAGATGCCTGTTCATTTCCTTTCCCAACTTTCTAATGGGGCTATTTGTTGATGATGTTTTTTTTTTCTGGATGAGTTGTTTGAATGCCTTGTAGATTCTGGATATCCACCCTTTGTCAGATGTATAGTTTGCAAATATTTTCTCCCATTCTGTAGGTTGTCTCTCTCTCTCTTCCACTCCCCTCCTCCCTCCCCTCCCCTCTCCTCTCTTCTTTTCTTCTCTTTTCTGACGGGGTCTTGCTTTGTTGTCCAGGCTGGAATTTAGTGGTGTGATCATGGCTCACTGCAACGTTGACCTCCCTAGGGCTCAAGTTATCCTCCCACCTCAGCTTCCCAAGTAGCTGGAACTGTAGCCATGTGCCACCACATCCAGCTAATCTTTTAATTTTTTTGTAGAGACAGAGTCCCACTGTATTGCCCGGGCTTGTCTTGAACTCCTAGGCTCAAGTGATCCTCCCTACTCAGGTTCCCAAAGTGCTGGGATTACAGACGTGAGCCACTGCACCTGGCCAATTATTTACTTTGTTGTGCAGAAGCTTTTTAGTTTAATTAGGCCCCATTTGTCTACGTTTATTTTTGTTGCATTTGCTTTTGAGCAAATAAATTTCAAAATTCTTTGCTTAGGCCAATGTCTAAAAGAGTTTTTTCTTGAGAACGGGCCAGGATGACAATGGCGGCCTTGTGGAATAGAAAGGCGGGAAAGGCGGGGAAAAGATTGAGAAATCAGATGGTTGCCGTGTCTGTGTAGAAGGAAGTAGACATGGGAGACTTTTCATTTTGTTCTGCACTAAGAAAAATTCCTCTGTCTTGGGATCCTGTTGATCTGTGACCTTACCCCCAACCCTGTGCTCTCTGAAACATGTGCTGTGTCCACTCAGGGTTAAATGGATTAAGGGCGGTGCAAGATGTGCTTTGTTAAACAGATGCTTGAAGGCAGCATGCTCGTTAAGAGTCATCACCAATCCCTAATCTCAAGTAATCAGGGACACAAACACTGCGGAAGGCCGCAGGGTCCTCTTCCTAGGAAAACCAGAGACCTTTGTTCACTTGTTTATCTGCTGACCTTCCCTCCACTATTGTCCCATGACCCTGCCAAATCCCCCTCTGTGAGAAACACCTAAGAATTATCAATAAAAAAAAAATTAAAAAAAAAAAAATAAAAAAAAATAAAAATAAAAAAATAAAAACACACCTCACCAAGCTCAGCCACCAAAAAAAAAAAAAAAAAAAAAAAAAAAGAGTTTTTTCTAGGTTTTCTTCCAGGATTTTTATAATTTCAGGTCTTACATTTAAGGATTTAATCCATCTTGAGTTAATTTTTATTAACTCAAGACAGGGATCCAGTTTCATTCTTCTGCATATGGCAATCCAATTTTGCCAGCACTATTTATTGAATAAGGTATCTTTTTCCCAGTTTATATTTCTATGAACTTTGTTGAAGATCATTTGGCTGTAGGTGTGTGGCTTTGTTTCTATGTTTTCTATTCTGTTTCATTAATCTAAGTGTCTGTTTTTACATCAATACTATACTGTTTTGGTGACTCTATCTTGTAGTATAATTTGGAGTCAGGTAAGGTGATGCCTCCAGCTTTGTTATTTTGGCTTATGATTGCTTTGGCTAGTCCAGCTGTTTTTTGATTCCATATGAACTTTAGGATTGCTTTTTCTAATTCTGTGAAAAATGACATTGGTAATTTGATAGGAATTGCTTTGAATCTGTAGATTGCTTTGGGTAGTATGGTCATCTTAATGATACTGATTCTTTCAATCCATGAGCATGGGATGTTTCTCCATTTGTTTACTCTACAATTTCTTTCATCAGTGTTTTATAGTTCTCCTTGTATAGATGTTTCAACTCCTTGGTTAAATGTATTCCCAGGTGTTTTATTCTTCTTTTAACTATTATAAGTAGGATTGAGTTCTTTATTTGGTTCTCAGCTTGAGCATTATTGGTATATAGAAATGCTACTGATTTTGGTACATTAGTTCATATCCTGAAACTTTACTAAAGTCATTAATCAAACCCAGGAGTCTTTTGGAGGATTCTTTAGGGTGTTTTAGATAAAAGACCAAATCATCAGCGAACAGATATAATTTTAATTTGGATGCCTTTTATTTCTTCCTCTTGTCTGATTGCTCTAACTAGGACTTCCAGTACTATATTGAATAGGAATGGTGAAAGTGGGCATCCTTGTCTTGTTCCAGTTCTTAAGGGAATGCTTTCAACTTTTCCCCATTCAGTATGATGTTGTCTGTGGGTTTGTCATACATGAGTTTTATTATTTTGAGGTAGTTTGTTTGAGGGTTTTTACCAGGAAGGGATGCTGAATTTTATCAAATGCGTTTTCTGCCATCATTCGAGAGGGTCATATGGTTTTTTGTTTTTAATTCTGTTTACATGTTGAATCATACTTACTGATTTGTGTATGTTGAACCATCCTTGCATCCCTAGAATAAAACCTAGTTATTGTGTTGTATTATCTTTTCAATGTGATGTTGGATTTAGTTTGTTAGTATTTTGGTGAGGATTTTTACATCTGTGTTCATCAAGAATATTGGCAGGTAGGCTCGGTGCGGTGGCTCATGCCTGTAATCCCAGCACTTTGGGAGGCCAAGGCAGGCGGATCACCTGAGGTCAGGAGTTCATGACCAGCCTGGCCAACATGGTGAAACCCCGTCTCTACTAAAAATACAGCAATTAGCTGGGCGTGGTCATGGGTGCCTGCAGTGCAGATACTCAGGAGGCTGAGGCAGGAGAATCGCTTGAACCCAGGAGGCAGAGGTTGCAGTGAGCCAAGATTGAGCCACTGCACTCCAGCCTGGGCGACAGAGCAAGACTCCATCTCTCTCTCTCTCTCTCTATATATATATATATGTATGTGTGTGTGTGTGTGTGTATACATGTACGTGTGTGTGTATGTATATGTATGTGTGTGTATATGTATGTGTATATACGTATGTGTATATATATGTATATGTATATATATATGCATTAGTTTTTCCTTTTTTGTTGTGTCCTGCTGGCCTTTTGTATCACAGTGTTACTAGCTTTGTAGAATGAGTTAGACAGGATGCCCTTCTCCCCGATTTTTTGGAACAGTTTCAGTAGGAGTAGAAGAACTGGTACCAGTTCTTCTTTGTAAGTCTGATAAAATTAGGCTGTAAATCCATCTGGTCCTAGGCCTTTTTTGTTGGGAGATTTTTTAATTACTGTTTCAATTTCATGGCTCATTATTGGTCTGTTCAGGATTTTCTATTTCTTCCTGGCTCATTCTTTGAGAGGTTGTATGTTTCCAGGTATTTATCCATTTCTTCTAGATTTTCTAGTTTGTGCACATATAGATAATCATAGTAGTCTCTGATGATCTTTTTTATTTTGGTGGTATCAGTTGTAATATCACCTTTATCATTTCTTACTGTGCTTATATGAATCTTCTTTGTTACTTGGATAATCCAGCTAACAGTCTATCAATTTGTTTATATTTTCAAAGAATCTTTTCATTTCATTGATCCATTGTTGTTGTTGGTTTTTGAGACAGGGTCTTGCTTTGTCACCCAGGCTGGAATGCAGTGGCGCAGTATGGCTCACTGCAACCTCACCCTCCCAGGCTCAAGCCATCCTTCCACCTCTGCCTCCTGAATAGCTGGTATTACAGGCACATGCCATCACGCCTGGCTAATTTTTGTATTTTTTGAAGAGACAGGGTTTCATCATCTTGCCCAGGCTGGTCTCAAACTCCTGGGCTCAAGCAATCCTTCTGCCTTGGCCTCCCAAAGTGCTGGGATTACAGGCATGAGCCACTGCACTGAGCCTGTATTGGTTTTTGTTTGTTTGTTTTTTGTTTTGTTTTTGCCTCAATATCATTTAGTTCTGCTGTGATCTTTGTTATTTTTCTTTCTTTCTTCCTTTTTTTTTTTTTTGGAGACAGAGTTTCTCTCTTGTTGCCCAGGCTGGAGTGCAGTGGTGCGATCTCGGCTCACTGCAATCTCCACCTCCCGGATTCAAGTGATTCTCCTGCGTCAGCCTCCCAAGTAGCTGGGATTACAGGCACCTGCCACCACGCCCTACTAATTTTTGTATTTTTAGTAGAGATGGGGTTTCACCATGTTGGCCAGGCTGGTCTCAAACTCCTGACCTCAGGTGATCCACCTGCCTCAGCCTCCCAAAGTGCTGGGATTACAGGCGTGAGCCACCGCACCTGGCTGATCTTTGTTATTTCTCTTTTTTCTGATAGCTTTGGGTTTGGTTTGTTCTTGTTTTTCTAGTTCCTTCAGGTGCGACATTAGGTGGTTAATTTGAGATCTTTCTATCTTTTTGATGTAAGCATTTAATGCTATAAAATTCCCTCTTCTAACTGCTTTTGCTGTATCTCAGAGATTCTGGTATGTTGTGTCTCTGCTTTCATTCATTCCAAATATTTTTTAAATTTCTAGGCTAAGCACAGTAGCTCACAACTGTAATCCCAGCACTTTGGGAGGTGAAAGTGGGAGGATTACTTGGGGCCAGAAGTTTAAGACCTGCTTGGGCAACATATCAAGACTCCATCTCTATTAAAAAATTAAAAAAAAAATTTGGGCCAGGCGCGGTGGCTCACACCTGTAATCCCAGCACTTTGGGAAGCCAAGGCGGGCAGATCACAAAGTCAGGAGTTCAAGACCAGCCTGGCCAATATGGTGAAACCCTGTCTCTACTAAAAATATAAAAATTAGTTGACCTTGGTGGCGCATACCTGTAATCCCAGCTACTTGGGAGACTGAGGCAGGAGAATCGCTTGAACCCGGGAGGCAGAGGTTGCAGTGAGCTGAGATCATGCCACTGCACTCCAGCCTGGGTGACAGAGTGAGACTCTGTCTCAAAAAAGAAAAAAAAAAATTAGCCAGGCACTGTGGCATGTGCCTGTAGTCCCAGATACTTGGGAAGCTGAGGCAGGAGGATTGCTTGAGCCTAGGAATTTGAGGCTATAATAAACTATGGTCATGCCATTACACTTCAGCATGGGTGACAGAGTGAGACCTTGTTTCAAGAAGAAGAAGAGGAAAAAGAAAAATGTTTAAAAATTTCTATCTTAATTTTATCATTTACCCAAAGATCATTCAGGAACAGGCTGTTACATTTCCACGTATTTATATAGTTTTGAGAGTCCTTCTTGGCATTGATCTCTAGTTTTATTCCACCATGGTCTGAGAAAATATTTGATATGATTTTGATTTTTCAAAATATGTTGAGACTTGCTTATTGGCCAAGGATATGGTCTATTTTGGGGAATGTTCCATGAACAGATGAGAAGAATGTATATTCTGCCATTTTGGGTAGAATGTTCTGTAAACATCTGTGGGGTTCATTTGGCCTAGAGTTCAATTTAAATCGAATTTATTTGTTGATTTTCTGTCTTGGTGATCTGTCTAGTGCTATAAGTGAAATGTTGAAGTCCCCCTACTATTGTACTGTTGTATTGTTGTCTATCTCTTTTCTTAGGTCTAGTAGTATTTGTTTTATGAATCTGAGTGGACCAGTGTTGAGTGCATATATATTTAGGATTGTTGTATCTTCTTGTTGAAATCTTTGTCATTATATAATGACCTCTTTTGCCTTTTTTTTTTAACTGTTGTTGATTTAAAGTACGTTTTATCTGATACAAGTATAGCTACTCTTACTCACTTTTGGTTTCCATTTGTGTGGAATTTCTTTTTCCACTCCTTTAAGTCTGTAAATGATGACTACTCATTAGGTGGATTTCTTTTTTTTTTTTTTTATTTGAGACAGAGTCTTGCTCTGTCCCCCAGGCTGGAGTGCAGTGGCGCTATCTCGGCTCACTGCAAGCTCCGCCTCCTGGGTTCCCGCCATTCTCCTGCCTCAACCTCCCTAGTAGCTGGGACTACAGGCGCCCGCCACCGTGCCCAGCTAATTTTTTGTATTTTTAGTAGAGACGGGTTTTCACCGTGTTAGCCAGGATTGTCTCAATCTCTTGACCTCGTGATCTGCCCGCCTCGGCCTCCCAAAGTGCTGGGATTACAGGCGTGAGCCACTGCACCCGGCCCTTGGTGGATTTCTTGTGAGCAGCATATAATTGGATCTTGTTGTTGTTATTTTTATTTATTTATCTATTTTTTGAGATGAAGTCTCACTGTGTTGCTGAGGCTGGAGTGCAATGGCATAATCTTGGCTCACTGCAACCTCCGCCTCCTGGGTTCAAGTGATTCTCCTATCTCAGCCTTCCAAGTAGCTGGGGTTACAGGTGTGTGCCACCATGCCTGGCTAATTTTTTTGTATTTTTAGTAGAGACAGAGTTTGACCATGTTGGCCAGGCTGGTCTCAAACTCCTGACCTCAGATGATCCACCCACCTCAGCCTCCCAAAGTGTGGGGATTACAGGTGTGAGCCACCACACCTGGCCTGTTGTTTTTTTAAAATCCATTCTGCCAGCCTATATATTTTAAGTAGAGCATTTAGTCGATTTACATGCAAGGTTAATATTGATATGTGAGGTTTTATTTCTGTCATAATGTTAATTATTACCTAGTTGCTTTGTAGTCTCAATTGTGTAATAGCTTTATAAGATCTGTGAGTTTTGTACTTTTGTGTGCTTTTATGGTGGCAAGTATCGTCCTTTCATTTCTATGTTCAGAACTACTTTGATCATTCCTTGTAGGTCTGGTCTAGTGGCAACAAATTCCCTTTATGTTTGCTTTTCTGGGAAAGACTTTATTTCTCCTTCATTTATGAAACTTAGCTTAGCAGGATACAATATCTTGGCTGGCAGGTTTTTTTCCTTAAGAAGACTGAAAATAGGACCCTACTCTCTTCTGGCTTGTAAGATTTCTGCTATGAAGTACTTTATAGGTGATTAGATGCTTCTCTCTTGCTGCTTTTAAAATTTTTTTCCTTCCTAGTGACTTTGGATAGTCTGATGGCAATATGACTAGTTGAGATTTGTCTTGCAAAGTTCAACAAGGCATGTTGTTCTCTGAGCTTTCTTTAACCTCTCAGTCTTTCTTTATGTCTAAGTCTCTAGCAAGACTGGGGAAATTTTCCTGAATTATTTCCTCAAATAGGTTTTAAAAGATTTTTACAGCTGGGTGTGCTGGCTGACACCTGTAATCCCAGCACTTTGGGAGGCCAAGGTGGGTGGATCACCTACACACCCTGTGATACTATTCGTAATATCCTAGGGGGATGTTACTCCTAATGTGTACACCATGTAATATTATAAATAACATCCTAGGAGGATGTTACTCCTAATGTCACAAGGGGTGTACACACTGTGATATTATTCATAATATACTAGAAAAATATTACTCCTAATGTCACAGAAGGTGTACGCTTGTGATATTATTCGTAATATCCTAGGGGAATGTTACTACGAATGTCACAATGGGTCTACACCCTGTTATATTATTCATAGTATCATACTGGGATGTTACTCCTAATGTCACAGGGGGTGTACTTCCTGTGGTATTATTCATAATATCTTACGGGGATATTAGTCCTAATGTCACAGGGGGTTTACAACTTGTGATATTATTCATAATATCCTAAAAAGATGTTACTCCTCATCTCACAGGGGGTGTACACACTGTGATATTATTCATAATATCCTAAGGGAATGTTACTCGTAATGTCACAGGTGCTGCACACCTTATGATATTATTCATAATATCATAGGGGGATATTACTCCTAATATCACAAGGAGTGTACACCCTGTGATATTACTCCTAATATCACAGAGGGATGTTACTCCTAATGTCACAGAGGGTGTACACCCTGTGATATTCTTCCTAATATCCTAGGGGGTTGTTAATTCTAATGTCAGAGAAGGTGCACACCCTGTGATGTTATTTGTAATATCCTAGGGGAATGTTACTCTTAATGTCACAGGGGAAATACTCCATGTGTGTACACCCCCTGTGATATTATTTGTAATATCCTAGTGGAATGTTACTTTTAATGTTACAGGGAGTGTACACCATGTGTGTATACCTCCTATGATAATATTCATAATATCCTAAGGGGATATTACTCCTAATGTAACTTAAGGTGTACACCATATGTGTACACACCCTGTAATATTATTCATAACATCCTTGGGGATGTTACTACTAATGTAACTTAAGATATGTACTATGTGTGTACACCTCCGTGTTATGTTATTCATAAAAACCTCTGGGGATTTTACCTTTAATGTCTCACGAGTTGTATAATGTGTTTACAACCCTTGTGATATTATTCGTAATATGCTAGGGGATATTATCCCTAATATTTTGGTGGATGTCACTCCTATGAAACGGGTTGTACACCATGTGTGTACACCACAGGGGGTGATATCATTCCTAATATCCTACAGGGATGTTAACTCGTAATGTCACGGGGCGTGTACACCATGTGTGTACAAGCCCTGTGATATTATTCATAACATCCTAGGAAGATGTTAATCTTAATGTAACTTAAGGTGTACAACATGTGCGTACACCACCTGTGACATTATTCCTAACATTTTAAAGGGACGCTACTTCTTTTTTTTTTTTTTTTTTTTTTTTTGAGACGGAGTCTCGCTTCGTCGTCCAGGCTGGAGTGCAGTGGCACGATGTCGGCTCACTGCAAGCTCCGCCTCCTTGGTTCACACCGTTCTCCTTCCTCAGCCTCCCAAGTAGCTGGGACTACAGGCACCTGCCACCATGCCTGGCTAATTTTTTTTCTGTATTTTTAGTAGAGACAGGGTTTCACCATGTTAGTCAGGATGGTCTCAATCTCCTGACCTTGTGATCCGCCCGCCTTGGCCTCCCAAAGGGGATGTTACTTCTAATGTCACAGGGATTGTATACCATGTGTGTACATGCCCTGTGATATTATTCGTAATATGCTAGGAAGATGTTTCTCTTACTGTCACAGGAGGTTTACACATATGGTACCATCTATGTACACCCCCTGTGATACTGTTTGTAATATCCTAGGTGGATGTTACTTCTAATGTCACAGGGTGTGTACACCGTGTGTGTACACCACCTGTCATATTATTTGTCATATTCTAGTGAGATGTTACTCCTAATATCACAGGAGGTGTACACCATGTGGGTACATGCCCTGTGATATTATTCGTAATATTCTAGAGGGATGTTACCCCTAATGTCACAGGGGATGTGTACACTCCTTGTGATATTATGCATACTATTCTAGGGGAATGTTATTTCTAATGTCACAGGGGATGTCCACCGTGTGTGCACACCCTTGTGATATTATTTGTAATATCTTAAAGTGATGTTACTTCTAATGTCACAGGAGTGACATCCCCATAGAATATTACGAATAGCACTGGCGGTTTACACACATGGGGTACACACCCTGTGACCTTATAAGTAACATCTCCCTAGGGTATTACAAAGAATATCACAGAAGGTGTACACACATGGTGTACAACTCCTGTGACATTAGAAGTAACATCCCCTTTGGGAGGCCAAGGAGGGCGGATCACAAGGTCAGGAGATTGAGACCCCCTGTCATATTATTCATAACATCCTAGGGGGATGTTATTCCTTTTTTTATTTTTTTATTTTTTGACGGAGTTTTGCTCTTCCACCCAGGCTGGAGTGCAGTGGCGCGATCTCAGCTCACTGCAACCTCTGCCTTCCGGTTTCAAGTAATTCTCTTGCCTCAGCCTCCCAGGGGGATGTTATTCCTAATGTCACAGGGTATGTCCATCATGTGTGCACACCCCCTATGATATTATTTGTAATATCCTAAAGTGATGTTACTTCTAATGTCACAGGGGGTGTACCCCATGTGGGTAAACCACCAGTGATATTATTTGTAATATCCTAGGGAAATGTTACTGCTCATTTCACAGTGGGTTACACGATGTGTGTACAACCTGTGATATTATTTGTAATATTTTAGGGGGATGTTACACCTAATGTCACAGTGGGTGTACGCCGTGTGTGTACACCCTGTGATATTAATCGTAATATTCTAGGAGGATGTTATTTCTAATGTCACAGTGAGTGTACACCATGTGTGTACACCCTGTGATATTAATCGTAATATTCTAGCGGGATGTTAGTTCTAATGTGATGGTGGGTGTACACACATTGGCCAGGCGCAGTGGCTCACGGCTGTTATCCCAGCACTTTGGGAGGCCAAGGCAGGTGGATACAAGGTCAGGCATTTGAGACCAGCCTGGCCAACATAGTGAACCTCCGTCTCTACTAAAAATACAAAAAAAAAAAAAAAAAAAAAAAAAAAGCCAGGCTGGTGGCGGGAGCCTGTTGTCCCAGCTACTCGGGAGGCTAAGGCAGGAGAATCACTTCAACCTGGGAGGTGGAGGTTGCAGTGAGCCCTGATTGGGCCACTGCACTGCAACCCAGGCGACAGTGTGAGACTCCATCTCAAAAAAAAAATCCAAAAATTAGCCAGGTGTGGTGGTGCATGCCTATAATCCCAGCTATTTAGGAGGCTGAGGTATGAGAATGGCTTGAACCCAGGATGTGGAGATTGCAGTGAGCCGAGATTATGCCATTGCACTCCAACCTGTGTGACAGAGTGAGACTCCATCTCAAAAAAAAAAACAAACAAAAGATTTTTACTTTTTCTTATTCTCTCTTAGGAATACCTATGATTTATAGGATTGGCCACTTTACATATTCCCATATTTCTTGAAGGCTTTGCTCATTTTTAAAAATTCTTTTTTCTTTATTTTTGTCTGACTGGGTTAAATTAAAAGACCTGTCTTCTTCTGCTAAATTTCTTTCTTCTGCTTGGTCTAGTCTATTTCTAAGTCTTTCAACTGTGTTTTGTAATTCCTATAATACATTTTTCATTTGCAGAAGTTCTGTTTTTTTAAAATATCTATCTTTTTAGTAAATTTTCTTCTTTTTTGTAAATTTTTCATTCATATCCTGTATTGTTTCTCTAATTTTTTCATGTTGTTTTTTTCACCTTTTCTTGGATCTCATTGAACTTCCTTACAATATATATTTTGAAAATTCTTTGTCTGTAATTTCAGAATTTTCATTTTGGTTAGTATCTTTTGCTGGAGAGCTAATGTAATCTTTTTAGGTTGTTGAAATACTCTGTTTTCTCATACTGTCAGACTTCTTACATTGGTTCTTTCTCATCTGGAGAATCTCTCACTACTTGTTTTTGAATTTACTTTTCATTGCATGGGACTTTTAAAAGAATTATCCCCTTCAAGGGTGTGACTGTAATGTATGTTGTGAATGGTTGTTTGGCTTCAATTCTGGGTGCTGTCAGGGTGCCAAAGTTCTGTATGAATTCCTTGGTTATAGTTAGCCTTTGTGCAGTGGCTTTCTCAAGTGCTGGTTGTAGTAACACTGTGCTGGGCATATTAGCAGGCTCACTACCTTCTGCAGAGCTGAGACTGTGGAGGTCTCAGGAAGCTTACCTGGTTCATAGCGCTGTGCACTTCGGTCAAAAGGTTTTGTATTGGGTTGTGCAGTTCCGTCTCTAGACCAGCAGGTGGCGAATACGGGTAAGAGCCAGATGCCCAGGGTGTGTGCGTGCTTAATCTTTGTTTACTGGGAGGGGCTGTCTGTTGTCTCAGGCGGTGGGCTGATCTGTGGGTGGACTGATCTGTGGAATGCTGGGTGCCCTGAGTTCTCTACTTACCCCAGGAAAGGAAGACGAAGCTGGGTGCAGCTGGACTGCTAAGCTCACCTTCGGATACCCCAATGACAGTGGAAGCACAAACCCTGATGAGGCTGGTCGGGGGCTTGTGGTGAAAAGCGCTGAGGTTTCCATCACAGGCAGAGAGGGCTGCACCAGCTCTATGTCCTGACCAAGAAGGAATGCCATCTGCCTCCCAATCACACCCCTGTCCCGAGGCTTTGTGACCCTGAAATAGGCAATGTCGTTTGTCTCTAGGCTGCAATATAGCTGAGGGCCACAGAAATGCCTGTCCCAGAGCCCTCCACTGAAACGGCTTCCCGTGGGAACCTCTTCCCTCAGCTGAACACAGACAACTTTGTGGCTTCGTTGATCTCTACTGCAGGAAAACTGTTGCTCCATGTAGAGAGGGAGAGGGGCCCTACTCTTCATGCAAGCCGGGCCTGGGGTGGTGGGAACACTGCCAGTTGGGGTGCACCCACCCCTAATAGCCCTGCATTGACCATCCATAGGCACACCTGTGCCAACCCCCCACAGGAACAGCCTGGCTATGTACACAGCAATGATTGTAGGGGAGAAGTCCCCCTCTCTGTGTCCCTTCTTGAGCACCAATGCTGCCTGCCCACTGGGGTTGAAACACACTCCTCCAGCACCACACCTGCCTCTGCTGCAAGGGGCACAGTCACCTTCAGTGCGCAAGCAGGGAGCTCTCAGGCACAGGAGACCCTGTACTCTCGTCTCCTTTGTCCCAAGGGGTGCTTTGGCACGGTGTACACTCCCTTCCCCTATGGACAGTTTGCCCTGAGGGTTACACCTCCAGCAACGCCACAGCTCCCCCTGGATCCCACTGGCCCTTTGTGGTTGCTACAGCCTGAGGAGGTGCAAGGGAATGTTTACAGGGGATCCAGTAATGCAGCAACACAAGGGCTGAGACTCCTTGGGCAGGACAGAGGCCCTCAATGGGTGCACAACCAGTATGGCACCCACCACCTCAGCTCGGGTCTACGGGCAGGGTGAGCAATCCTGCATGAGCTGGCAACCTGGTGCTCTGCCCGCAAGAAGTTCTCAAATCACTGCTCATACTGGTGCCAATTCAAGAGGGTAGAGGGGCTCTTCAACAGTTTGGAAACCAGCAGTCTGCTGCAGCAAGGGTGAGTGAAATGAGCTAAAAACATCCCCACCTACCCTTTCCACAGGACTGCAAGTCCCTTGGGTATTATCTCTGCCAAACTCTTGCTTCCCTCTTTTTTCTGTGCCCCAACTTCTTCCTGTGGGTTCTGTCACTCTTCGATCAGTATTCCACTTGGGCCATGATTATTCACCTTTGGTTCTTCTCTCTGAGGAGAACTGGCATCCAATGTTTCTAGTCAGCCATCACTGATCTTCCTGTTCCTCTTTCCCATATCAATTTCTACTCATGGCTGTTGGATATTTCATATTTCCTCTCCAGATCTACCCTCCCCTCTGCTCTCTGCTACAAGAAGCTGACTAGTTTGATATTTATTTATTTATTTATTTGAGACAGTGTCTCACTCTGTCGCCCAGGCTGGAGTGCAGTGGCACCATCTCGGCTCACTGCAAGCTCCACCTGCCGGGTTCACACCATTCTCCTGCCTCAGCCTCCAGAGTAGCTGGAACTATAGGCGTGTGCCACCACGCCCGGCTAATTTTTTGTATTTTTAGTAGAGATGGGGTTTCACCGTGTTAGCCAGGATGGTCTCCAGCTCCTGACCTTGTGATCCACCTGCCTCTGCCTCCCAAAGTGCTGGGATTACAGGCGTGAGCCACTGCACCCAGCCTATTTATTTTTTAAAAGACAGAGTCTCACTCTGTTGCCGAGGATGGAGTGCGGTGGCATGATCAGGGCTCACAGTAGCCTCAAACTCCTGGGCTCAAGTGATCCTCTCACCTCTGTCTCCCAAGTAGCTAGGACTACAGACACATGCCACCATGCCTGGCTCTTTTTTTTTTTTTTTTTTAAAGAGATGGGGTCTTACTATGTTGCCCAGGATGGTCTTGAACCCCTGGCCTCAAGTGATCCTCCCACCTTAGTTTCCCAAAGTGCTGGGATTATAGGCATAAGCATAATGCCAAGCTGATACTTAATTTTTTGAGGAAACAATTTCTAATTACTTTTTCTCCTTATTTTCTCTTCTCTGATACTTTCTACCTAAAAATTGCTTTCTTACATTCAGAATTGTTGAAGAGGCTTCAGTGTCTCTTTGTATATTATCATAATAAAAACAAACAGGTACTATTTTCCTATTACTATAAAGCTTTTTGAGTCTTTAATTTTTCATTAGGATTCCTCTAGATGGCCGGGCATGTTAGCTCATGCCTGTAATCCCAGCACTTTGGGAGGCTGAGGTGGGTGGATCACAAGGTCAGGAGATCAAGACCATCCTGGCCAACATGGTGAAATCCCATCTCTACTAGAAATACAAAAATTAGCCGGACGTGGTGGCATGTGCCTGTAGTCCCTGCTACTCAGGAGGCTGAGGCAGGAGAAATGCTTGAACCCAGGAGGCAGAGTTTGCAGTGAGCTGAGATTGCACCACTGCACCCCAGCCTGGGTGACAGAGTGAGACTCTGTCTCAAAAATAAAAAATTAAAAAAGATTCCTCTAGATGTATAAACTGACTGAAAGTTCTCCAGTTATAAGAACGTATATTGGAAGTTTTAGGTGGCAAGTGAAGCTACTGATAGCTGCTTTACTAAAGATGAACATGAAATAATGAGGAAAGGCTGGGCACGGTGGCTCACACCTGTAATCCCAGCACTTTGGGAGGCCGAGGCAGGCAGACCTGGGGACGGGAGTTCAAGACCAGCCTGACCAACATGGAGAAACCCCATCTCTACTAAAAATACAAAATTAGCTGGGCATGGTGGTGCATGCCTGTAATCCCAGCTGCCCGAGAGGCTGAGGCAGGAGAATCGCTTGAACCTGGGAGGCGGAGGTTGTGGTGAGCCGAGATTGCACCATTACATACCAGTCTGGGCAACAAAAGCGAAATTCCATCTCAAAAAAAAAAAATAAAAAAAAGGAAAGAATGAGACATGACTGTATCTATCCTGATAAATCAAAATACCTCCAAATAATCTGGGGAGTGCTAAAGTATCATGGATTATATCTGACTCAGCAATCAAATTTCAACCTATTGGGGTGATGGGGGGGAGGAAGTCCACCCTTTCAAAGGGATTTACGCAGAAATAGTTTATATTTCTCATCCCAAAGCAGATTTGAAGAATTAAAACCAGAAACCAGGCCCGGTGCGGTGGCTTATGCCTGTAATCCCAGCACTTTGGAAGGCCAAGGCGAGAGGATCACTTGAAGTCAGAAGTTTGAGACTAGCCTGCCCAACATGGTGAAACCCCGTCTCTATTAAAAATACAAAAAAATTAGCTGGGCATGGTGGTGCACACCTGTAATCCCAGCTACTCAGGTGGCTGAGGCAGGAAAATCTCTTGAACCCGGGAGACAGAGGTTGCAGTGAGCTGAGATCTCACCACTGCACTCTAACCTGGGTGACAAGAGTGAGACTCTCTCAGAAAAAAAAAAAAAAGTGAAAATAAAACAAGGAACCAGAACCAAGATTCTTCAATTCACAGTTTGAATAAAATTATGGAAATAGTCTCTCCTAAGGTATGTAGAATTTCAGTAAACCATGCTCTATCTAGTCCTCCCTCTCAATTACTTCTGATTTTCTGTATCATATACATATCTGCATACAAGAGGAATACTTTAAGCTCTATTCTCTAAGAAAGGAGGAAAGCATGATGAGCATAGGGCTAAATTTAGCCAGCCAGCTGTGTTTTGTTTGGCCTGCAGAGTATTTAACATTTGTTTTTATCTGAATGCCTTTTAGGTGGGACCTGGACCTTCCCCAAACCCAGCAACTTCCAGTTGTCTTAATCCAACTAGATTTACCCATTTATATTACCTTCCTAATCTTTGTAATCTTTGGTTTGTACCTGCTGTAAGAACTTTCGTCGCAGACATAATGTGAATATAAGAGCCTAGAGGAAAAGCTTGGCATTGTGGAATTGAGAGGAGGGGAACTTGAGAGGTGAGCCATCCCTGTCTAAGACTCTGACGTAGGGCAGCTTTTCTGCCCTCTCCAGTGGTGCACACTTTTGTCTTCTTCCATAGGAAGTCCATGGTTACCTTATTTCTCCATTCTCCATGCCCACATCTCTCACTGAAACCTGTATCTAAATAAGGTTCCAATACTTATTCATGGGATAAATGACTACCCAAAACTAAACAAAACTGGCTTACCTTAAACCCCAAATAAACTTTCATTATATAAGCATCACCAAGCAAATGGGGTACTCAGAATCATCATACACTCAGCTTGGTTGTCTGCATAGAAGCTTCTCTCTTTTTTTTTTTTTTTGAGATGGATTCTCACACTGTCGCCCAGGGTGGAGGGCAGTGGCGTTATCTCAGCTCACTGCAGCCTCCGCCTCCAGCGTTCAAGCAATTCTCCCGCCTCAGCCTCCCGAGTAGCTGAGATTACAGGCAGCCGCCACCACGCCCGGCTGATTTTCTTTTCGCATTTTTAGTAGAGACGGGGTTTCACCATGTTGGTCGGGCTGGTCTTGAACTCCTGACCTTGTGATCCGCCCACCTTGGCCTCCCAAAGTGCTGGGATTACAGGCGTGAGCCGCTGCTCCCGGCTGAGGCTTCTCTTTTTAATGCATTTTTCTTTTAACTTGATAGGAGAAATAAAAGTAGAAAAGGAAAGCCATGCTTGAGTAAAGAAAGGTTAAACAAAAAGAGTTTCAAGTCAGTCTTTTAGCATGTTAGGACCAAAGGGAAGAGGCATTCAGGAATATTCGCTCTAAATCAAGCCCCTGCCTCCCTGCTAACTGAGGCCAAGAAGTACGGAGCTGTGTGCTAGTAACTTCAGAAACTCACCCCAGTGTCCTTCACCTTCACAGTCTTATTTGTACAAAGATTTATTTGTACTGTTTCTCACCCAAAATTTTTCTAATAGTAACCCTGGGCTATTTATTCTTATAGTCTCTCCTGTCAAAGAAAGCAGTAGATGATATCCTTTTATCTATTTCAAAGTTAATGAGGCTGGGTGCAGTGGCTCAGTCTGTAACCCCAGCACTTTGGGAGGCCAAGGCGGGTAGATCACTTGAGGCCGGGAGTTCGAGACAGCCTGGCCAACATGGTGAAACCCCGTCTCTACTAAAAATATAAAAATTAGCCAGGCGTGGTGACGCAAGCCTGTAATCCCAGCTACTCGGGAGGCTGAGGCATGAGAATAGCTTGAATCTGGGAGGCAGAGCTTGCAGTGAGCCAAGATTGCACCACTGCACTCCAGCCAGGGCAACAGAGTGAGACTCTGTCTCAGGAAAAAAAAAAAAAAAAATTAATGAAAATCTTCCCTATAGTTTGTTCTTCTCTAAACTACAAAATCCCCTTCTCCTTCTCCCGATCCCTTTAGCCTCTTTCTTAGATATCTTATTTGGAAATGCTCTCCTCATTTATTGCTAAACTTTATCTGATTTATCTTCACCTAAATTATGGGGGCCCAAATTTGACTTTTAGTGTTTTCAACTTTAGTATACAATGGATAACTTACAATTTTATATTGGGTAAGGTTATTGATGCTACTGATCCTGTTAAACTGCCTTTTCTGGACCAAAATGTGAGTGAAATTCAGGCTAGAATTCAAAAAGCGTAAAATCCATTATTCAGCATACAGATATGCCTCTCTTTAAGCAAATCTGCTACCTGAAAACATGATTTTATAGAACAAAAACTGATTCTTTAATTAAAAGGATTCACCAATACTTTTCATTAAATAGACTCTCCTCTGGTACAAATAGTCTTTTCAGTTACACATTTATCATGCAAATCAACATGCAGTTGCATAATTTGGGAGGGTGAGAAGAAAACTGTGCAAATTAAAGCAATATAAGAGCTGCCAATTTTATAGGAAGTAACGATATGTTCTTGTAAGTCCTGTAATTCTACACTGCTCTTTCCTGCACCTTCCTTAATAAGTCTCCACCCAAAAGCAAAATTAAAGGGTTTCATTTCTCTCTCCTCTAGACTAAGTAAATGAACTCCTCTCCAAACAGATAGTGGGTAAATAGGAAGGAAATTAACTGCTCAGTTTAAAAAAGGAAAAGGTAGGCTGGGCGCGGTGGCTCAAGCTTGTAATCCCAACACTTTGGGAGGCCGAGGTGGGCGGATCACCTGAGGTCAGGACTTCCAGACCAGCCTGGCCAACACGGTGAAACCGTCTCTACTAAAAATACAAAAATTAGCATGACATAGTGGCACATCCCTGTAATCCCAGCTACTTGGGAGGCTGAGGCAGCAGAATCGCTTGAACCCGGGAGGGGGAGTTTGCAGTGAGCAGAGATCGTCCCACTGCACTCCAGCCTGGGCGACAGAGCGAGACCCCATCTCAAAATAGTGATAATAATAAAATTGACTAATGTATACATTAGTCTGCTCCTTTATACAATTTATTTTTGGCCGGGCGCGGTGGCTCACGCCTGTAATCCCAACACTTTGGGAGGCGGAGGCGGGCGGATTGCCTGAGCTCAGAAATTCGAGACCAGCCTGGGCAACACGGTGAACCCCGTCTCTACTAAAATACAAAAAATTAGACGGGTTCGGCGCCATGCGCCTGTAGTCCCAGCTACTTGGAAGGCTGAGGCAGGAGAATTGCTTGAACCTGGGAGGCGGAGGTTGCAGTCAGCTGAGATCACGCCAATTGCACTCCAGCCTGGGCGGCAGAGCAAGACTCCGTCTCCCGGAAAAAAAAAAAAAAAAGAATAATGAAATGATAGCAGGACATTGTGGTGGGCACCTGTAACCCCACCTACTTGGGAGGCTGAGGCAGGAGAATCGCTTTAACCCCGGAGGTTAAAGCTTTTTACTCCCATTGCTTCACCTTTGGCACACCACTGCCTACTATGTGCCAGGCAATGTTAGGTGCTGGTATTGCCATGTTAGGCAGAACACTGCCTGGCACCCAACAGATGAAGTCTTGCTCTCATGGAGCTCCTGTTTAGTGGGAGCGATCAACAGAGAATAAGTAAACAAGAATTTATAACGTTCAAAGAGCTATAGAAGGAAACAAACTAGATCCCAAAGCAGAGAGTAACAGGAAGAATTACAGGAGACTCTGCTAGGCTGGGTGGTAAAGGATGGTTCATGTCCTTGGTGCCTGATGAGCAAGAGGGAGAGAGATGTGAGTTGAGGTTAGAAGATAGGCAGATGCCTGAACAGCCTTACAGACTTTTACTTTTATTCAAAGGCGCAGGAAAAAAATCCATTCAAGTTTTAAGTAGTAAAGTGACATAAATTTGTTTCCAAAAGATTAGTCTGGCCACTGTGTAGAGAATTGATTGAAATCTGCCAAAAAATAGAAGCTAGTTGACCTGTTGGACTATTTTTAGTTTTGGAGAATGACAATGGTGGGTTGGTCTCAAAAGGTGGCAACAGTGATGGAAAGAAAATTAAAATATGTTTGAGTATGAGTATTTGAAAGTGGGAAGTGAGGTCAAAGAAGTTGTCGAGAACAACACCTGGGTTTCTGGCTTCAGTAAGTGGGAGAATGATGGTGGCTTTTACTGAACTGGAAAGTTTGCTGGGACAGGTTCCTAATAATGACTTGATCCAATAGATCAAGTCGTATACAAAAGAATGATACAAATACATAAGAATGATCTGATTAAGATCAGATTACTTTCCTAATAATGACTTGATCCAACATGCATCTCTCTCTGAGACTTTAGTTTTTTTTAAATTTATTTTTTAATTTTTTGGGGTTTTTTTTTAGACGGAGTCTCACTCTGTCGCCCAGGCTGCAGTGCAGTAGTGCGATCTTGGCTCACTGCAATCTCCACCTCCCAGGTTCAAGTGATTCTTCTGCCTCAGCCTCCTGAGTAGCTGGGATTACAGGCGCCCACCACCACGCCCAGCTAATTTTTGTATTTTTAGTAGAGATGGGGTTTCACCATGTTGGCCAGGATGGTCTTGAACTACTGACCTCAAGTGATCCACCCGTCTCGGCCTCCCAAAGTGCTGGGATTACAGGCCTGAGCCATGGCTCCTGGCCTGTGTTTTTTTAATACACTTTATTTTATAGAGCAGTTCAAATTCACAGAAAAATTGAGTGGAAAATATAGCACATTCTCTTATGACCTCTTCCCCACGACCAGCCTCCCTCACTATCAACATCATGCACTAGAGTGGTACTTACATTACAATCAATGAATCTACATGCATACATCAACATTATCATCCAAAGTCCATGGTTTATATTAGGGTTCACTTTTGGTGTTGTACAGTCTCTGGGTTTCACAATGTATAATGTGTCCACAATTATAGTATCCTACACAATAATTTCACTCCCCTAAAAATCCTTTGTGCTTCTCCTGTTCATCCCTCCCTCCCCTAATCCCTGGTAACCACTAATCTTTTTTACTGCCTCCATAGTTTTGCCTTTTCAAAATATCATATAGTTAGAATCATACAGCCCTTTCAGATTGGCTTCTTTTAATTACCAATATGCATTTAAGTTTCCTCCATGTCTTTTGATGGCTTGATAGCTCCTTTCATTTTAGCGCTAAATAAAATTCCATCCAATGGATGTACTGCAGTTTATTTATCCTTAGTTGACTTCTTATTTGCTTCCAAGATTTGGCAATTATGAATAAAGTTGTTATAAACATGCGTGTGCAGATTTTTGTGTAATTTTTTTTTATTAAAAAATTTTTAGAGACGGCATCTCATTATGTTGCCCAGGCTGGACCTGAACCCCTGGGCTCAAGTTATCGTCTGACCTCAACCCCTCCAGTAGCTAGGACTACAGACGTGCACCACCATGCCTGGCATGTAGGCTTAAGTTTTTGACTCCTTAGGGTAAATAGCAAGGAATGCAATCACTAGATCATATGTATGAGTGTGTTTAGTTTGTAAGAAACTGCCAAAGTGTCTTCTATACCATTTTGATATCTCATCAGCAATGAGTAAGAGTTCTTACTGCTGTACCTCCTTGTCACCATTTGGTATTGTCACTCTTTTGGATTTTAGCCTTTCTAGTAGGTTGGTACTGATATTGTTGTTTTAATTTGCGATTCCCTAATGACTTACAATGTTGAGGATTTTTCATTGCTTATTTGCCTTCTGTGTATCTTCTTGGTGATGTGAATCTGTTCAGGTCTTTTGCCCTTTTTTTTTCAGACAGAGTCTCACTCTGTTGCCCAGGCTGGAGTGCAGTGGCGCGATGTCTGCTCACTGCAAGCTCTGCCTCCCGGGTTCAGGCCATTCTCCTGCCTCAGCCTCCTGTGTAGCTGGGACTACAGGCGCCCACCACCATGCCCAGCTAATTTTTTTTTTTTTTTGTATTTTTTTAGTAGAGACGGAGTTTCACCATGTTAGCCAGGATGGTCTCGATCTCCTGATCTCGTGATACGCCAGCCTTGGCCTCCAAAAGTGCTGGGATTACAGGTGTGAGCCACCGTGCCCAGCCTCTTTTGCCCATTTTTAAATTGGGTTATTTTCTTATTGTTGAGTTTTAAGAATTCTTTTTATTTTTTTAGTGACCAGAAATTATTATTAAACTTTATTTTTAAATGACACCAATTATAGCTACTTTTCTTTTTATTTCAATCAGTTTTGGGGAGACGGGTGGTATCTAGTTACATGAATAAGTTCTTTAGTGGTAATTTCTGAGATTTTGGTGCACCCATCACCAAATCATGAGCAGTGTATGAGCAGTGTACACTGTACCCAATGTGTAGTCTTTTATTCCTCACCCCCCACCCTTTCCCCCGAGTCCCCAAAGTCCATTGTATCATTCTTATGTATTTGCATCTTCATAGCTTAGCTCCCAGAGTTTTAAGAATTCTTTGTGTATTTTGAGCTGGGCATGACAGTTTGTGCCTGTTGTCCCAGCTACTTCAGAATCTGAGGCAGGAGGATCCCTTGAGCCCACGAGTTCTAATTCAGCTTAGGCAACATAGCAAGACCCCATCTCTAACAAACAAATACATTTTAAAAATAGTTCTTTGTATATATTTTTTAAAAACAACATTTTTTTTCCCTTGAGACAGAGGCTCACTCTGTCACCAAGGCTGGAGTGCAGTGATGTGATCACAGTTCACTGCGGCTTCAACCTCCCAGGCTCCAGCCATCCTGAGCCACCATACCCTGCTACTTTTTTTTTTTTTTTTTTTTTTTGGAGAGATAGGGTTTGCTATATTGCCCAAGCTAGTCTTGAACTCCTGGACTCAAGTAATCCATCCATCTTGGCCTCCCAAAGTGTTGGGATTACAGGCCTGAACCACCACACCCGGCCATATAACACTGTTTTATCAGATACATCTTTTGCAACTATTTCCTCCTAGTCTGTGACTTATCTTCTCATTCTCTTAATAAGCTTTCAGTTTTGTCTCTTCAGACCACTGTTTCATGTGACATTTTCAATTTTTAATTATTGTGTTAAAATACACATAAAATTTACCATCTTAACTATTTTAAGTCTACAGTGGAGTGGTATGTATATATTCAAAATTTTGTGCAACCATCACCACCATCCACCTCCCTAACTCTTTCATCTTATAAAACTGAAACTCAGCCGGGTATGGTGGCTCACACCTGTAATCCCAGCACCTTGGGAGGCTGAGGCAGGCAGATCATCTGAGGTCAGGAGTTTGAGACCAGCCTGGCCAACATGGTGAAACACTATCTCTACTAAAAATACAAAAATTAGCTGAGCGTGGTGCCAGGCGCCTGTAGTCCCAGCTATTCAGGAGGCTGCGTCAGAAGAATCGCTTGAACCCGGGGGGCAGAGGTTGCAGTGAGCCGAGATAGGGCCACTGCACTCCAGCTTGGGGGACACATAAACAAAACAAAACAGAACTGAAACTCTATAACAGTTTCATTTTAATTCAGTCAAATATGGAGATATTTTATATTGAATAAGACTCTTTTTTCCCTTTTAAAAAAATAAAAATTTTTTTTATTATAGAAGTAATATGTATTTCTAATGGAAAACTTGAAAACACATAATTAGAAAAAAGAGGAAAAACCTATGAAAACCTCTGGCACCAGGAAGACTAGTGGCCTTGGAAGTAGTCTGGAAACCGCACCCTTAGCCGGGACAATTTGACAGACAATACATATCAGGAGCATAAAAAATATACTCTTTGACCTAACAATCCTTGTTTTGAAATGTATTCAAAGGAAATAGTTAGATAGGTGCCCAGAGAGTGAAATACAAAGATGTTCTTAATCGGAAAAAAACTGTAAACAACCTATATTTGTTTTCTAGGGCTGTCATAACAAAGCACGGCAGACTGAGTGGTATAAACAGAAATGTATTTCTCACAATTCTGGAGGCTAAAGGTCTGAGATCAAGCTGTCAGCAGGATCTTCACATGGTTCTTGTAAGTGTCTATGTTCAAGTTTCCCCTTTTTATAAGGGTGCCAGTCATATTGGATTAAGGCCCATTGATGACCTACCTCATTTTAACTTAATTATTTCTTTAAAATTCTATCTCCAAATGCAGTCACATTCTGAGGTACTGGGGGTTAGGATATCAACATATTAATTTTGGGGGAACACAATTCAGCCAATTATGCAAACCTCGTCTAAGAATTGAGAATAAATAAATTAGGATGCAGTCCGTACAATAGTTCAATCATACTTTTTAGCTCATATATGAATATTTAATACCACCATTAAAAATGGCCTTAGGGTCAGGCGTGGTGGCTAATGCCTATAATCCCAGCACTTTGGGAGGCTGAGGCAGGTGGATCACTTGAGGCCAAGAGATCGAGACCAGCCTGGCCAACATGGCAAAACCCCTTCACTACTAAAGATTAAAAGATTAACTGGGTGTGGTGGTGCATGCCTATAATCCCAGCTACTCAGGAGGCTGAGGCAGGAGAATCACTTGAGCCCAGGAGGCAGAGGTTGCAGTGAGCTGAGATCGTGCCACTGTACTCCAGCCTGGATGACAGAGTGAGACCCTGTCTCAAAAAACAAACCAACAAACAAGGCCTTAGGGTTATATATGACATAGAAATAATTTCATGGCATATATTGTCAGTGAAAAGAACAGGCTACAAAATAATATGAATAGTATGATCCTCGCTCTTTCTGTGTGTGAAATACATAGACAAATGCACAGAAAAATGGCTGGAAAAGTTCATTATATTTTGGGGATGATATGGATGAGTTTTCTTTGTTTTATTTCTATATATTGCTTAACTGTGCATTTAAATTTTCCCATACTAAGTCTTTGAAGTATATATAGATATATAGATATAATAACAATTATTATTATTTTTTGAGACAGGATCTCACTTTGCCACCCCAGCTGGAGTGCAGTAGTAAGATCAGGGCTCACTGCAGCCTCTACCTTCTAGGCTCAGGTGATCCTCCCACCTCAGACTTCCAAGTAGCTGGGACTATAGCCACATGTCACCACACCTATAGGTATGAGCTCAGAGCCTGATAGGGCTATTCTCAAACTTGAGGAGAAAATTTTAAAATGGGGTTGGTTCCCAAAAAGAAAGGAGGGTGACTGTGTCCAGAAAGGTGGGGTGGGAGGAGTGGACAGGGCAGCTCTGAAGGTACTTGCCTTTTTTCCTAGTTATTGTTTTGTCACTGGCCACCTTCATTTTTCACTGAATTGAGTCTTCCACATGAAGAAGCATATCATCTGCAAAGATCTCTGTGATTTCTAGCTTTGGAGGCAGAGAGTGTCTATTTATGTCTCATTTTTTGTACAGATGAGGTTTCACCACCTTGCCCAGGCTGGTCTTGACTTCCTGGGCTCGAGCAATGCTCCCGCTTCAGCCTCCCAAAGTGCTAGGATCACAGGCGTGAACCACCATGCCTGGCCAGTCTTTGTAATATTTTAGAAGAACCCCTGCCCCCAGCACACACACGCACAGACACACACCCCAAAAAAAGAAAGAAGAGGGAAAACTCCACGCCATGCCTAAACCATGTTTTACAGAACAGTTTTCTAGTCATGTAGTTTTCCTTTAGCTATTTCTGCTTTCTAGCTGCAAATGAGAGTGTCAGTGGGATATGAAAGCTTACTTAATGTTCATAACTGTTTATATTTGCCCCTATATAGTAATGTCCTGTTCATTAACGTGCAATGGAGTGCTCGGTGTACTTTTATTCCTTTTTGGAAGCTCTTTGGAAAGGCTTTTGCTTAATCATAGGACATTGCTGAAGCCAATGACATTATGATTGAATGATTCATCTTGGTTTAAGACTTATGATCAGACAGGCTCTGAGCTCTATTCTCCAACCTGGGGAGAAAATTTTACAATAGAGTGGGTTCTCAAAAGGAAAGGAGGGTGACTGTGTTCAGTGTCCTGATCTCTGTGATTTCTAGCTTTGGAAGCACAGGGTGCCTATTTACGTCTCATTCATGAGAGAATTGACTGCAGGCGTTTTTCTCCTAAAGTCTGTTATTTCTTTAGAGGCTGGGCCTACCACTCCAGTTATATTCCTCTAGTCCAGCCCTTCCTCTACTTCTGTAGCTTGGGTGATTTATGCACAAAACAGGCAGCGTTTGAATAAAAGGACAACATCTACGTCAAGACACAAAATAATTAGAGGTTAGCTGTGTACATGATTCTACAAGCTAAGCTTTCACTTTGTATAATATACCTGCATGGCCATTGAAACTGTTGTTGGTGAAGTGAAATGCAGCCACTCCCCTGGTTGTTACATGGAGTGGTGACAGATTTAGCCTCACTATACCTGCATAAGTAGGTAGTATACAACAATAGCAGAAGTTGAAATTTTAGTCTTACAATAGAAGGGGTAGCTGGCATTAAGTACCTTGTTTACACCTCTGATAAGTCTTGAGAATGTCTCTAGAACTGAGAATCCTCTGCAGAAATGAGAGTCTAAGCTCTGGGAATATCGTGAGATTCCCAGGAGGGGTTGCTATGTATAGTGAGGGTTGAAAAAAAAGCTCAAGGACAAGATCCATATTTACGGACAGAAAGCCAACAAAGAATACACAGTAGAAATGGGGCCACGGTGGCTCACGCCTGTAATCCCAGCACTTTTCGAGGCCAAGGCGGGTGGATCACCTGAGGTCAGGAGTTATAGACCAGCCTCGCCAACATGGTGAAACCTCGTCTCTAGTAAATATACAAAAATTATCCAGGCGTGGTGGCACGAGCCTGTAATACCAGCTACTCTGGAGACTGAGGCAGGAGAATCACTTGAACCCAGGAGGCAGGGGTTGCAGTAAGCCGAGATCACACCACTGCACTCCAGCCTAGGGGACCGAGCAAGACTGTGTCTCAAATAAACAAAAAAGTATACACAGTAGGGCCGAGCGCAGTGGCACACGCCTCTAATACCAGCACTTTGGGAGGGCGAGGAGGGCGGATCGCGAGGTCAGGAGATCACGACCATCCTGGCTAACATGGTGAAACCCCGTCTCTACTAAAAATACAAAAAAAATTAGCTGGGTGTGGTGGCGGGCGCCTGTAGTCCCAGCTACTCCGGAGGCTGAGGCAGGAGAATGGCGTGAACCCAGGAGGCAGAGCTTGCAGTGAGCCGAGATCGCGCCACTGCACTCCAGCCTGGGCGACAGAGAGTGAGACTCCGTGTCAAAAAAAAAAAAAAAAAAAAAAAAATACACAGTAGAAATGAGAGAAAGGCAAAAGGCAGGAGGAGAACTAGGATAGTGCTGGAAATGCTCCACAAGAGATAAAAGACAAAATTTCAAGGAAGAATGGATGCGCAACAGTGATACAGGTTTCAAAGAGAGGCAGAAGGAACAGGTCAGTGGGCTGTTTGTTAGGCAATCTTTGAGAAACTTGGTTGTTTGAAAAGTAAGTTAGAAAAGCCAGAAAATAAAGGTTATTTTGTTGAGTGGAATTAGAGGATGAAGAAAACTTTCAGGAAGTTTGTTAGTAACATGAAGGTGAAGAGTAATGGTGAAATATATTAGAACAAAGTTAACTTTCAGAATTTGTGTTCAGGTTAAGAGTTTTTGCAATTGAGTCTCTTAATTATATACTAGTATTTCATCCTTTCATTTTCTTTTTTTGCATATTATATAGCACATACTTCATACGCCACTTCTTGCCCTTGGTTTCCCAAATTAACAGAAATGCTCACGCGGATATGTCCATGTTCATAGCAAAGCAATGAGGATGCACTCCAGATTCCTGGCATTTTGCTTTGACCCAGGATCAAATTTGAGGCAATGACGGTGGCACACGCCTGTAGTCCCAGCTACTCAAGAGGCTGAAACAGGAGAATCGCCTGAACCCGGGAGGCAGAGGTTGCAGTGAGCCGAGATCATGCCACTGCACCGCAGCCTGGGCGACAGAGTGAGACTCCATCTCAAAACAAACAAAGAACAATAAATATTTGTTCGATTGAATTCACAATCAACTATTTGCTCGTCACCCTTATTTTATATATATCTTTCTAATCTAGGATATGGTAAAATTATATTAGTATCATGAGGATTGAATATTGCTCTAATATTATTCTAAAATATTAGTGATGAAAGAGACCTTAGAAATCATTTACTATACAGTGGTTTCATTTTGCAGATAGGAAAACTGAGGCACAAAGATGTTAAATGACTTGTCAAAGCGGCAGAGCTAGAGCCAGGAGAATCCAGGTCCTCTTGATTCCTAGTTTGCTACTAAACACCGCTAAGCCGTGAAGAAGGTTGCTTCTGCTTTACGTTATGCTACATTTTTTCTTTCTCTCTCTTTTCGCATGCTTTTTTTGTCCCACTTGAACATGAGATCAACATGCAAATCAGAGAACCTGAAAAATTTGAGAAAAACAGGGACAGTTGTGTTGTGACCCAGTATACAGGGAATGGAGGTATGATAACTTCCTCTTTCTACCAAGTTATCAGGTTTACTCATGTTTCCTGGGCCTTAGTTGAACGTGAGAGCCTTTCCCAGATATAGGCATCTTTTCTCGTCAGTGGATGTATTAGAAAGGCAGGAGACCAGAGCTCTGACCTGGCTCTGTTATCATTCCTGTGGTCTCTAGAAAGTGACTTTCCCTCCCTGGGCCTCAGTTGCCTAATTTGTAAAATATGAGACTTGGATTACATGAGTTCAAAAATGTTTTCGGCTCTAAAATCCTATGATTCTACCTTCTGAATTATGAAGGATTTAATTTTTTTCTACCTTCCAAGTAAAAGCCATACCTAAGCCTCATGGAATTTGATCACCCCTACCTTTTCCTGTGAATGTTAACAGGCCTTCTCTGCTCTGTTTGCTATAATTGGAATGATTTAGTTCTTATTTCAATGGTTTCAATGATTGTTTTCCATTTGTCATTCTACCAAAGAAGTAATTGGCACAATGATTAAAGGTGATCTATGACTCAGATTTTCTGCTGGATCCCTTTCAAGTGTTACTTCGCAAATCTCTAGACCTCCTCCCCTCTATGTCTCACTCATACAGAGTTGGATACCAACTATGGATCTGATTTTTTTTTTTTAATTTTAATTTTATTTTATTTTATTATTATTATACTTTAAGTTTTAGGGTACATGTGCACAATGTGCAGGTTAGTTACATATGTATACATGTGCCATGCTGGTGTGCTGCACCCATTAACTCGTCATTTAGCATTAGGTATATCTCCTAATGCTATCCCTCCCCCCTCCCCGCACCCCACAACAGTCCCCAGAATGTGATGTTCCCCTTCCTGTGTCCATGTGTTCTCATTGTTCAATTCCCACCTATGAGTGAGACTATGCGGTGTTTGGCTTTTTGTTCTTGCGATAGTTTACTGAGAATGATGATTTCCAATTTCATCCATGTCCCTACAAAGGACATGAACTCATCATTTTTTATGGCTGCATTGTATTCCATGGTGTATATGTGCCACATTTTCTTAATCCAGTCTATCATTGTTCAACATTTGGGTTGGTTCCAAGTCTTTGCTATTGTGAATAGTGCCGCAATAAACATACGTGTGCATGTGTCTTTATAGCAGCATGATTTATAGTCCTTTGGGTATATACCCAGTAATGGGATGGCTGGGTCAAATGGTATTTCTAGTTCTAGATCCCCGAGGAATCGCCACACTGACTTCCACAAGGGTTGAACTAGTTTACAGTCCCACCAACAGTGTAAAAGTGTTCCTATTTCTCCACATCCTCTCTAGCACCTGTTGTTTCCTGACTTTTTAATGATGGCCATTCTAACTGGTGTGAGATGGTATCTCATTGTGGTTTTGATTTGCATTTCTCTGATGGCCAGTGATGGTGAGCATTTTTTCATGTGTTTTTTGGCTGCATAAATGTCTTCTTTTGAGAAGTGTCTGTTCATGTCCTTCGCCCACTTTTTGATGGGGTTGTTTGTTTTTTTCTTGTAAATTTGTTTGAGTTCATTGTAGATTCTGGATATTAGCCCTTTGTCAGATGAGTAGGTTGCGAAAATTTTCTCCCATTTTGTAGGTTGCCTGTTCACTCTGATGGTAGGTTCTTTTGCTGTGCAGAAGCTCTTTAGTTTAATTAGATCCCATTTGTCAATTTTGGCTTTTGTTGCCATTGCTTTTGGTGTTTTAGACATGAAGTCCTTGCCCATGCCTATGTCCTGAATGGTAATGCCTAGGTTTTCTTCTAGGGTTTTTATGGTTTTAGGTCTAACGTTTAAGTCTTTAATCCATCTTGAATTAATTTTTGTATAAGGTGTAAGGAAGGGATCCAGTTTCAGCTTTCTACATATGGCTAGCCAGTTTTCCCAGCACCATTTATTAAATAGGGAATCCTTTCCCCATTGCTTGTTTTTCTCAGATCAGATCAAAGATCAGATAGTTGTAGATACGCGGCGTTATTTCTGAGGGCTCTGTTCTGTTCCATTGATCTATATCTCTGTTTTGGTACCAGTACCATGCTGTTTTAGTTACTGTAGCCTTGTAGTATAGTTTGAAGTCAGGTAGCGTGATGCCTCCAGCTTTGTTCTTTTGGCTTAGGATTGACTTGGCGATGCGGGCTCCTTTTTGGTTCCATATGAACTTTAAAGTAGTTTTTTCCAATTCTGTGAAGAAAGTCATTGGTAGCTTGATGGGGATGGCATTGAATCTATAAATTACCTTGGGCAGTATGGCCATTTTCATGATATTGATTCTTCCTACCCAGGAGCATGGAATGTTCTTCCATTTGTTTGTATCCTCTTTTATTTCCTTGAGCAGTGGTTTGTAGTTCTCCTTGAAGAGGTCCTTCATGTCCCTTGTAAGTTGGATTCCTAGGTATTTTATTCTCTTTGAAGCAATTGTGAATGGGAGTTCACTCATGATTTGGCTCTCTGTTTGTCTGTTATTGGTGTGTAAGAATGCTTGTGATTTTTGTACATTTATTTTGTATCCTGAGACTTTGCTGAAGTTGCTTATCAGCTTAAGGAGATTTTGGGCTGAGACAATGGGGTTTTCTAGATATACAATCATGTCATCTGTAAACAGGGACAATTTGACTTCCTCTTTTCCTAACTGAATACCCTTTATTTCTTTCTCCTGCCTAATTGCCCTGGCCAGAACTTCCAACACTATGTTGAATAGGAGTGGTGAGAGAAGGGATCTGATTTTCTTTTGCTTCTTTTTTTTTTTAAGATGGAGTCTTGCTCTGTTGCCCAGGCTGGAATGCAGTGGCACAATCTTGGCTCACTGCAACCTCTGCCTCCTGGGTTCAAGTAATTCTCCTGCCTCAGCCTCCCAAGTGGCTGGGATTACAGGCACCCACCACCATGCCCAGCTAATTTTTGTATTTTTAGTAGAGACGGGGTTTCACCATATTGGCCAGGCTGGTCTCAAACTCCTGACCTTGTGATCTGCCCACCTCAGCCTCCCAAAGTGTTGGGATTACAGGCATGAGTCACCACGCCCGGCCTTTTGCTTCTTTTGGAATTAGGAGGGGGGTCATAGGATGTCCTCAGGATCAGAGATCCAAGGAGATATCTGGAAGGAAGAATGTGTTCTCTCGGTAAAGGAAGGGGAAAGCTGCCATGTTGCTGACTTTGCTATAGCAGATGACAAGGAGTTAATTGCAGCCTAACTCCTCTCCTCATTGTGGGGGTTACTGGCTTTGCAGTGTCTTGGCAAAGTCTCATAGACATGTCATGGCAGCCTATCCCTTGCTTTCTTCTGTCTACATGCCTACACACCCAGGGATGGAGAATCAAGAGATCAGTTTTCTGGCTGCCATTGAAAGGATGCTCTGTCAGAAGCAAAGGCTTGACTTATTCTGAAGATTACCCTGATCTGCAAAGCTGCAGAATGCATAGTTATTTGTTACCTGGACTTAAAGTAAGGCAAGGCCCAGTGTCACATTACTTTGCCTCTAACAGACCTTTCTTGCAATGACTGTTTCATGCCATCAGTCACTCAACATTTACAAAGCACTTACCTTAGCATGAAGGAAAGGTTGAAAAGGAAGAGAAACCATGATCTCAGGGATTGAAGACTGAAAAATTGCTGTGAGAATAGAGAATGCTCAGAAACATTAAGTACTATAAAAACAAATACATATTAACATAATACATAGTATTTCCAGAAATATTTAGAAATTAATTGCAATGATCAAACCTGGATGGAGTTAATCAGAGTCATGGCACCCAGTGGGATGACTTAGAACCATGAGGGGAAGTTAGATAACTTGCTCTAGATCATGCAGCTGTAAAAGAGGAACTGCAGTTTGAATCCAGGCACTCTGGCTCCAAACTTAACATCGTACTAGATTGCGTCTCTGAAGTCAAAGAGCAAGGAAAGAAAACTACCCTAGTGCAGTTGTTGAGAGTATGACCTCTAGACTCAGACTCCCTGGGATTCCATCCTGCCTCTAGCATTTACCATACACTCCTGGACAATCCACTTACCATTCTATCCTTTCTTTTCCTTATCCATAAAAATGGGGATAATAGGCTGGACGCGGTCACTCACACCTGTAGTTTCAGCACTTTGGGAGGCCTAGGTGGGCAGATCACGAAGTCAGGAGTCTGAGACCAGCCTGACCAACATAGTGAAACCCCATCTCTACTAAAAATATAAAAATTAGCTGGGCGTGGTGGCATGCGCCTGTAATCCCAGTTACTCAGGAGGCTGAGGCAGGAGAATTGCTTGAACCCGGGAGGCGGAGGTTGCAGTGAGCCAAGATCGTGCCACTGCACTCCAGCCTGGCAACAGAGTGAGACTCTGTCTCAAAAAAAAAAGAGGGGGATAATAGTAACTGTGTATGAAGTTGCTATAAGGTACAAATGTGGTATATAGTGTGTAAAGTGTGCAGCCCAGTGCCTCAGACATAGTGATTGCTCAATAAATGTTAACTATCAATAAAATGATTATTATCATCCTATTTCTAAGAACCTGAAGTCCTACCAGGATAGTAACTCTAATTGCCAGAATAAGAAGGGGAAGTTTGGGTTGAGGTTATTTTCCAATCAGAAGTCCTTGAAGGAAAATCATGTCAGAAGGGAGGGAAAGGAAAGGAAACCAAGACTCTGGTTAGTGTAGACCCTCTTGGGTTGTGGACAAGAGAGTATGGGATTGCCATTTTATTAGTAACTTATACATTGTGCATGAATTTAACTTCCCTTTTGGTTTCCTCTTTTCATCCTCACTATTACTAGACCATGCATATATTGAGAAGTAATCTATGCTGCAACTCTCCCTCAGAACTGTACGTACTTAAAATCAAGTTAGTAGAGATTTTGAAAGGACTGTGCTTTAAAGAAAACACAAAAAACCAGTAACATAATAGATGATTGTCCTTATTCATAGGTCAGGGAGCCACTAGTCCACTGCAGCTCTTTTCTCCTAGAGAGATCTTCAAGAAGAGGTCTTTGTGCCCCATATGTAATGACTACTTAGGAGCTGAGTCAAACAAAGAGTCTTATTTTAGTTTTCTAAATACCAAGTCTGGGCAGGCCTGTGTTTTCGCTACATGGGAGGAGTCAAGTATCTTTTCACTACATGGGAGGGGTAAGTGGTTAAGTTTTTTCATATGTTGGCTGCCTAAGTCATTCTGCTTGGTACCGTGGCTCAGTTAGTTTTGTCAACTGACCAAGGACTATATAAGTGAGGGCAAAGCTACACCCCACTGTGTGTAACAGGAAGGAGTGACATGGCACTCTGCCCTTTGAATTCATTGTGTATTCTGGGCCTGGCTAAGTGATATTGAGAAAAGATAGCAGTAATCTTTGGTAACATTAGTGCTCTTAAAACCATTCACTCACAAATATTTATTGACAATAGTAGAACATCTGTAAAGAACACAGTATCTTGCAAATAGTAGAAGATCAAATTTTGTGGACTATAAACCAATGTTTGGGCTGTACATTTGCCAATATGCAGCATTTAACTACATTTCTTCAAGCAAAATTCAACTATATCTTCAGAGTAAAGAATAGGAGAAAAGGAATGAATTAGATACAATGTCGTTTGGATGTATTTTTCTACATTCAGCTTCCCCGCTATTAAGAAATCGCAGCTCCAGTTCAGCAGTGGTAAAGTGATTGCTATCACACAGCAATGAGTGGTGTCTGTGAGCTCATGTTGAGCAGTTGTTACAGAATTTGAAAGGGCAAGGCATATTTCATGTACGAGTCCTCAACTATCTCCATCAAGCTGTCACCATAGAGACTGAGAACTTAAAGACTTCCTTTCAATCATCTTGGAAGGGAAATGTCTATTTCTGGCTGAGGCTTGGCCTCTCTGGAGAGGAGTTTATAAAGCATGTCTTACTATCTGCTACGTAGTGAGGAATTTAGGACAAAATTTGGAGTAACCTTATGGGGTAAGATAATCAGCACTTTTAAAAAAAAGGAAAACCTACTTAGATTAGCGTAGAGCTAGATCCTATAAGTCGGTTGTGACGTGGATAGGATTTAGGTACTCTGGAAATCACTAATCTTCATGTTTTGTGACATATAGGTTATGGGAATGGTTAGGGTTATAATCCAGTTATAACCCAGAAAGAGGTAGGCAACCTATAGGACAATCACCACCCTGGGATTTTCTGCAAACAGTTGTCATAAACTTAAATATCAGTTACCAAAGATCATATGGTTTTAGCAATTTTTTTTTTTTAGCTGCTACTTCCTTTGGTCCTTATAGATAGATAAGACCAAGCACCTCTTCATAGGTTTCCATTTTTTGTCTCTACTGTAAGACCGATCAAATGGTTTTTAAAGTAATCTAATTTTGTTTTCTAGAAAGATGAGAGAAGTTTAGTCTTTCAAATAGCCTATGTTAGCACTGATTCTCAAGCCAAGTAGGACCCATGGAAAAACAGGATTGCTTTCAGTCTGTTTTACCTCTTGGAACATTAATTCCATAAGGAAAGCACTTCATTAAATTCTGCTGACATAGAAAGCTTAAAAAATGTGTTTCTTGGTTCTTTTTAACTATACTAAACTTTTTTCTTTGGGCTGGCCTTGGTGGCTTACACCTGTAATACCAGCACTTTGGGATGCCAAGGCGGGAGAATGGCCTGAGCCCAGGAGTTCAAGACCAGCCTGGGCAACAAAACAAGACCCCCGTCTCTACAAAAAACCCACAAAACTTATCTGGGCATGGTTGTATGTGCCTGTGGTCCCAGCTACTTGGGAAACTGAGATGGGAGGATTGCTTGAGCCCAGGAGGTTGAGGCTGCAGTGAGCCAAGGTCACACCACTGCATTCCAGTCTGGGAGCAAGACCCTGTCTCTAAAAGAAACAAAACAAAAAACAAGCCTTTTTCTTTGGATGCTTCCAAAATTGCATTGGAATCCATTAAATTTTAAAATGCATACCCTTGGGTATCACAATTTCACTTCAAGGAATTTCTTCCGGACAAATATTCCCATTAAACGAAAGTCCATTCTGAACTTGAAGTGCTCAGGCTAATTCCTGCACTTGGCTCCAAGAATGCTAGGCAAGAGACTGGCAAATTCTCTTCTGGAAAAAAATCAACAGCACAAGAAAGCACATTCGGGAGTCCTACAATGAGGCAAGTGGATCCCACTTGATGACTTCAAAGTGAAATCTACAAGAGGACAAGTATTATTTGAGTATACGGAGGTAATAATAAACTATTACGTGAAAGTCACTTGACATCTGAGGAATGCCTCCATCATGAAATCAGACACTAAAACAATGGAATTTAGAGTAAACAAAGACAATGCAGGAAGAGAAATAAATTATGAAACATAAACAACAATGGAATGCTATGATAAGAAAGAATTATCTGTAGACAAATTCTATATGATTCCACTTATATGAGGTAGAGAAAGAGAAAGAATGGTGGTTGCCAAGGGCTGGGGGAATGGGGAGTGGGGAGTTATTGTTTAATGGAGAAAGAGTTTCAATTTTGCAAGAGGCAGAGTTCTGAAGATGGGTGATGGTTGCACAATAGTATTAATGTACTTCATGCCACTGAAATATATACTTAAAATAGTTAAGACAGTCAAGTTTATGTTGTGTGTATTTGACCACAATACAAAATTAGAAAGAAAATGAATAATGGGAGCTCTTGGAAATGAAAAATATGATTGCTGAAATGAGAAATTCATAGACAGTGTGGAAGATGAAGACGAGGAAATTTCCCAGAAGGTAAATTCAAGAGATGACATATAGATGGAAAATAGAGGACAAAGTTAAAGGATCAGCCTGTAATCCCAGCACTTTGGGAGGCTGAGGCAGGAGAATTGCTTGAGCCCAGGAGTTCGAGACCAGCCTGGGCAACATAGCAAGATGTGTCAATATTAAAAAAAAAAAAAAAATTTAAAGTTAGCCAGGCGTGGTGGCTCACATCTGTAGTCCCAGCTACGTAGGAGGCTGAGGCAGGAGGATCACTCAAGCCCAGGAGTTGAGGCTGCAGTGAGTTATGATGACAGAGCAAGACACTATCTCTAAAAAGAGAGAGAGAAATATCGTATCAGAGTCCCAACAGCAAGCCTAATTCAGCACATTAGCACATGGTTGGGATAAAGAGATTTTTATGAAAGGACTATTTACGGGAGTGTGAGCAGCAAGGATTAAGGGGACAAACAAAGGTGGTATAGTGTCCAGGGACCAGCAGCAGTGAGAAGCTATTACACTCCCAGGGCTGAAAGTGCAAGGGGAGGAGGCCGTGTAAATGGGGTCCAATAAGAACTAGAGCCAAGGAGGAAGGACCTTCCAGTGATAGGTATAGCTCGTGCCTGAGAGATGGGGCTCTGCAACAACAACAAGACAAGAAAGCACATTCGGGAATCCTACAATGAAGCAAGTGGATCCCGCTCGATGACTCCAAAGTGAAATCTACCAGAGGACAAGTATTATTTGAGTATACGGAGATAATAATTTGAGTATACAGGAGAAATATTCTGACCTCTCTCTCTTCCTGTGATCTGATCTGATATTGGCCAGACCTAACCAGAAGGAAGACTGGGTGAGAGTCTATAGTTCATATAGTCTATAGTCATCCTCTCAGGGTAGGGTAGGTCTAGTATGGGAAAGAACTAAATTATCAAAGAATAGTACAATAACATTTTCCCATCTGAAAAACATCTGGTGTCCATCCTAGGGAATTAAAAAAAAAAAAAAAGCCTTGCACGAGGCAGAACATAATGAAATTTCAGAAAAATATTAACCAAGAAAAGATCCTAAAAGCTTGCAGAGCGGAAAGAAGAGCTCATATGTAAAGGATCAAAAACCAGAATGGCATTGGATTGATCATCAGCAGCACTGAATGCAGTATGACAATGGAGCAATGTCTTCAAATTTCTGAGGAAATTTTCTTTTCTTTTCTTTTCTTTTCTTTTCTTTTCTTTTTTCTTTTCTCCCTCCCCTCCCCTCCCTTCCCCTCCCCTCCCCTCCCCTCCCCTTCCCTTCCCTTCCCTTTTCTTTTCTTTTTGAGACGGAGTTTCGCTCTTGTTGCCCAGGCTGGAGTGCAATGGTGCCACCTCAGCTCACCACAACCTCTGCCTCCTGGGTTCAAGCAATTCTCCTGCCTCAGCCTCCCGAGTAGCTGGTATTACAGGCATGTGCCACCATGCCCAGATAATTTTGTATTTTTAGTAGGGACGGGGTTTCTCCATGTTGGTCAGGCTGGTCTTGAACTCCTGACCTCAGATGATCCGCCTGCCTCAACCTCCCAAAGTCCTGGGATTACAGGTGTGAGCCACCATGCCCTGCTGGAAATATTATTTTCAAGCCAAATTGTCAATTAAGTGTAAGGGTAGAACAAAGACATTTGCAAACATGCAATGTTTCAAAAAATTTCACAGTGGGAGGTTTAACCGGCATCGTACTAGCTAATTCATCACTAGATATTGTCTTACACGACACATATTATGTTGTAGGCCATTTCCACTATGTCCTATCAATAGGCGCGGTATTTGCCATCATAGGAGGCTTTGTCCACTGATTCCCCCCTATTTTCAAGCTACACACTTAATCAGACCTATGCTAAAATCCACTTCACCATTTTATTTATAGGTGTTAATTTAACTTTTTTCCACAGCACTTCCTTGGTCTATCCAGTATGCCTCGATGTTACTCCGATTATCCTGATGTGCACACCATGTGAAATATTATCTCATCCATAGGCTCATTTATCTCACTAACAGCAGTTATACTAATAATATTTATAATCTGAGAAGCCTTTCCTTCAAAATGAAAAGTACTGACAATTGAATAACCATCTACTAATTTAGAGTGGCTTTACAGATGTCCACCACCCTACTGCACATTTGGAGAGCCAACTTTCGTGAAAGCCTAAACAAGAAAGGAAGGAATTGAACTTCCAGAAATTGGTTTCAAGCCAATCCCATAACTTCTATGACTCTCTTGATAAGATGTTAGTAAAATTATTACATAACTTTGTCAGAGCGAATTTATAGGTTAAATCCTATATGTCTTAATGGCTTATCCAGTTCAATTAGGCCTTCAAGACACCACATCCCCTATTATAGAAGAACTACTCACTTTCCATGACCATGCTCTTATAATTATTTTCCTAATTAGTTCCCTGGTCCTAGACATCATTTCCCTAATACTCACAACAAAATTAACTCATACTGGCACCATAGATGCTCAAGAAATCGAAACTGTGTGAACTGTTTTACCTGCCATTATCTTAATTTTAATTGCCCTCCCATCCCTACGTATTGTGCACATAATAGACAAGGTTAACAATCCTTCTCTTACTGTCAAAGCAGTTGGCCACCAGTGATATTGAAGCTCTAAATATACAGACTATGAAGAGTTAGGCTTTGATTCTTATATGATTCCAACAGCAGACTTAAAGCCAGAACTTCGACTCCTTGAAGTTGATAACTGAACAATTCTCCCAACAGAGATCCCTGTCCATATATTAATCTCATCCGAAGACATCCTGCATTCATGAACTATCCCCTTACTGGGCCTCAAAACAGATGGAATCCCCGGACGCTTAAATTAAACTACCTTAACTGCTACATGTCCAGGCCTTTACTATGGACAGTGCTCAGAAATTTGTGGGTCTAACCACAGTTTTATACTTATTGTCCTAGAATTAACCCCCTTAAAATGCTTTGAAACCTGATCCACGTCTGCACTATAATATCACTGTAAAGCTATCTAGCATTAACCTTTTAAGTTAAAGATGGAGGGGATCTGCACCTATTTGCAGTGAATGCCTAAACTAGATACTTCCACATGATCCATTGTCATCCTGTCAATAATCGTAACTTTATGCTCCATTATTCAGTTAAAATTATCAAATTTCATTTATTATACAGCCCCTATACCAAAAACAATCAAAACCCAAAAACATAAAGCCCCCGAGAATTAAAAAGAACGAAAATCTATTCACCTCTTACTACCCCGACAATTCTAGGTCTACCTGCAGTAGTATTAATCATTTTATTTTCCCCTGTACTATTTCCAACCTCCAGTCATCTAATCAGTAACTGATTGATTTCCATTCAACAGTGACTAATTCAACTTGTACTAAAACAAATAATAATAACCCATAATATTAAAGGATGAACCTGATCCCTTATACTGATCTCCCTAATTCTCTTCATTGCCTCAACCAATCTCCTTGGGCTTCTACCCCATTCATTTATACCAACTACCCAATTATCAATAAACCTAGGTATAGCAATCCCCTTATGAGCAGGCACAGTCATTACAGCCTTCTGCTTCAAGACAAAAACCTCCTTAGCTCACTTTTTACCACAAGGCACACCTATACCACTTATCCCTATGCTAGTGATCATTGAAACTATTAGCCTATTCATTTAACCAATGGCACCAGCTGTGCGATTAACAGCCAACATTACAGCTGGAAACCTGCTAATACATTTAATCGGAGGAGCCACACTAGTTCTGTCAACTATCAGTCTTCCCACAGCTTCAATCGCTGTCATTATTCTAATCCTACTAACCATCCTCGAATTCGCCGTAGCCCTCATTCAGCCTACGTCTTAACACTGCTAGTAAACCTTTACCTGTACAACAACACATAATGACCCACTATACACATGCCTACCATATAGTCAAACCCAGCCCCTGACCACTAACAGGAGCTCTCTCATCTCTCCTAATAACATCTGGCCTGGCCATGTGATTTCATTTTAACTCTATCACCCTTTTAACCCTGGGCCTACAAACCCACACACTAACTATATACCAGTGATGATGTGACATTATCTGAGAAATTACATTTCAAGGCCACCACACATCAATCGTCCAAAAAGGCCTCTGATATGGAATAATTCTATTATTATCTGAGAAGTATTTTTTGCTGGTTTCTTCTGGGTATTCTACCACTCTAGTCTAGTCCCAATTCCAGAATTAAGGGGACACTGACCCCCAACAGGTATTCCTCCCCTCAACCCCTTAGAAGTCCCCCTCCTGAATACATCTGTATTACTTACATCAGGATTTTCGATTACTTGCACTCCACTGCCTGATAGAAGGTAGTCGAAAGCAGATACTTCAAGCACTATCAATCACAATTACCTTAGGTATTTACCCTTCTACAAGCCTCAGAATATTTCCAGGCCCCCTTTACTATCTCTGATGGAATCTACAGCTCAACATTCTTTACAGCCACAGGCTTTCATGGATTTCATGTTATTATTGGATCAACATTTCTCACTATCTGCCTCCTCCACCAATTAAAATTCCACTCTACATCCAATCACCACTTTGCCTTTGAAGTTGCCGCCGGATATTGACACTTTGTAGATGTAGTATGACTATTCTTATATGTCTCTATCTATTGATGAGGGTCCTACTCTTTTAGTATAAACAGTACCATTGACTTCCAATCAATTAGTTTCCATAATATCCAAAAGAGAGTAATCAACCTGACACTAGCCCTAGTAACCGACACCTTACTGGCCCTATTACTAATAATAATCGCATTTTGGCTTCCACAGCTTAATATCTATATAGAAAAATCCAGCCCCTATGAATGCGGATTTGACCCCTAGCCTCCGCCTGCCTCCCCTTTTCCATTACATTCTTCCTAGTAGCCATCACATTCCTCCTCTTCGACTCAGAGATCGCTCTACTACTACCCCTGCCATGAGCCCTTCAAACAACCAACCTGACACTAATGATCAGCACAGCCCTTATACTAGTTACCATTTTAATCCTAGGCTTGATTTATGAATGAGCCTAAAAAGGATTAGACTGTGTTGAATTGTAAATAGTTTAAGTCAAAATAAATGATTTTGACTCATTAGATTATGGTAGACCATATTTACCAAATCCCTGCGATTTATATCAATATTATATTAGCATATACCATACCACTGCTAGGAGTATTCATCTATCGATCCCACCTAATATCATACCTATTATGCCTAGAAGGCATAATACTATCAGTATTTATCATAAATACTCATAACTTTAAATATACATTTCACTCTAGCATCGATAATACCCATTATTCTCCTAGTATTTGCTGCCTGTGAAGCTGCAGTGGGCCTTGCCTTACTAGTTTCAATCTCCAGTACATATGGTCTAGATTATGTACAAAATCTAAATTTACTTCAATGCTAAAAATTATTATTCCAGCAATTATACTGTTACCAATGGCATGGTTCTCTAAAAATTCTATAATCTGAATCAAGATGGTTATCCACAGCCTACTCATCAGCCTCATCAGCCTACTATTTTTTAACCAATTCAATGATAACTCATCCAACTTCTCATTAGTTTTCTCTTCTGACCAGCTGACATCACCCCTTCTAATCTTAACAGCCTGACTACTGCCTCTTATAAGTCTAGCAAGCCAATATCACCTGTCCAATGAATCACTCCCATGAAAAAAGCTCTATATTTTTATATTGATCTCCCTACAGCCTTTTTTTTTTTTTTTTTTGAGACAGAGTTTCGCTCTGTCGCCCAGGCAGACAGAGTGCAGTGGCGCGATCTCGGCTCACTGCAAGCTCCACTTCCCGGGTTCACGCCATTCTCCTGCCTCAGCCTCCCGAGTAGCTGGGACTACAGGCACCTGCCATGGCGCCCGGCTAATTTTCTGTATTTTTAGTAGAGGCGGGGTTTCACCATGTTAGCCAGGATAGTCTCGATCTCCTGACCTCTTGATCCACCCGCCTCGGCCTCCCGAAGTGCTGGGATTACAGGGGTGAGCCACCGTGCCCGGCCCCTACAGACTTTTAAAATCCTAACATTCACAGCCACAGAACTAACTATGTTTTATATCCTCTTTGAAGCCACGCTAGTTCCTACCGTAATTATCATCACCCGCTGAGGCAACCAACCAGAATGCCTTAATGCAAGCTCATACTTCTTATTTTACACACTAGTAGGATCCCTTCCTCTACCTGTAGCATTTGTTCATACTTAAAATACCTCAGGTTCACTAAATATGCTAGTAATAATACTTACTACCCAAGGGCTATTAACCACCTGATCCAACAACCTTATTTATCGTTGAATTGGTTAAAATATAGTAGGCTGATGAGACCGATAAGTAGGCTGTGGATAACCATGTTGATTCAAATTATAGAATTTTTAGAGAACCATGTCATGTGGATTGTAAGATTGCGTAGGCAAACAAAAAGTACCGCTCTGGCTTAATGTGTGGTGGGGTGTTGAAGGGGTTGGCTAAAGCGTAAATACCTGGGTCGCCCAGGAGGTCAGGTGAAAATAGTACTAGAGTTATTAGAAGGAGGAGGAGAAAAATTAAACCTAAAATATCTTTGGTTATACGGTAGGGGTGGAAGGTAGTTTTATACCAGAATAAATGCTGGTACAAGATAGGGTCACCCCCGCCAGCAGGCTCAAAAAAATTAGTGTTGAGGTTACGGTCAGTTAATAGTATAGTAATCCCGGCGGCTAGGACTGGAAGAGAAAGGAGTAGAAGGACTGCCATAATGAGGACTGATCAGACGAAAAGGGGTGTTTGATACTGGGACATAGCTGGGGGTTTTATGTTAATAATAGTGGTAATAAAGTTAATGGCTCCTAAAATAGAAGAGGCACCTGCCAAGTGGAGCGAGAAGATGGTCAGGTCCACAGAGGCTCCTGCATGTGCTAGGTTTCCTCTTAAAGGGGGATAAACCGTCCAGCCGGTTCCAGCGCCGGCTTCTACTATTGAGGATGCAAGTAGGGAGCAGAAAAGATAGAGGGAGAAGTCAGAAGCTCATATTATTTATCCGGGGGAATGCCATATCGGGTGCACCAGTTATCAGAGGGACTAGCCAGTTCCCGAAACCCCCAATTATGATTGGTATCACCATAAAGAAGATGAAAACGAACGCGTGGGCAGTAACAATAACATTGTACATCTGATCATCTCCTAGTAGAGTTTCTGGTTGGTCTAGTCCTGCTTGAATTAGGAAGCTTAAGGCGGTGCCTATTATCTCCGCTCTTGCGCCGAATAGCAGGTATAGTGTTCCGGTGACTTTGTGGTTAGTTGAAAACAATCAACGATTGATGAACATAGGTCGGGGGAGCGGGTAAAATGGCTGAGCAAGCATTAGACTGTAAATCTAAAGACAGAGGTTAAGGCCTCTTTTTACCAGCCCTGAGGAGATTTTTCATGTTGAATTGCAAATTCGAAGGTGCAGCTTCAATCCTGCTGGTTATTTTTATAAAAAATTAATCTTCTATATGCTCTTTCTTAGGAAGCAATTATAAAACAAAGGAATAAACAAGCAAATAAAAAAGGAAGACCCTGGGTTGAGGGAACGTGGGATACATGCACAGACAAGTGTAGGGAAATGCCAGGAAATCATAGGATAGCTATACAGAAGTCCTAGAACATAATCGAGTTCAGACAGAGCAGGAGAAAAGAAGGTTCCATTTGGTTGCCTTTAAGGGAAAAAACAAACCACTATCACTTTCAGAGAGATTTAACAATTCTTTTGAGGTTTTGGGAAGGGCAATGAAAATAAGCAAATGACTACTGTAAAAAATCATCCCTGGCCTGGCGTGGTGGCTCGCCCCTGTAATCCCGGCACTTTGGGAGGCGAGGCAGGCAGATTGCCTGAGGTCAGGAGTTCGAGACTAGCCTGACCAACATAGTGAAACCCTGTCTCTACTAAAAATACAAAAGTTAGCCGAGCGTGATGGTGTGCACCTGTAATCCCAGCTACTCGGGAGGCTGAGGCAGGAGAATCGCTTGAACCCAGGAGGTGGAGATTGCAGTGAGCCAAAATCAAGTCACTGCACTCCAGTCTGGGTGACAAAGCGAGACTCTGTCTCAAAAAACACCAAACCAAAACAAAAAAATCATCCTTCTAATAGTATTTGTTTAAACTGTGTATGTAGATTGCTTTTATACAACATTAAAATTTAAAATATTCTCTCAAGAGTGAAAAGATATAAGTGTAAAAGTATCATAGACCGTTGTATGTAATGGTGTGTCCATTAGCAGGAGACTGGTTAAATTATGGTACTGCCAAATGATAGAATACTATGTATTCTTTAAAGGGAATGAGATAGACTCTAGATGTCTACTGAGTCAAAATATGTCCTAGATATATGTTTAAGGGAAAAAAAAATACAGGTTTCAAAAATTATACCCATAATGTGATCCTTTTTTTTTTTTTTTTTTTTTTTTGAGACAGAGTTTCGCTCTTGTTGCCCAGGCTGGAGTGCAATGGCACGATCTTGGCTCACCGCAACCTCTGCCTCCTAGGTTCAAGCAATTCTCCTGCCTCAGCCTCCTGAGTAGCTGGGATTACAGGCATGCACCACCATGCCTGGCTAATTTTGTATTTTTAGTAGAGAAGGGGTTTCTCCATGTTGAGGCTGGTCTTGAACTCCTGACCTCAGGTGATCCGCCCGCCTTGGCCTCCCAAAGTGCTAGGATTACAGGCGTGAGTCCCCGTGCCTGGCCGATCCTATTTTTTTAAGTAAAAAAAAGTCTTATAAATGTATATTACATTATACATAGAAAAATGAAAGGTTGGGGGAATTGTGGAATTTTGTTTTCTAATTTAATAATTTTTATATTGAATTGTTTAGGTGAGAATGGACTTCGTGTACTCAGAAAAAAATCAACACAGATGAATTTCTAATATGATTACTTTGGACTTATAAATCAATTTTTCCATAGCTTCTGTTAACAATATTCATTCATCAAACTATTGTCTTGGGTATTAGAGAGACAGACATGAATAAAATATATTTTCTGCCTTCAATTTTATCACACTCCAGTGGAACAGTTTTTAAAGTACTCTGTGTTTCAGGGGTGCAGTATATGTTTTGATCTGAATTTCATTTTCAAAACATATTTTGCTTTTCCTGAGACAGTGTCTTGGTCTGTCGCCCAGGCTGGAGTGCAGTGGTGTGATCATGGCTCCTGCAGCCTCTGTCTCCTGGGCTAAAAGAATCCTCTTGTTTCAGCCTTCTGAGTAGCTGGTACTACAGGTGTGCACCACCCTGCCTGGCTAATTTTTTGATTTTTTGTAGAGATGAGGTCTTGCTCTGTTGCTCGGGCTGGTCTCCAACTCCTGAGCTCAAGCGATCCTCTTGCCTTGGCCTCCCAAAGTGCTGAGATTGTAGGCCTGAGCCACCGTGCCTGGCCCAAAACATATTTTAAATATTTAAAAACCAATAATAAAATTCAATTAATTTAATATAATAAATTTTATTTTATTTTATTTATTTATTTTTTCAAGACAGAGTCTCACTTACTCTGTTGCCCAGGCTGGAGTGCAGTGGAGTAATCTCAGCTCACTGCAACCTCCGCCTCCTGGGTTCAAGCGATTCTCCTGCCTCAGCCTCCCGAGTAGCTGGGATTACAGACATGCACCACCACATCTGGCTAATTTTTGTATTTTTAGTAGAGACTGGGTTTCACCATGTTGTCCAGGCTGGTCTCAAACTCCTGGGTTTAAGTGATCCACCTGCCTCTTGGCTTCCCAAAGTGCTGGGATTATAGGTGTGAGCCACCATGCATGGCCAATATAATAAATTTTAATATACCAGGGCCACTACTAGTTAATATCTGCTGACAGTGTTTGGTTTTTTTTTTTTGTTTGTTTGTTTGTTTTTAGATGGATTCTCACTCTGTTGCCAGGCTGGAGTGCAGTGGCGCGATCTTGGCTCACTGCAACCTCTGCCTCCTTGGTTCAAGCAATTCTCCTGCCTCAGCCTCTGGAGTAGCTGGGACTACAGGTGCGCGCCACCATGCCCAGCTAATTTTTGTATTTTCAGTAGAGACAGGGTTTCACCATGTTGGCCAGGATGGTCTTGATCTCTTGACCTTGTGATTTACCTGCCTCGGCCTCCGAAAGTGCTGGGATTACAGGCATGAGCCACTGCGCCTGGCCAATATTTTCTTTATGTAGACTTCAGTGTTAAATTTTTCCTGTCACTTTAGAGCATATATTTGAATTTATTGTAAACGTGTCATTACTTAAAAAGGTCGTAGCTTTACATTGGTTTGTTTCTTTTCTTTTCTTTTCTTTTTTTTTTCTTTTTGAGATGGAGTCTGGCTCTGTCACCAGGCTGGAGTGCAGTGGCAGAATCTCGGCTCACTGCAAGCTCCGCCTCCCGGGTTCATGCCATTCTCCTGCTTCAGCCTCCCGAGTAGCTGGGACTACAGGTGCCCACCACCATGCCTGGCTAATTTTTTGTATTTTTAGTAGAGACAGGGTTTCACCGTGTTAGCCAGGATGGTCTCGATCTCCTGACCTTGTGATCCGCCAGCCTTGGCCTCCCAAAGTGCTGGGATTACAGGCGTGAGCCACCATACCCAGCCTGGTCTATTTCATTAGCGCTACACTCTAACCAACTGAACTAACCAGCCAGCTAAACTGTTCTTTTTAAAATCCAGGTCTGCATATGTCTCCTTAGAGAAAAATCTCCAGGTAACTACACAACCACAGCTTCTGTGTGCTGAGCACAATTAAACATCTAGCAAAATTCATCAGTTTGATGTACATTCTTATGTACAATAACAAATACATGGATAACATGTCAGGTAAGGTAGATAGGGTTTTGCAGATTCTTCAATTTAGAGCTTTATACATTTTCAGTGTTTGCCTGAATTTTGTAAGAAAGCATGTGAGCAGTTGTCTGTTTTTGTGAACCAATTTTTAAAACATTTATCATGGCTGCTGAAATAGATACAAAGTAACAATAGAATAAGGAACCACCCTATACTTGTCACCCTGCTTCAACAATTATCCATATTCTGCCATTCTTGTAGCATCTATATCTCCATTTGATCTCCTCTTTATTATTATTTTTTCCAGTATTTTCCATTGCTCCTATTTCAAGTCTGAATCTGCCTAGTTGCAGAGCAATTAAAAGCACACCGTTGGCCACGCGTGTGGCCCATGCCTGTATTCCCAACACTTTGGGAGGCCAAGGCAGGTGGATCACCTAAGATTGGGAGTTTGAGACCAGCCTGATCAACATGGAGAAACCCTGTCTCCACTAAAAATTAGCCGGGCATGGTGGCGCATGCCTGTAATCCCAGCTACTTGGGAGGCTGAGGCAGGAGACTCGCTTGAACCCCGGAGGCAGAGGTTTTGGGGGCACCGAGATCGCGCCATTGCACTCCAGCCTGGGCAACAAGAGCAAAACTCCATCTCAAAAAACAAAAAACAAAACAAAACAAAACAAAACAAAAAAACACTGTTGCCATTTGCAATTACTTCTCTGTATTAATAAGGATTTTCTCAATATTGCTCAACCCAAACAAAATACAGAAATATTTTGGATACTGAAACTATCATTTATAAACCCTAATTTCAAATTGTAATGCTCACCAAAATAACCTTGTTTTCTGAGATTACTTTTTTTACATTAGATCTTTCTTCAGGGGCTAAAATGAATACATAAACATTGCTTTTAAAACTTCAAATAGTACAAAGAGGGTGTATACAAAAGGACATGTTCTTCCTTTCTCTACCCCTCCCAGTTCCCCTTTTCAGAGGCCAGTTTCTTGGGAGAACCTCCAGATATTCTATGCATGTGCATATAACTATGCATATAACTAAAGTCTTTAAAAAGCAAAGGCCGGCCAGGTGCGGTGGCTCATGCCTGTAACCCCAGCACTTTGGGAGGCCGAAGCAGGTGGATCACCTGAGGTCGGGAGTTCGAGGCCAGCCTGACCAACATGGAGAAACCCCGTCTCTACTAAAAATACAAAATTAGCCAGGCATGGTGGTGCATGCCTGTAATCCCAGCTACTCGGGAGGCTGAGGCAGGAGAATCGCTTGAACCCAGGAGGCGGAAGTTGCGGTGAGCCAAGATCGCGCCATTGCACTCCAGCCTGGGCAACAAGAGCAAAACTCTGTCTCAAAAAAAAAAAAAAAAAAAAAAAGAAAGAAAAGGCTATTGGTAGTATACACTGTTCTATATCATGTTTTTGTTTAATTAGCATACTTTTTTGAGACAGAATCTCACTCTGTTACCAGGCTGGAGTGCAGTGGTTCAATCTTGGCTCACTGCAACCTTCCCATCCTGGGTTCAAGTGATTCTTGTGCCTCGGCCTCCTGAGTAGCTAGGATTACAGGCACGTGCCACCACGCCCAGCTAATTATTGTATTTTTAGTGGCGAGACAAGGTTTCGCCACATTGGCCAGGCTGGTCTCAAACTTCTGGCCTCAAGTGATCTGCCCACCTCAGCCTCCCAAAGTGCTGGGATTACAGGTGTAAGCCACTGTGCCCAGCCTCAATTAACATATATTTTAATACATAGATTGAAGAGTTTCTGAAAAGATACAAGAACTGCTGGTATAGTGGAAACCATATCTCTGAAAGTACAATGTCAATAAACCAAAAGAGGAAGGATCAATAAACCAAAAGAGGAAGGAGCAATACTGTCCTTTTAAGAACCAGAAAACGCCCTATGACAGTTGATATTTGAGTTGAAACTTTTTCTTTTTTTTTTCTTTTTGAGACAGGGTCTCATTATGTTGCCCAGTCTGGTCTCCAACTCCTGGGCTCAAGCGATCCTTCTACCTCAGCCTCCCAATTAGCTGGGATTATAGGCATGCACCATTGAGCCTGGTCCTAAGTCGAATCTTGACGGAATATTGAAGCATGGCAGAAAAGTAGATTGTTTTAAGTGGTAATATTCACCAATTCCAAACATAATTTCTTTCATTCTCCTTCTTCTTCCCTTTTCTCTTCTTCCCAGCATGTTAGATGGTAGGTACAAAATATCTTGGGCAGCTGCTGGTCTGTTGAAAATCATCCTGACTGGGCATGGTGGCTCATGCCTGTAATCCCAGCACTTTGGGAAGCCAAGGCGGGTGGATCGCTTGAGCCCAGGAGTTCAAGACCAGCCTTGGCAACATGTAGAAACCCCATCTCTACTAAAAATACAAAAATTAGCCAGGCGTGGTGGCATGCATCTGTAGTCCCAGCTACTTGGGAGGCTGAGGTGGGAGAATCACCTGAGCCTGGAAGTTCAAGGCTGCAGTGAGCTGCGATCACGCCACTGTACTCCAGCCTGGGTGACAGGGCAAGATCCTGTCTCGAGAGTCTCTTGGGAAAAAAAAAAAAAAAAGAAAGTCACTACCCTACTGTGGTGAAAGGATGCTGGAATAAGAGTCGAAAGACCCCAGTTCTAATTTTAGGAAGCCATTTAACCTCTTTAGTTTCCTCATTTATATCATGAAGATACCATATGCCTGTCTTTTTTATTAGATTTTTGAGACAGTCTGCTGAACTAGAGTACCATCATATGGTGAAACCAAATTGGCTTTGGAGTCTAAAATCATGGGTTTGAAATCAGTAGGTTTTTTGTTTTGTTTTGTTTTGTTTTGTTTTGTTTGCTACTGTGAATGGTATAGTTGCTAAATCATTCATTTCTTTAGCAGGAAATTATTGGGTATCTGCCATATGCCAGCCTCTGCTAGGCATAAAGATACAAAGGTGGACAAGACAGACAGGATCTTAAATTGTAATTTTTTTGAGCACTTAGTGTGTACCAGGCACTGTGGTAAGGCAGAGAAGTAATGGTAAATCCCTAGGTAGCCTCATGTGTCACACGGGTGCAAATAATGTCTATGTGCTGAAACCTCATGGTCTGACTTCTCTGAAACTGAGTTTTATATATCCAACATATATTTTATTTATTTATTTTTTTGTTTGGGGATGGAGTCTTGCTCTGTTGTCCAGGCTAGAGTGCAGTGGCGTGATCTCGGCTCACTGCAACCTCCACCTCCCGGGTTCAAGCGATTCTCCTGCCTCAGCCTCCAGAGTAGCTGGGACTACAGGCGCACACCACCACACCTGGCTAATTTTTGTATTTTTAGCAGAAACGGGGTTTCACTATGTTAGCCAGGCTGCTCTCGAACTCCTGATCTCAGGCAACCTGCCTGCCTTGGCCTCCCAAACTGCTGGGATTATAGGCATGAGCCACTGTGTCCGGCCTATTTATTTATTTTTTGAGACAGAGTCTTGCTCTCTCACCCAGGCTGGAGTGCAATAGTGCAGTCTCGGCTCACTGCACCCCCTTCCGGGTTCAAGTGATTCTCCTGCCTCAGCCTCTGGAGTAGCTGGGATTACAGGCACCCGCCTTGGTGCCTGGCTAATTTTTGTATTTTTAGTAGAGACGGGGGTTTTGCCATATTGGCCAGGCTGGTCTCAGACTCCTGACCTCAAGTGATATGCCTGTCTCGGCCTCCCAAAGTGCTGGGATTACAGCACCTGGCCTCAACATTTATTTTAAATAATTCATTAGAAACTCAAACCTAGTATGTACAAACCTAAACTGATTTCAGTACCATGGCTTTTCCTTCCTCCACTCTTCCCCTTCTCTATAAACACACCACCATCTACCACGATTTTCAAGCCAGAAATCTGGGGGACTTCCCCAAGAGACCTCCCATACTTCCTATCACCTGCAAGACGAGTTAACTCTACCTAGAAGGTAGGTCTTCTAGTGAATCCATCCACTTTTTCTGTCTCTGAAATCCCCCTTGCTCAGACTTCTTTGCAATAGGCTTCTTACGATTTTCATTACTTCCTGATCTCCTACAAGCCATTCTCCATACAGTAGCCAGAGTGGAGTTGATTCTCAGCGTGAAAACAACAGCAACAGCAGCAAACTTTAATTCCCAAACCTTCCTGAGAAGATTCTTCCTCTGGGTTCTGGAGCTTCTGTTGTGCTACTCAGGATAAATTAATTAGAGATGCAGAAATAGTGAGGTCAGAAGGAACAGATTGATATACTTTAGTTTAGCAAAGGCAGGGAGCTATTCAAGAAGCAAGAATGAAGCCTAGGAGGTGAGAGAATGAGGCCAAAGAAAGAAGAGCCAGGCCCAGGTCTGGCCTATTTTTAGAGAGACGAGGGACTGGAGACTGTTGCTGTGTTGTGATGAGTAGAACTTGGAGACAGAGATCAAGTTTTTTTATCGTGTCTATTGAGACTCATGCAAATAAATTCCCCTTTCATAACGTTTTGTTATATGTCAAATATCATGCTTATTTCATAGATTTCAGTACATATTAGATAGCCTTTCAGTCCTACTTTAACAGGTGTCTGTTGTTTCTTTTGAGTGAGACCTTGTGCTGATGGAGGCAATGAATGAGCTCAGCTCTATTCAAAATACATTATTGTACTTAGAATAAAATCTGAATCCCTTACCAGGGTCTCAAAATCTCTGCATCATCTAGCCTTTACCTCTCCCATCTTATCTCTGAACTACTCTCACCTTTGCTGATGCTGCCCTTCCTCTGGTTCCTTAAACAAAGAGAGCTGTTTCCTTTCTCAGGCTCTATGCAGCTATTTCCTGTTTAAAATGTTCTTTCCATGATGGCTTATTGTTTTTTGTTTGTTTGTTTGTTTGTTTGTTTGTTTTTTGAGACGGAGTCTCACTCTCTTGCCCAGGCTGGAGTGAGTGCAGTGGCACGATCTCGGCTCATTGCAACCTTTGCCTCTCTAGTTCAAGCAATTCTCCCGTCTCAGCCTCCTGAGTAGCTGGGACTACAGGTGCATGCCACCACACCGGGCTAATTTTTGTATTTTTAGTAGAGACGGGGTTTCACCATGTTGGTCAGGCTGGTCTTGAATTCCTGACCTCATGATCCGCCTGCCTCGGCCTCCCAAAGTGCTGGGATTACAGGGGTGAGCCACCACACCCGGCTGGCTCATTCTTATCTTTTAGGTCCCATCTTAACTTCAGAAAGGACTTGTCACCTAGCTTAGCTAGATCTCTACTATTGTTCTCTTCGATGGCACTGTGTTTTTTTTACAGAATTTTGCAAATTGTAATCTATTTACATGTGTAGTTATATGTGTCTGCACCCATGCATGTTTTATTTACTTGCTCACTGTCTCCAGCAGATGTTAACTCCATGAGGACAAGGAGCTTGTGGGTTTGCTCACCACTGTAAAGCCATCACAGTGCTCTGCACATAGAAGGCAGTCAATGAATATTTGTTGAGTGAACAAATAAGCTCTTATGGAGGTTAACACTGAGAAGGAAATACAGATATTGAACAAATAATCATGTTATGATGACTATAACAGGGAAGTATGATGTTACTGTAAACCCAGGGAAACTAACTTAAGTGGGGTGGGTGGGTATGACAACCCAGGCCTCCTCCATCTAAAAACTGAGAAGTTGGCCACGTGACAAGAGTGAGACGTGTTCCAAGGAGAAGAACTAACATGTGTGAAGGAATTAGGATGAGAGTATTGTTTTTGGGGGAAATGAAAGAGGAGCAGAATGGCGGGAGCCTAGAGAGGAACAGAGGTCAGAGGTGGGCCCATGGAAGTTATGGGAAGCCTCAGGACTGGGAGATTGGTCCTAAGAAAGGATGGTAAGCTTTAGGCTGTGTAGTGAGGTGATTACATTTGTGGTTTTAAGATACCACTATATAGATGTGTGGGGAATTGGGAGCTTGGAGAAGTAGGGTGGGGCAGAGATGATCTAGAGAGACTGGCTAAGTAAGAGTAAGAGTGCAGGCCAGAGAAGATAGAGGCTTGGCTAGAAGGGATGGTATGCCTGGAGAATAGTAGTAGATTCATGAGCGATTTAGGAACAAGAGTAGTTAAAACACAGTGATTCACTGGCCTTACCCCAAGGAAGGGGGAGAGCCAAGATGACTTCTAGGGTTTTGATTTAGACTACTTAGAAGATGGTGGTACCACTGACTGAGATAGGGAAGACTGCAAGAAGAGTCAGTTGGTGGTGGTGAAGAGATGATGAATTTTATTTGTGGACAAGGTTTGTGGTACCTGTGAGATATAGGAGAAGAGATGCCAAGCAGGCAGTTGAAGAGATGGCAGTGTGATGGTCAGTGGAATTCTGGGCACAAATGCAGCTGCCAGTCTAGGAAGTGAAAGGCTTAGATGAGGTTCTCAGGCACTCTTACTTTTCAAGGGTCAGAATGAGAAGGAGCCAGCAAAAGTGACCAAGGCAGTCACAGAGATAAGAAGGACAGCTGGAAATATGTAGTGCTATGGACACACATTTGGCCTAAGACAAATTTCAGTGAAGTAACAGTCAGATTTTACATACAGAATATCACTCAGGAGTTCAAGTTCTTACAATTCTCCTTTTAATTAGGAAATCATGTATCAACATTTCTTGGGGAAAAACCTCTTTTTTTGTTTTTAGATACAAGGTCTCACTCTGTCACCCAGGCTGGAGTGCAGTGGTGCAATCATGGCTCACTACACCCTCAAACTCCTGGGCTCAGAGGATCCTTCCACCTCAGCCTCCTAAGGAGCTAGGACTACAGGTGCGTGTCACCACACCTGGCTAAAACATATGTGTATATATATATGTGTGTGTGTGTATATATATATGTATGTATTTTTTTTTTCTGGGTGACAGAGTCTCACTCTGTTGCCCAAGCTGGAGTGCCGTGGTATGATCTCAGCTCACTGCAACCTCTACCTCCTGAGTTCAAGCGATTCTCGTGCCTCAGCCTTCCGAGTAGCTGGGATTACAGGTGTGCGCCACCATGCTTGGCTAATTTTTGTATTTTTAGTAGAGAGGGAGTTTTGCCATGTTGGCCAGGCTGGTCTCAAACTCCTGGCCTCAAGTGATCCATTTGCCTTGGTCTCTCAAAGTGCTGGGATTACAGGTGTGAGCCATTGCACCAGGCCCTAATTTTAAAAGTTTCTGTAGAGATGGAGTCTTGTTATGTTACTCAGGCTGGTCTCAAACTCTTGGGCTCAAGCAATCCTCCCAACTCGGCCTCCCAAAGTGCTGGGATTACAAGTGTGAACCACTGTGCCTGGCTTTATTTTCTTTCTTTTTTGAGGCAGGGTCTCACTCTGTCACCCAGGCTGGAGTGCAGTGGTGTGTTCACGGCTCACTGCAGCCTTGACCTCCCAGGTTCAGGTGATGCTCCCATCTCAGCCTCCCGAGTAGCTGATACTACAGGTATGCACTACCATGTACAGCTAATTTTAAAATTTTTTGTAGAGATAGGGTTTTGCCATGTTGCCCAGGCTGGTCTTGAACTCCTGGGCTCAAGGCATCTGCCCACCTAGGCCTTCCAAAGTGCTGGGACTATAGGCACTGTGCCTGTCCTCAGGCCTCTATTTTCATGTCAGTATTTTATAAAAGGTGTATGCCTTTTATACGATTAATTATTATAATTACAATGGATGCATACTTTTGATTTTTTTCATTTAAAGTGAAAGGAATTTGTGATTTCATAATTACCATTTTGATGGCTGTATAATGTTCCTTCAATGACATTTTAGAGGTCTGTAAGTGGATACAGCTGATTCTAGAATAACTAAAGGAAGAAAAGAAACCACTACAGGACAATAAACTTTTTCATAAAACCCATCTTCTTTTACCACAGCAGGATCATTGTAGAGTTAAGCAAGCACAGGAGCAAATGAGCCTATCAATAATTTTGTCTTTTGAAGTTTAAATACAGACAAACCAATTCCAATATGTTGCTTTTTGTCTACAATTTTATGTAGTCACGTTTCAACCTCGGAGAGAAAATGAGAAAATTTGAATTATATCCTAAGAAGAGCAGGGTTAAACTAGAGGGAGATACGTTTATTTTGTTGATCCTTGAAATACAAGGACTCTCTTTGTAGATAAACCAGCAAACTAAAAACCAATACATCACCTTGATGCACATTGTTTTCTTTGAATCTTCAACAATAGATAATGAAGTCAAGAGTAAATGATGCTTTTATTCATTGCCATTAAATCTTAAAAACAGACTGAAGAGCTCTAAGTTATCGAAGCAAGTTTTTCTCTTCTTTTTTAGCATTCTTTAATAATTTAATACTTTTTTAAAAATTATTTTTATTTTTTTGAAACAGTGTCTCACTCTGTCTCCCAAGCTGGAGTACAGTGGCATGATCTTGGCTCACTGCAACCTCTGCCTCCTGGGCTCAAGCGATCCTCCTACCTCAGCCTCCCAAATAGCTGGGACTACAGGCATGCACCAGCTAATTTTTGTAGATACGTGGTTTCACCTTGTTGGCCAGGCTGGTCTTGAACCCCTGAGCTCAATGATCCCCCGGCCTTGGCCTTCCAAGGTGCTGGGATCACAGGCATGAGCCACAGTGCCCTGCCAAATTTCATGGTTTCAAAGCTTTGATTTACAAGTCATCACAAATATCCTTTAGTACAAAGGGTGCTGAAGTGGTTAATTACCTGCTTTAATTGAAGTGCTCTCATTTGTTTAAAGTTAAGCCCTACACTGATGAGTGAGGTAAGCTATCAAATAAGATGAAAACAAATTTCCTGGAACTGTAGGTTTGAGTTTCTGTAGGAAACATAACTAGAAGCAAAAGGCGAAATGGCTCCATCAGATCTCATGACTGAGCCAAGGACATTTTTTTAAGCTCTTTGATCTAGTGAAATCAGTTGATTTAATGAAATCTAATAAGATCTGCTGAAATCAGTTCTTCAGCTCAGGCAAGCTAAAAGCCTCTTGCCACCAACAAAGATGTCTCTAGTTTGGTGATATCCAAATCAATTGATCAGGAAGCTAAGGACACCAGGGCTGCAGGACTTCCTTTGGATTAATTCAGTAAATATGTATTGAGGTCCTACTTTGTGCAAGACAAAATACCACATACCACATACAGCCTCCATGAGTTATTTATTTCAGAGTCTGGCTCTGTCGTCCAGGCTGCAGTGCAGTGGCGAGATCTCCGTTCACTGCAGCCTCTGACTTCCGGGTTTCAAGCTATTCTCTTGCCTCAGCCTCCTGAGTAGCTGGGATTATAGGCATGTGCCATCATGCCTGGCTAATTTTGTATTTTTAGTAGAGACAGGGTTTCGCCATGTTGGCCAGGCTGATCTCGAACACCTGACCTCAAGTGATCTGCCTTGGCCTCCCAAAGTGCTGGGATTACATCCTTATTTAAAGGCATATCTTGTCTATCCATGCTTTTCAGACCAGACTTGGCTCTTTGCATGGATCCTGCTGGCAGTTTCCTGTATGTTCCTATCCAGTGAGAAGCTGTTTTTGGCCTCACACCAGGCTGTAGGGGCCAGATAGTGACGTCAGATCTATCCAGAGCACCAGCCAACTTAAGGCAGGTTCCTGGGCTAAGGGGCTGGGGCTTTCTCTGTGGAGGGGGAGAGAGGAGGAGAAAGGGGAATGGATGGTAAGGAGAGATGTGGGTCTCTGAATCACATGGAGACTCTGGAAGTGCTGACCATCTTCTACACACCACATTCTCATATCATCCTTGGTTAATAATCATAACAACAGTATGAAGCACATGGTACTGTTTAACTGCATTTTACAGATAAGGAGACTGGCTAGTGATCCACTCAAGGTCACAGAGTAAGTGGTGGTCATGGGATTTTAATTTCCTCTCTAGGTCTTTTTTTTTTAATTTTTTTTTTTTTTAAGACAGAGTTTCGCTCTTGTTGCCCAGGCTGGAGTGCAATGGAACGATCTCGGCTCCTTCCAACCTCTGCCTCCCGGGTTCAAGCGATTCTCCTGCCTCAGCCTCCCGAGTAGCTGAGATTACAGGCATGTGCCACCACGCCCGGCTAATTTTGTATTTTTAGTAGAGACGGGGTTTCCTCCATGTTGGTCAAGCTGGTCTCGAACTCCCGACCTCAGGTGATCCGCCCGCCTCAGCCTCTCAAAGTGCTGGGATTACAGGCATGAGCCACCACACCCGGCCTCCTCTCTAGGTCTTTAAAAGCCTTCCACCTCACGCCTGTAATTCCAGCATTTTTGGAGGCCGAGGTGGGCGGATCATGAGATCAAGAGATCAAGACCACCCTGGCCAACATGGTGAAACCGCCTCTTTACTAAAAACAGAAAAATTACGGGGCGTGGCGGCACGCGCCTGTAATCCCAGCTACTTGGGAGGCGGAGGCAGGAGAATTGCTTGAACGCGGGAGGCGGAGGTTGCACTGAGCCGAGATTCGAGCCAGTGCACTCCGCCACTGCACTCCAGCCTAGGTGACAGAGAGAGACTTCTTCTCAAAAAAAAAAAAAAAAGGCCTTCCACCACCGCGCAAAGGGACCCAGTAGGATTTCAGGTCCAGAGTGAATCATACTATGCCCTCCACTCCCACATTTTTACACGACGAAATCTGTCTAGCATGTACAACTAATAAAAATAGTAGAGGGAAAAGAGGTCATGGATAGGCAATTTATAGCCAGACAGGTGGGAGTGTAGGTTTTGGCTCCACCATTTTTTATTTTCTTGATGAGGAGCCCTTTAGGTCATTTTAGAAATAGTGTCACTGCCTGCCTTCCCGAGTCTTTGCCACACCAAAGACTTGTTTCCTCCGCTAGACAAAAATATGGATGGCTGTCCCAGTTCTGTCTCAAACAATGATCGTGTAGAATCAAATAAGGCCCTCTGTAAACTATAGCACTTTACAAACTGGTAAGGTAGCAGCCATCCTTCCAAGGTATCAGGGAACAGCGAAGCAGCTGATTAAAATAGTCTTGATTACTTGAGATACAGGAGGGTAGGAATAACATGTGGTAACTGAACTCTATAGATACTATCTAAAATCGCATTCTAACAGGCAAGTTTAATCTTTCTGAGATTTGCCTCTTTGTAGAGCTCTAAAAAATAAAAGGAGAGGGGCGTAAAATGCCAGTAAGATTAGTTAAATTTCTTCTCCTTTTGAGCCCTGCCCATAGGTAGATGGAATTAGGGCAGAACAAAAACATTAAGAATAAAAGCCCGAACGAGATGCGCGTACAGGTGAACACAAGTGAACACTGGGGTAAGGAAATGAGTTATGCGGAAAAGGCTTCAGACCATCCCTGGGAACTGCTCCGGGTCTGGACATTTCCTTTGGCAACCTTCCAGAGTCTGAGTCCCCAGGGCTCCCCCCGGCGGGAAAGGAAAGGCGCGCGTGGCTAGGCGCGCGCGTACACGGGCACTCACGTGTACACACACACGCGCGCACACTACACATACACACAGGGCCCATTTCCTCCGCTCCCTCCCCGCGGGGGGCGGGTCTCTTTCTCTTTAAAGAGCAGACGGTCTCCGCGCACACCCAGGCTCTCAAGGCCTCGGGGGCCCGGGACCCGAGCTGCTCGTAGCCAATGGGAGCAGTGGAGCGGCTCGAGCGCGGCTGACGCTGCACCAATGGGCGATCGTGGGGGGCGGGGGCAGCAGAGGAGACACTATTGTTGATGAGGAGCGGCGGCGGCGGCGGCGGCGGCTGCACCACCTCGTTGCTGCCTGCCCCGGCCCGGTCTCCCCCTGCACCCCGGAGTCCGGCTTCGTCACCCCGTCTTGGGGGGCCTGCCCTCCGGCCTCGAGAATCCTCCCCCTGCAGCCCAACAACAACAAAACCCCCCGTCTCGCCCAGTCACCGGGGAGGGGGGGGACCATGTCCCAGCGGGTGAGGCGCAATGGGTCCCCCACGCCGGCCGGCTCCCTTGGGGGTGGTGCGGTGGCCACGGCCGGGGGACCCGGGAGCCGCTTGCAGCCCATGAGGGCGACGGTTCCGTTCCAGCTGAAGCAGCAGCAGCAGCAGCAACATGGCAGCCCCACGCGGAGCGGCGGCGGCGGCGGCGGCAACAACAACGGTGGCTGCTGTGGTGGCGCCTCAGGCCCCGCAGGCGGCGGCGGCGGCGGTGGCCCGCGCACCGCCTCGCGCAGCACCAGCCCCACGCGCGGCGGCGGGAACGCGGCCGCGCGCACCAGCCCCACGGTGGCCACGCAGACGGGCGCGTCCGCGACGTCCACGCGAGGCACCAGCCCCACGCGCAGCGCCGCGCCTGGAGCTCGCGGGAGCCCCCCACGGCCGCCGCCGCCGCCGCCGCTGCTGGGCACCGTGTCGTCGCCCAGCTCGTCGCCCACCCACCTGTGGACCGGCGAGGTGAGCGCGGCCCCACCCCCAGCCCGCGTCCGGCATCGGAGGAGGTCTCCGGAGCAGAGCCGAAGCTCGCCGGAGAAGAGGAGCCCCAGCGCCCCGGTTTGCAAAGCAGGTAAGTGCTGGGGGTCGCGCAGCAAGGGGGAGGCGGCTGCGGGAAGGGGTCCCGGGCGCGCGCTGCAATCGCGCGGGGACTGCAGAGCTGCCGCGGAGCCCGGGTGGCTGGGGGCGGGGCTGGGGGCGGTGCCGGGCGGTGGGGGACCCGGCAGTGCGGCCCCGCCTTTCCCGGGCCTACCCTACGCCCCGCCCGCCCGCCCGCCTCATTCACCCCTCTGCCCGCCCCGCACGGCTCCCTGGTGGTGGAGGTGCAGCGGCTAAACCTTGGGCTTGAGCTGATGAGTGTTAATGATAAACCTGGCTTCCTGGCCTTACTCCTGGAGGAGTCGTTACTGCTTACCCTCCCTTGAGGGTGAGGCTAGGAGTGGTTTGTCACTTTGTTTTAGGGACAAGGTTAATGTTGGCATAGCCCATATCTGCTGCTGCTAAGTATTTCTGTTCACAAAACAGTTTCAGATCTGGGGTACTGAATGCATTAGCAGTGGCAGATTTGGATCACTGAACAGAGGAGGCTGAGAACCGTGTTTTAGCATTTCCTAAGACTTGATAAATGGGTAGCAAGAAGTGAAAATTAAACAAGATTCCTTAGGAAGGTTTATGGGTTTTGTCTGAGGCTCTGGGTGTATTTCTGATTTTGTGTACTGATTCTGTGTTTTGAATGTAGAAAAACAGAATCCAGTGTTTTGTCTCCATCTTGTTATTGTTTTAGGGAGCTAACATTCGTTGTTTTTCTGTTTACCTGGAAGCTTTCTTGGGGAAGGTCCTGAATGGAGCTGTTGGGTGCCAATGGAGTCATTCATAAAGAGTAACTCAAAAGAGAAATTCAAATTGTGGGAAGTGGAAAGGAATAAAATTTATAATCTTGTTGCCTTAAGGAAAGAAATGGGTGGTTTTTACTTACGTATTCATTTTTGTCAACATATATCTTTGTCTTTCCTTGTCTGGGGAACTTCTGTTAGAATTTTCCAGGCAGAATGGTTGGGAATTTCAGGAAACAAATTCAGATGAAATAGTTTCCGAAATGGAAGGAATAGGATGACTCTTTCTTACTATTTATTTTATGAAAGTTTTAGATAATACTTATTTAGAGAGAATTGCCCTGGAAAATGATGAATAGTATTTTCTTTTTTTGAGACAGAGTTTCTGTTGCCCAGGCTGGAGTGCAGTTACACGATCTCGGCTTACTGCAGCCTCCAACTCCCGGGTTCAAACGATTCTGCCTCAGTCTCCTGAGTAGCTGGGATTACAGGCGACCGCCACCATGCCCGGCTAATTTTTGTATTTTTAGTAGAGACAGGGTTTCACCATGTTGGCCAGGCTGGTCTCGAACTCCTGACCTCAGGTGAAACGCCCGCCTTGGCTTCCCAGAATGCTGGGATTACAGGCATGCGCCACTGCGCCCGGCCCGAATAGTGTTTTCTAATTAGAACCAGAGCACTGTTTTATTTATGTATTTATTTTTATTTATATTTTTATTTATTTTTTGAGACGGAGTCTTGCTCAGCTGCCCAGGCTGGAGTGCAGTTATGTGATCTCGGCTCACTGCAACCATGGTCTCCTGGGTTCAAGCGATTCTCCTATCTCAGCCTCCCGAGTAGCTGGGATTACAGGCACCCGCCATCATGCCCGGCTAATTTTTGTATTTTAGTAGAGATGGGGTTTCACCATGTTTGCCAGGATGGTTTGGAACTCCTGACCTTATGTGATCTGCCCGCCTTGGCCTCCCAAAGTGCTAGGATTGCCCAGCCCAGAGCACTATTTTAAACCTTTTGAGAATGCAGAATGCTTTTCTAAAACTGTGATAAAAGTACTAGATTTCCCCTCCCTGCTTCATAACCTCTGTCACCTACTGAACTCTTACTATTTGGCAGGTGGTTTTTATGCAAAATCTCATTTAACCCTCACTATAGCTTTTAGAGAGGTTAAGTAACAAGTGGCAGAGTTGGTATTTATTTGAACTTTGGTCAGTTGTACTCCAAAGACCATGTCTTTATATTATATCAAGGAAGTGACATCATGATGTGTAAGATAGAATGTGGGAAATATATAGCACACCAAAATTACATGTACTTAGTTAGGTAACTTTTTTTTTTTTTTTTTTTTTAAGATGGAGTCTCACTCTGTCACCTAGGCTGGAGTGCAATGGGGCAATCTTGGCTCACTGCAACCTCTGCCTCCCGGGTTCAAGCGATGCTCCTGCCTCAGCCTCCCGAGTAGCTGGGATTACAGGCATGCGCTACCACGCCTGGCTAATTTTGTGTTTTTAGTAGATACAGGGTTTCTCCACATTCGTCAGGCTGGTCTCAAGCTCCCAACCTCAGGTGACCTGCCGACCTCGGCCTCCCCAAAGTGCTGGGATTACAGGCATGAGCTACCGCGCCCAGCCACTAGTTAAGTAACTCTTACAGATATGAACAAAACTGCTTCAGTCCTTCAGCCTTCTGGAGCCAGCATAGTGCATCAGGTGGAAGGGAAGGAGCTGGCTTATAAGTGGGCAGTAGAGGTGGCAGAAGGAGGCACAGCCTGTAGTCTGATAACAGAATCTGGCTCTCTTAACAACTGTTTGACACTCAGAGAAACACCCTGAGGAGAACTGGGTTGAATTAAGTATTGGCAAGGTGTGGAGGAAGGTACTCTTTTTCTCTGATCTCTAGGAGGGCTCTATTTCCTGGGATGTCAGGCTACTCCCATGTCCTCTCTTCATGGTTTTTGAACGCTCCCCTTCCCTAGATCATCCCGTAGAGTATTTGCTGTAAAATTATCCCCATTTGCTCCCCTATCAAAATAAATAAATAAATAAATAAATCCAGAAAAATAAAAACTCTTATTTCTCAAAGTGTAGTCTGTGGTTTATCTGTATCAGAATTAGGGTGTGTGGTATAATAAAAAATAATTTGGCCAGGCGCGGTGGCTCACAGGGGTAATCCCAGCACTTTGGGAGGCCGAGGCGGTGGATCACCTGAGGTCAGGTTTAATACCTGTGTTCCGCCAACTAGAAAAATAAAAACTCTTATTTTTCTAGTGCAGCACTTTCACTTGGGTGTGAGAAATATTGTCTGTTATTAAGTCATACTCTAGTTTGAATGTCTCATAGTTTCATTCCCAGGAATTGTTGTTTCACTCTAGTAAATATCCATGCAGAGTAGAACAAAGTGTTTTCAGATTTCAGGTGTTCATAACACACACAAAACTACGATGAAATCATTTGCTGTTTTTATCTGACTAAATCTGGAAGGAAAGTCTTTGTAAACGTCAGAGTCCCTTTTTCATTAAAGGGAGGCTACCACCAGTTTGCAGCTGTGATGAATGTAAAAATCCCTACCGTAAAGGGTAAGGGTCTACCCCATATAATTCTATAAACCTCATAGGACTCAAATTTCAGGGTCCATCTAGATCAGGCTGTTGACTTCTAGGTGTCTTATCAGATGAACTGGATGCTGTAACCTTTGTTAGGGATCCGGTATCTCAGAGTCCCTAAGTTGAAGGTATCAAGATCCCTATCCAGTTGCTTTATTCTTCTAGGGTTAGAGCTAATTGGCTGGTGTAGAACTTCCTACTCTTGACTACTATAAAGTAATCCAAGCACCCATCCCTGACAGATATTTTAAACTTCCCACCTTCAGTGACTGTCATCTCCATAGCAAAGCCGTTTGTCATTAGGAACTGAGGTATGTTTAGAAAAGGTACCTAGGCAACAGTGTTAACCAGAAAGTTTATTTTTGTGCCTTCTCTCCTTTTACCCAACTTCATTTTACTTATTAAAATGTCAAATAGATTACAAATGGAGAGATGGTATAACATCGAGGTGAGGAGGATATACTTTGGGTAGACAGTTTGAGTTTAATACCTGTGTTCTGCCAACTAGAAGCCATGTGATATGGAAAGTTATTTTTCTTATCTGTGAAATGGGTGGTGAAATCTACTTCATATGATAGTAGGGATTAAATAAGGGAAAACTGAAAAACAGCACAGTACCTCAGTATAAAAGTTAGCTGTTGTGTATCATATTAGTTTTGCTTCTAGTTTTAGTGTATTTAACATAAATTACCAGTGTAGGTTCAGTTTTCATGGTTGTATGAAGTTTCAAATTGGTGATAACATTGCCTGTGAACATCCAGAATGGTGTTTCTCAAAGTGTAGTCTGTGGTTCATCTGTATCAGAATTACTTAGGGTGTGTGGTATAATAAAAAAAATTTGGTCGGGCACGGTGGCTTATACCTGTAATCCCAGCATTTTGGGAGGCCAAGGTGGGTGGATGACCTGAGGTCAGGAGTTCGAGACCAGCCTGCCCAACATGGCGAAACCCTGTCTCTACTAAAAATACAAAAAATTAGACAGGTGTGGTGGCAGGCGCCTATAATCCCAGCTACCGGGGAGGCAGAGGCAGGAGAATCACTTGAACCCAGAAGGTGGAGGTTGCAGTGAGCCGAGATTGTGCCACTGCACTCCAGCCTGAGCAACAAGAGCAAAACTCCGTCACAACAACCACCACCACCACCACAAAATATATATATATATATATATATATATATATATATATATATATATATATGGCAAGTCGTGTTCTTGCTAGTTTCCCCCTTCCTTTGGATGTATTAAGTTGTGTATAAATTCGTTTGTTTATTGGAGTTGGGGAGTGCCAAGGGCAGCAAAAAGTGATAACTTCTTTGGACTAATAGGCAGAATCAAGAAGCAAGATAACCAGAACTTATATTTGTGTCATCTTTGATGTCTACTTTCTAGTACCTTATGAAATATGTCTCTAAGAATTTAGTGTTTCTCTAACATTTGGAGGATTGCTGCTAACATTACACATTCAAGGGAATTCTTTTTTTTTTTGGAGACTGGGTCTCTGTCACCCAGGCTGGAGTGTAGTGGCACGATCTCGGCTCACTGCAACCTCTGCCTCCGGGGTTCGGGTAATTCTCCCGCCTTAGCTTCCCGAGTAGCTGGGACTACAGGTACATGCCACTATGCCCAGCTAATTTTCTGTATTTTGGGTAGAGACTGGGTTTCACCATGTTGCCCAGGGTGCTCTCCAACTCCTGAGCTCAAGCTATCTGCCTGCCTCAGCCCCCCAAAGTGCTGGGATTAGAGGCACGAGTCACCCACACCCGGCTAAAGGGAATTCTTTTGGTTTGTGATGTCTATATTTTGCAATGAAGATGAGACAAAGTAGAAACTATTAGTTTTATGTCTTGGCTAGTAGAATTTACATTTAATTAAGTTAAATTCTGTAAGCTTTGATTGAACTACTCTGTGTTATTAACAGTGTAATACAAAGATGTAAAACACACAAGGAATTCCAGAGACTCACAAACTAGCCATGTAAGACAGATACA